>NC_000019.10:43301480-43604510 GCF_000001405.40 Homo sapiens
AGGTGGAGCCGGGGGCAGAAGATGAGGGACACAGAGGAGCAGAGGGAGCCAGAGACACCCATGGCAGGGAGCAGTGACCCCAGTGACCAGGGGCCCCCAGGGTCTCAGTTCAGTACCAGGGATCCCTGAAAGCCCTCCCATGGCCTAGGAACCCTGGAGTCACATGAGACGAGGTAGCTTTAGGGACAGGGAGTAAGAGGGAAGGAACATGGGTCTCAGCACCCAAGTGATAGGGAACAGGTGTGGCCAGAAACCTCTAGGATTCTGCATCCAGGATCCGGTCCCTAAAGAGGTTATGAATCATTCATTCCTTCATTCAATGGCTCCTTCCCTCATGTGAGAACTACAGAGTGTGTATCTCACACTGAGCCTGTGTTAGTGTGAATGGGGAGAGAAAGCCAAGTCCTCTCCTTTATTCTTTCATGGGAATGATACTGACTCTTTGGAAAACACAGGATTTCAGGTTCCATGAGGAGGATTAGGATCTGAGGGAAAGGTCTGGACATTCCTCCTACTGGCTCTGACAGTTGAGGCAGGTGATTTAGTTCTGGAGTACAAACGAATCAGTAGTCCATTTGCTCTCACTCCTCTGAGGTTTGGATGCCTAAGAAGAAAGGATTTGAGCCGACAGATGACCATGGGCTCCTTAGAACTTAATAAGACCTCACTTCTCATGGAGGAGAGGATGGAGGTGTGGTTACAGAAAGACCTCGTGTGACTCTGATCTGCCCCTCATGTTTGTGTGACCCTGGTTCAGTGACTGTGTCTCCCTGTGGCTCAGTTTCCTCTCAATCATATAAGCTAAATGGTAAATGGTCTGTGACTTGTCGTGTTGACTCTGAATGAACTTTAAATTATTCACAGTCACCTGACCTAACGCTTGGCATAGAGGAGGTGTTCACACAAACAGTGTTTATTATTTGCCTTCATGAGTGAGCACCCTCAGACCTGATCCCTGTGGACAAGTTGCTGCCGGGAACATCTTGTCTCTTCTATTTCTGTCCCAGGGGACACTGAACTTTCTATGGGGTCTCCTAAGCCTCCCAGGGCAGTTGGCTGATAGCCTAAGAAGCTTGTCCATCTGTTCACTCTGAGTCTCAGGTGAAAGAGAAGGCTCTGTCTTTGACCAGATGAGGCTCTTGGGGCTGAACCCTGCCTGGGAGCAGCTCCAGAGCCACATCCATCATACAGCTGGTCAATACTTGCTCCCAGTCAGTCCTGCTCAGGAGGCCACAACCCAGCCCTGGCACAGGTTTTCCAGGGTCACTTGGATTCAGGATCTGAGGACTGGGTTCTGGGGCCAGGGCTTCTAGGCTTCTAGGACTGAGCTTCTCTATAAGGATCCCAGGGGACCCCTCAAACCGGGCCCTGATGTAGTTCTCCAGGGTCTTTTTCCGAATCATGTTCATGGGAAGTGCACAGGGTGATGGGCTGAGACTGATCTCCTCCTGCTGAGTTTCCCCCATCAGATTGTCCTTTCTCTGCAGCACGTGTCTTCAGAGTATGGATGCAGGAAATGAATTCTGATCCATTGAAATTTGTCTACCCTGTGTGTGTCCTGCACTGAATGCCCAAACACTAAAATGGGACATAATGCAGAGGGGGACACAGGCACAGCCCAGGCCTAACAATCCTGTGGGTGCGTGAAGTAGAACTGACCCCCAACACCCAGAGGTCATGAATTCCTCACGGTGTACACGGAAATATCCAGTTGCTTCTTCAATGGTAAAATCTGTCTTTATGATTTGTAGGGTATAGAATCCTGTGTCATCCTGGGTGACTTTCCGGGTCAGCAGGGATGCATTGGCAAATATTACCTCCTGACTACTGTATGCAGGTCCTGAGCTAGATCTTTGAATGCCTGTTGCATATCCTAAAATTCAATAGTAGAGATCCACACTTCTTCCTTTGTGCCAATTGTAGCCCATCACTTTCAGGGGCAGATTGTGGGCAAGTAGAAAAAACTCCTCCTCCTCCTCCTCTGTGGCATTGAATGGCATGGCTTCAGTAGTGACTCTGGCAGTGGTGGGTGGGTTCCAGAAGGTTAAAAGTGAGGCTAGGATGGGGAGGGAGCATCAGTCAATATCAAAACCTATGTATTGGGATGGAAAGTTGGGGCCCTTTGTCCTTAGAGGTTCTCTTCACCCATGAGCCTTGGAGAGAGAGAGAATGTGTGTGTGTGTGTGTGTGTGTGTGTGTGTGTGTGTGTGTGTGTGTGTGTGTGTGTCCTGCTGGGTCAAGGTCAGCAGCATGACCCCCATTCCTTCAACACCTCTGAACTTGGCATTTCCCTGTGTGGAATCCTCTTCCCCAGGGGTCTGCATGGTTCCCTTTCCACTGACCTCATATCCTGCTCACATCAGGGCATCCTTGAAAGAGCCCTTTCTTGACACCTCCACTAGAGATTCTGGGTCTTCCCTTTCTCACTTTTCCCTGCTCAGTTTTCTCCAGGGCTCTTGTCAACACCTGACCTCACATTCTAGATATCCTTGCGTGTCTCGCTCCCCTCCCCATAACAGCATCAGGTTCATGAGGGCAGGGACTTGTATGATCTTGGTTGTACCGCAGTGCCTGGGACATGCTGTGGACTCTTGTGAATGAGTTTGTGAGCATTCCCAGAGCCCTCCAAGGCCTGTGATTTATTTCCCAATTTCTGAAGTTGGTGGCTGATGACAATGCCTTATACCCTCACTATGTTTTTATATGAAGTGTTATCTGATATAGTTATTATGATCATTTTTCAAAATGTAGTGGCCAGTGATGATTAACCGGGAATAGAGAACACTTGAGATTTGTTTGCTTCTTACCATAAATTTCAGTTCAATGTGATTTTCCTGTTTTAATCCTGTCCCTTCTGGTGTCCTCTTTTCTGTTAAGGCAGCAGTAGAAGCTCTAAGTCCTCTTTCCCCAGGAGCCCCATTTTCCCCAGGAGACCCAAGCCAGTCCCTGTGCCTTCTCATTTCCTCTTCAAGGAAGTTCTCTCCTCACCTGTGAACATGAGCTTCTGCCAGAGGATGTGCCATCTGGAGAAAGGGACTGATAGGGGGGCACCATGGTCTGTGCTGCCTGCTTGTCCTCCTCTGTGGAGATGAGCCTGGGATCCGGAAAGTTTCTGAGCAGGGCTGTCAGCTGGGCTGTCCTTCCACCTTCTATGCTGAGCCTCTTCCTGGGGCAGGAGCACTTCTCAGGCTCATGGGTGGGGTCTGTACCCAGGACACCTCTCTGTGCCCTCCCCTCTCAGTCCTGCTTCCTTGTCCCTCCTTTCTGTTTCTCTTCTGTCTGTGTTTCAGGCCCCTGGGAATTGCTGAGTCCTCTGCCTCCTTCAGCAGTGATTCTCTCACCCAACCTCTACACACACTATGTGCAGACACACACACACACACACACACACACACACACACACACAGACATCCTTTAGGTTTGGTAAGCACAGCCCTGGGCCCTCAGTGTCCTCCCATTTCCATTGCTCCAGGTCAGGGTGCACAGTCGCTCCCCCTGCCCTCTCCCATTCCCATCTGGCTTTTCTCTTCAAAGCAGGAGGCTGGGCTGCACCATGACCCTGTCACAGTGATGCACCCTCACCTTGCTTTGGGTGGGCTGAGTGCTGGCTGGTGAGAAGGACCCTCCCTCTCTTTCATTATGTTGAACTTTGCTACAGCTTCCATGGTTAGACATTCGATGACCCGGTTGTCCAAGAGGGTATTTTCCTTCGTGGAGGTGTGCAGGATCAATCTCTTATGCCTCCTGGTAGGAAAGGCCTGTGCTGATTGGTCAGTGGGGCCTATGGGCCCAGTGTTCACCAGGGACAGGTCTCAGCCACTCTCTTGGTCCCTGGGTTCTGGTGGCTGAGCTGGGGTGAGGCCCATCCATTTTCTTCCTGACCATCTTTGGTGTCCTCTGTCCTTGGCCCAGCTGACTGTCCTGTGGTCACCCCACCTTCCCCACGGCTGGTGCAAAAGGGAGTGGGGTGATGCCCAGGGTCCCCACAGAACACAGCTCTTCAAGACCCAGAGAGAGAGACTGGGAAAGAACAGGGGCTCAGAGCTGGAGAGATTTCTGCAGACTTACTCTGCAGCCAGGATGGGCTTAGCCCTTCTTGCTATACATCCCTTGGGGTTCCTCTTGAGGGATTGAGGCAGATCAAGCTCCTCTGTGTAGAAGAAGAACAGGCAGTGGCTGGAGAGCCTGCGTGAAGGGACTTTGCTCACACCTGAGAGGGTGTGTGGGGGTGGGCCATGTTCTGAGAACAAAAGGAGCTCATACCCCCCACTTCACCTTCCCCATGCACAAAGGACAGCCCTGTCTTCCCTCCCAGCTTCACGAGAGACAGCAGGGGGCAGATTGTGGGTGAGTAGAAAAACCTCCAGCAGGTGGCCACATCATGGATGGTGCCTGTGCGTGACCTTCAAACACCCTCTGCACCTCCTAGCGTGCAATGGGCAGGTCATAGGGTGCCTGGCTGATTCCTAGGAATACTGTGGGCACTCAGGCAGCTGCTGTTCTGTGTCAGCACTGGGATCAGCCTGGGATAACCTAGAGAACCGTACAGAGGGAGTGGGGTGGGAATGTAGGGAGCAGTCACAGAAAAAGTTGATAAGGATGGAAAGAGGTCACAAGGGTAAAGTGCCTAATATGGCATCATGTGGACCATCGCTGCCCTTGCAGATGCCCTTTTGGCTGGGTCAGCAGCCCCTGGGGAGTCTTGTGGCTGGGATTCTGCCATCCTCTGGTGAACATGGGGGAAATTTGGATGACAGCAGCCCCAGGCAAGGCTGCATGTTTTATTCCATGTGAATCTGCACATTTCACAGCAGATTATTCACCTATGTCACAGATCCATCACATTCCAGCCCCATGAGTCTCAGTCTCTGTGACTGTAAGTTCACTATCCTCCCTCTATCACAATCAGATGTCCCAAACACAGATTTCTGTCACCTGTGAGTTTGTGTTTGTGTGCAGTGGGCTGCACTGTGTATGCCCTGGGGACAGTGATGTCTGGGTGGGGCTGAGCACTGGGCAGAGGTTTGGAAGCAGAAGAGGGAGGTGCAGGGCAGGAAGATCAATGACAGAGGAGCAGAGAGGGAGCAGGGACAAGTCATCTTTGTTTCTCACTCCCAGGGGACCAAGAATGCAGGACCCTGACCTTAGGGCTCAACACCACACACTGTTGGTGTCCGTGGATGTCACCAGTGCTCGTAATTTCATGTTGCCTTGGCATTCATTTATTAAGGTGTAAGTTTACCTGCTTTATATCAGAGGCAGGGCTTGGTCACCGTGACAGTTCCCAATACTGTACCTGGCCAAATGGCTGCAGTTGGTGGCCAGAGATAAAATCTTAGAGGCATCTCTCCTGCTTAGTGTGCTGGGCTCCCCCTCTACCCAGCTGCTTCCTTTAAACTGACGGTTGTGAAATTTGCCCTGAAATTTAAAGTGACCACCTCTCAGTCACAGCGTGGTCACCTGGCCCCAGTGTTTGCTTGCTTTAAACTCACCCATTAAAGCTTTCTGCTGGAAACCTCAGCTAACGCCTTGGACCCACTAAAGCCATTGGCCTACAGGTCCCTACTTTCCTCTCTGCCTGGACTCCTTGACCTCTGTGTCTATTATCTCTAGGTGTGCCATGTGCTCCTCAGAGTCTGTAAATAGCAAAAAAAAAATTTGTACTTTCACATTGTGGTTGTATCACTATAGCCTCACCTGCCATCTGGTGCCTGACATTGAGGCTGCCCCATGGGACCCATGCTGGTTGAGCCCCTGCTGGAGCTCTTTTCTTGGGGTCTCTGGTGCTGCTGGGGACAGGCACTGTCAGGTGATTTGATGGAGAAATGGAAGAGTTTTATTCAAAACAGTGTGTCAGATGATGTTTTCATGGGCTTCAGCTGCTGTAACAAACACCTTAGTCTGGGTGACTTAAAATTTAGAAATCTATTTCTCATAGTTCTGGAGCCTGGGAAGTCCAAGTTCAAGGTTCCAGCTGATTCAGTCCTGGTGAGGGCTTCCTTGCAGATTCCTGCTCTCTTGCTGTATCTGCACATGGTGCAGGCTTGAAGGTGGGTGGAGAGACAGAAAGAGGTAGAGACCCTTCTCCCATGTTTTCTTCTATTTATAAGGTCATTAACTCTATCATGAAGCCTCCACTTTTATGACTTAGTCTTACTGTAATTATCTCCCAAAAATGCCACCTCCAAATTTCATCACATTAAGGATGAGGGCTTTAACAATTTTGAGGGGGCACATTCTGTCTGGAGCAGGAAAGGTGGGAGCTCCTTCCCCTCCTGTTCATGAGGCCTGACCTTCCCTGGTGAGATAACTTCACATTCAGTCTCATTCTAGGTTGCAGCTCCACAGAGCCTGGGTTCTCCTCTGCTCTTCTGCCCATTCCTGGGTTTTCCTTCTTGCACCACCTTCTCCCTGTGGCCCCACCTGCTCCTGTTCCAGGCAGCTGTCCTTGCGTTGCTGCTCTCTCACCATCTCTGGCCTCACTGGCCTCTGCCTTTTTTTTTCTCAGCCCTGAGGCCAGCTCCATGGGAGGGAGGAAGGGTGAAGCTGGGATGGGTTCTGACCAGGTTGCTGCCCGCTATGGAAGCTTGACAATGAGGGACGCTGTTGTGTCACCATGGAGGAGTCCTTAGGAAAAGGCTATTTCTCAGGGGTGCCTGGATCAAAAGGGGGGTGGCACTTTTAATTTAGCTGGATCTGTGAACTACAGGGACTCTGCTCCATGTCAGCAACCAGCACCTCCAACTTTTGGTTTCTCTCTGTAGCTGATTGTCTTGCCTGTGATAAGATCCTCCTCACAATGACTGATGGTCACAGCCGTGTGTGGAAACTTAATGGAGGGTCTTGAATGCTCACACAGAGTGTCCAGGGAACATGCTTCCTGATGTTGAGAACGGGTGCTCAGTGTCATAAAGATAAACACTGAGACAAAGGATCTCTCAGAAAGGCTAGTTTACTTTCTGCAGAAAGGGTGTCACTCGCTAGCAGTCTTGCCATGACAGCACACACAAACAAAGGAGACAGGGTCATTTATAACCTGACCCGTCCACCCTACTGCTATGTCCAGCTTCTATTGGCTGGAACGGACCTCCCAATTTGTACTTGACTTGATTGGCTAGCAACTTAGAACTTTCCCAAAGAGGCAAAGGCAGAGAATAAAGGAAGAGAGGAATTAACTTGTGGAATGCTGAGAGAGGCAAAAACATTTTCAAGTAGGGAAAGGAATAAGCCTGACCTAATGCTTGCTTGGACTGGTTCAGGCATATCAGGGCAAATATCTAAGCTAAAATGTGGGGTCTAAGAACACAGAGTATATTGATTTCTTTATTATGGCTGGCAGAATTTAAGAATATTAGCACAGGTCTTTGAGAAAATTGTGCTTTTAAGAGAGGTTACTATTTATTTTCAATTAGACTGGGAGGAAAATCCCTTTGAAGAGGACCTCTATTTATTTCATTCTCTACAATTCTCCCCTCTTTTATTTTATAATTACTCTTCAAACTTGTTTAATATGTTTTGACTTAATTGCTCTGTTTGTCCTTTTAAGAGAAGTAATCTTTTTGAATATGGTGGAGAGTTAGGAAACAATTTTGTGAGAGTAGCAGGGACAAGTTTTTGTATAAAGCTTTGAAAACATTTTTATTTATAGTTACCCACCAGAACAACAAAGATTTAAATCTCACAGCTATTTGATTTCGTGCTTTAAATTTATCTGGCACTTCTTGCGGGACCCCAATAGTGTTTATGTAAACCTGAGGATTAAAGGATTTATAAAGAGTTTCTTTGGGCCTGCAGTGTTTTGTTTTTACTTTTTTTTTTTTTAAGGCTGATAAAATGCCAGGGTGAAAGGGATAGCCAATTGGATTAGAGCATAAATACTCCTCCAATTATCTGGCAGAGTGTCCAGTAAAGGTCCTTCACAGTACTAGCATACATTTGCTCAGGGGTGGCTAAGCACAGACTGATGGGCAAGCTCCTGGAAAGGCTTGAGCTTCTTGCATCCTTTTATGCTTCCAAGGAACACCAAATTCTCCACTTGCCATGGGAGGCACGAACTAAACTTGGCATTTAGAGGTGGAAGCTGGATTGCCCTTGGGGGCTGACCCACAGGGTGTCAAGCTTTAGGAAACAGCAGAGAGAGAGCTCAGCATGATGGATTATCCCAAGCAGTGGGATTTTGGTAGGATTTAGCCTGTGGTAGAATCCTCCTCACAATGACTGATGGTCACAGCTGTGTGTGACCATATGGTCCATACCTGGTTGATGAGGAGACCATCCGAGTGGAAAGGGGACAATCTGGGCGTCTGTGCACAAGCATAACAATCACTGTTATTTAAAGTGCAGATGGAATATTTAATCCATTCCAGCCGGGCATTTGCATTTTGATACATTGTCTTAATGGCTAAGGTTTGTTTTAGATCTTTCACCTTTGCAATAGACACCGTAGTTTTATTATAGGTGTAGGAGTAAGTGGGATGGGATCTAAAACTGAGGCTACTGAAGAAGGGGAAGATGGGGAATAATGCATATCTAAAAAATGCATAGGGGGTGTTTCCCATTTAGGTCGATCCCCATACCATAGAAGCAACTAAGAGTAGGTTTAGAGTCAGTTAAGGTGGAGGTGGTGATAGAGAGAAGGACAGTGTTACACTGATAAGGCTGGCAATTAGAAGGCGTAGTCCCTTTAGTGAGGGGTTTTAGATCTGCACAAACCTCTTCCGTGGAAGTCCAACCTTGCACCTGAGTAGTCCATAGGATGTAGTCCCAGCTACTACAAGGTTGCCAGGCTATAGGAGCAGAAAATTGGTGTCTCGGCTGCAGGTATTCACAACCATGAGTGCTAGGAGGAACTATGTCAACTAGAGGGCCGGAGCATAAATATTTGTGTGAAAAAGCTAGCTGTCATTGATCCTTCACATCTTTACAAGGTATGACAGAGCATGCATTAAAGGCAATGGTCTGAGATGAGTCAGACTTAGTTATGTTAATAACAAAAGGAGCTAGTAACAGAATAAGGAAAGGAAAGGAAGCAATATAGAAGGGATATGGAAATTAAGCTTTTGGTTTTTTTTAACTTTAACTTGTTAAGGCTTGATCCCGGTACACTAACCTATGATTCTGATGAGGAAGATGATTTCTTGACTTAAGTATGGTGGGTCCATCTTCTCTTGGCTGTGCGGATGGCAGTCTTGGTGGTCAACTGTACAGGATAAGGGCCTTCCCAGGCGGGCACAAGTTTCCCTTCTTTTTACCCTCTGATGAGAACATGGTCCCTGGGTTAGTGCTGGTGAGCTAGAAATTCTAGCGGTGGTGTCTGTGCTAAGAGATCTTTTATCTTAAGAGAAGAAAAGGTAGCGGAGAGACCAAGTATATAATTTCTGAGGAACTGATCCTTAGTTTCAAACATAGGAACATTAGCTGAGGAATGTAAATAAGGCAATCCATATAACATTTTATATGGAGACAGGCCTGTATCCTTTTGGGGAGCTGTCCTGATCCTTAATAAGGCAATGGGAAGACATTTGGTCCATGGTAAATGAGTTTCTAGAATTAATTTAGTCAGATGATTCTTAAGGGTTTGATTTATTCTTTCTACTTGTCCGGAGGATAAGGGATGCCAGGGAATATGATATTCCCATTTTATGTCTAGCACTTGGGCCAGCTTTTTAATAATATGTGCAGCAAAATGGGTTTCATTGTTTGAGTCAATATTTTCTATTATTCCAAACTTGGGTATAATATGCTCAATTAATGGTTTTACCACATTATTGGCAGTTGCCTCGAAAAGGGGATGGCTTCTACCCAGTGGTTAAGGTAATTAATTATTACTAGCAGGTGTTTTAGCCGACTAATGGGTGGCATTTTAGTATAATCGACTTGGACGTTTTGGAATGGTCTTAACTCCGGAGTTCTTCCTCCGAAAGGCAATTTCCTTTCAGCTTGTTTGTCAGCTTTCTTACAGATGAGACAGCCATTTGTGATCTGCCTGTCTAGAATATAAATGCCAATACACCTAAAGACTCTGAGAATCATGTCACATAGGGCCTGGGGACCCCAGTGAGTCCCTTGATGTAAATGGGATAATACTTCCCTCATAAAGGGTTTAGATAGCATCTCTCTTTGATCTGGAAGTATGCAGCTTTCTTATGAATTTTTTTTTTTTTTTGCTTTGGGATTTCAACTAATTTTTCTTTCCCAGCCAGGGAGAAGATAGGCACAACAGTAGGAGAAGGAAGGTGGGGAGTTAAATGAAAAATGGGCATATCTAAGACTGCAGCCTTTTTGGCCATCTGATCTGCAAGGTTATTCCTTCGGCTCTTAAGGGAAAAATCATGTTGATGTCCAGGAATGTGCATGATGGCTATCTACTTTAGTAGCTGGAGATTATCTAAGACATGACTAATGACTTATGAGCAAGTTCTTGGCCCCTACTATTTATAAGACCTTGTTCAGCCTAAATCTTCCCAAATGTGTGTGCTACCCTAAAGGCATACTTAGAATCTGTGTAGATAGTTTCTATCTGATCCTTTAAATATTTTAAGGCCTGACTGAAGGCAAATAATTTACAAGCTTGAGCAGAATAGCTATTGGGTAACCATCCTGATTTAATTTCTTCGAGTGTCTCTCTATCTACTACTGCATATCCACTGTGTTATTCCCCATTAAACACCCAGGGGGACTTGTCTATGAATAGGTGTTGCCCCGATCTATAGAGGCCTCAGCTAAATCTGGCTGGACTTTTGTATGGTAGTCAATTAAGTTGAGGCACAAGTGTTCTGTCTGTAGCAACGGATTTCCCGTCAAGAACCCTGCAGGGTTGAGTGAGTTATCTGTTGTTATGGTTAAGTCATTTAAATCATCCTTTTTTTTTTAACAGAATAGCCTTATATTTTAAAATTCTGGAATCAGTGGGCCAGCTTCCTGCTTTTTGGCTCAAAATGGTCTTGACTTGATGAGATGTGCTCACGGTCAAATACCCCCCAAAGGTTATTTTTCTACTTTTTTCTACTAATATGGCTGTGGTTGCAATAGATTGAATATACTGGGGCCACCCACTGGCAACAGGATTTAAAATCTTAGACAGAAAAGCTACTGGTTGTCACCGGCCTCCGTGTTCTTGAGTGAGCACCCCTAAGGCTACTCCATTGCTTACATTAACAAAAAGGTGGAAGGGCTTCTTAAGAGAAGGCAGAGCTAAAACTGGAGCAGACATTAGTCTATGCTTCAGTTTATTAATTTGATCTACTTCTTTAGAGGACCACATAAGGGGGTCAGGCCCCTTATTAGCTAACTTTTCATATAATAATTTACTTCTTAATGCATAGGAGTCGATCCATAATCGGCAGTATCTAATTAATCCTACAAACTTTTTAAGTTCTTGTTTGATCCAGGGCAGTGGCAGGGACAGAATTCCTTCTACTCGCTCAGGACCAATTCTTCTTTTGCTGGTGCTAAATGGCCCATGTATTTGACTTCTGGTTCTACATATTGGAGCTTCTCTTTTGAGACTCGTAGCCCTTCAGTGTATAAATGATTTAGAAAATAGATGGTGTACTTATTTACTTTCTCTATATCCTCTCCAGGTATAAGAATATCATCCATGTGTTAAGTAAACATAGCTGTTTTGGGATAGCAGCCCTCTCTATGACTTTCTCTAAGGCATGACTAAAAGGGTTTGGTGAATCTGCAAACCCTTGATACAGAACTGTCCATCTGTATTGTTGCTTCTGCCCACTGTGGGGGTCCTCCCACTCAAAGGCAAACAGGTCAGGCTGTTTTCCACTAAAAGACATGCCCAGAAGTCATCCTCTAAATTTAAGACAGTGAACTACTGATTACTATATGGAATTTTACTTAGAATAGTGTAGGGATGGGCCAGGCGCAATGGCTCATGCCTGTAATCCCAGCACTTTGGGAGGCCGAGGCGGGCAGATCATGAGGTCAAGAGATTGAGAACATCCTGGCCACTTGGTGAAACCCCGTCTCTACTAAAAATACAAAAATTAGCTGGGCATGGTGGTGGGTGCCTGTAATCCCAGCTATTCAGGAGGCTGAGGCAGGAGAATCACTGGAACCTGGGAGGCGGAGGTTGCAGTGAGCCAAGATTGCACCACTACACTCCAGCCTGGTGACACAGTGAGACTCTGTCTCAAAATAAGAAAAGAATAGTGTAGGGATTTGGCATGATTGGGTGAGGAGTCTGCACTATTTCATTAACAGCTTTAAGATCTTGCACTAATCAGTATGACCTGTTAGGTTTCTTGACAGGTAAAATGGGAGTATTATAGGGAGACATGCAAGGCTTGAGGAGCCCATCTTTTGTAAGTCTATTACGGGCTTCAACCCTATCTGCCCTTCCAAGGAGATAGGATACTATTTATTCCTTACAATCTCCCCTGGAGTCTTCAATTTTATTTGGATTGGGGGAATCTGTAACCTCCTTCAGTTTCTTTCTTTTGGCCAGACACCAGGGGAAATTTTGCCATAGTTAGCAAATTTAGTGAGGTTAAGAACCCTCTTGGGCTAACCTGTTAAGGGAAGAGACCACCCCTCATATTGTCTTATGCCCAATTTCTACTTCCAAAAGAAAGAAGAAGTAAAAACTAAAAGGCAGAAATGAAATCCACAGGCAGACAGCCCGGCACCGCGCCCTGGGCCTGGTAGTTAAAGATCGACCCCTGACCTAACAGGTTATGTTATCTATAGATTCCAGACATTGTATGGAAAAGCATTATAAAAATCCCTGTCCTGTTCTGTTCTGTTCTGATTACCGCTGCATGCAGCCCCCAGTCACATACCCCCTGCTTGCTCAATCAATCATGAGCCTCTCACACGGACCCCCTTGGAGTTGTGAGCCCTTAAAAGGGACAGAAATTGCTCACTCAGGGAGCTCGGCTCTTGAGAAAGGAGTCTTGCCGATGCTCCCGGCCGAATAAACCCCTTCCTTCTTTAACTAGGTGTCTGAGAAGTTTTGTCTGCTGCTCATCCTGCTACGCTGTAGACCAATACCTAATTTTAACATTAAATCTCTCCGAAGTAGATTAGTTTCTGCTTTAGGAATTAATAGGAATTGAATGTTACTTGATCAGGCTTTATATTTTACCTTGGCACTTTCTAAAATCTTTGCTTTAAATCCTTCCCCTTTTACTCCAGAGACTAACAACTCCTCTGGAGAATATGTTAGCCCAGTTGGGGTAACACATAGGGAGGAGCAAGTAGAGCCTCAGTCGACTAAGAAAGTAATTGACTCATGGTTAGGTCCTACCTTTAAATTTATCAAGGGCTCCTGGTGGGACTCGAGGTAGAAAAGAAAGAGCCCCTGACACCCCCCATTCCTCCTCTTTAAAGGCAGGAATGAGCGGAGGAGCTCCCCCTGTAATCTGTCACTTAGGGCATTATCTCTTAAAGTGGCCTGAGTTTCCACATTTGTAACATCTATCTTGCCCTCCTTTTCTCCCTATTCCGGAACTTCCCTGCCTCTGTCCTTTTTCTTCTCTCTTATGTTTACACCCTTTACAACACTTGCTGTGACTGTTTTCCCTTCAACCTTGATTCTGTCTTCTGTTTTGCATCCCCAGGTCCCAGGGTGTCGGCCGAAATTTTGCTTCTGGCATTGATTGCCCTGGTGAATTTTGCCAAAAGATTTTTGCCTTTTGCTTTTCTTTTTTTCATTTCATCTCTCCTGACATATACTTTCTGTGCTTCCTCTAAAAGCTCTTTGATGGAGCGATTTTTTCATCTTTTTATTTTTTGTAACTTCTTTGCTATATTATGCTATTTGTGACAAAATGCAATTTTAGCATCCCTTGTCCTGGGGGGCTATCTAGATCTAAATTAGCATACTTTCTCATTTGCTCTCTTAATCTGTTTAGAAATTGCACAGGCCCTTCATGTTTTTCTTGTTGTACATCAAAGGCCTTAGTAAGATTTTGAGGTCAGGGTGCTGATTCTTTAATCCCTCTAACCGTTAATTCTCGTAAATTTTTATATGGTCTTGGTGGGTTGCATTATTATTATCCCACTGTGGGTCTTGAGTGGGAAATTTAGTATTTGCCACCGGATTATCCTGGCGAGCAGGGTGATCACCTTCCCAGGCTGCCATAGCGGCTGCGTGGATTATGTTTCGCTTCTCTTTTGAGAAGAGGATACCTAGGATCGACATTAACTCCGTCCAGGTATACTACTGGGGACCTAAAAACTGGTCGATCTGTTCTGCCACTCCTTTTGGATCATCTAGCAGGGGCTTGAGCTCCCTCTTTAGGCCTCAGACCTCAGAGGCAGTTAAGGGAGCATTTATAAAGCCAATCGTGCCCTCTCCTTGTGGAACTTTTTTTAGAGGGAAGAGCTGGGAAGTCGATTCTTTAGGAGTGCAAGGAAAAGGAAGATTCTGAATGTCCCTTTTACATTGTTCTATCTCTTTTTGGAGCCCTCTTTTTGAGGAAGGACATTTAGATGGGCAGCAGAGATGATCAAGCCACTGAGGCGGTAATTCCTCGGGAACAGACGCCTCCAAGTCCAGAGTGATCCCTGGAGCGGGTGGGGGGGACGAGACTTCCGCCTGAGGAGGAGGGGAGGCGGGACTTCTGCCGGAGGAGGAGTGGGAGGCGGGAGTTCCATCTGAGGAGGAGAAGGCGGCAGCCATACGGCAGGCAGCAGCAGCGCCGTGGGATTCAGAAACGGGAAGATAATTTAAAGGATCCCACTAACTGCTCTGGGCCTTTGTTTCTGTCTGTTACCGTCTTTAAGTCATTTAAGGGGTAAAGAAGGGCAGGCCCTTGCTGCTAGCATAAGGCATAATCCATTTTTTCTGGGGACATGGGGCTTTGGTTGTTAACATACATTATTAAAAGTTGACAGACCCAATCCTCATCTGAACCAAATTTTGGCCAGAAAATGGCAGGTTTTAAGGTTGGCTCTTGGGTCCAGAGGAAACAGCAATATTTAATCATCTGTTGTTTTCTCTTATATTTAGTCCGCTCATCCTCTTTCCAATATTATAGCATGAATCCTAAGGGACTATCAAAGGAAATTTGATCACTGTCCCCTCCCTTGTTGCCTGGTCTATTTCCTGTCCCAATCCTACTAGAAGCATTTCCCATGTTGAATCCCAGATAGGCCCAATCCCTTGTGCTAGGGATGTTTTGCCTCTTCCTTTCCCAGGAAGGCTGAATCCCCCAGATACCGGGGATGTCTCGTCTGTCCTGTCCTCAAGGCTTAATCTCTCACACCAGAGGTGTTTCACCGATTCTCTTTCCCTGCGAGGTTAACCTTCCTCCGTTTCCCTTTTGGAGGTTCCTTACACTCTTCCCGTTTATGTCCACGCACTCTGTCCAGCAACAAGTTGGTAATCGTGCACACACACTCAGCCTCCCAAAAGCTGACCACCAAGGAAGTACTTTGCTGCCCTCTTGCGGCTTTTCCTACCTTGGCCCATGCACGGCGTTGCCTGGTTACTGTGGGGAGTCCCGCAAGCCTGTCTCTTTCCCCGCGTTGCTGAGAATTCAAGTATATTCCTCTCACCGGGTAGGTCCCGGCTCTCCTCCTGGGGCTGCCGCAACGGGCGGCAGGGCGCCTCCCCACAAGACAGGGCCAAAGACTGTCCCAGAGGGGAATGTTAATCTCGCTGGGGCCTTCAAATTGTTGGTAACGGGTGCTCGGTGTCATAAAGATCAGCACTGAGGCACAGCATCTCTCAGCAAGGCTAGTTTACTTTCTGCAGAAAAAGTGCCGCTCGCCAGCAGTCTTGCCATGAATGCACACACGAACAAAGGAGACAAGGTCATTTATAACCTGATGCATCCACCCTACTGCTGTGTGCGGCTTCCAATGGCTGGAACAGGACCTCACAATTTGTACTTGACTCAAACTACTACAAGTCAAATACAGCAAAAATCCAAAAACCCGAATTTAAAAGTGAACAAAAGACTAAAATACTTCCCAAAGGAAGACACACACATTGCCAGTGAGGACATGCGAGGATTCTCAACATCACTAATACTTACGGATATGCAAATCAAAACCACAGTAATACACCACCTCACACACATTAAAATGGCTTTAATAAAAACAACAACAACATGAAACCACAAGTGTTTTCAAGTAGGTGGAAAAATTAGGGCTCTAGTGCATTGCTGCTGGTGATGGGAAATGTTATAGATGCTGTGGAAAGTGGTATGGCAGTTTCTCAATAAATTAAAGAATTACTACTTGATCCAGCAATTCTACTTCTGGATTCTAGGTTGTGAATGCGTTGATTATCTTTAGTGAACTATAGAAAGTTTTCTTTATCTGGTGAAAATACACTGTAACATAATAACTTAGTAGATAACATGAGCCCTCTTGCATGGGAGAGCTTTTATACAACCAGAACCAGAAAATATGCATTGAAAATAACAATTGAATGAAATCTCATTATAAAATGTTTAAATGGACCAGCAGGTGACCAAGTGTACCTGAAGCTTTGATTGTTTTCCCAGGAATATGGGGCCAAACATTGGTTATAAATTCTTTTAACAATTTATAAGTCACCACACCAATATATTCCATTTGAATATTTTTATCTTTTCCATGATGAGTCATGGAATGCAGAACTTTTAATAATAAAAGCTTTAAGGACTTAGGAAGGACAAGGTGGCCATCCTGGTTCTCCATGAGTCCATGCTTAATTAATATTAGACTCATATCCTCTTGAATCATAGTTTTTCTTCAAATTATGTGCATAGCACTGATAACTGATGGGTTATCATAGGTAATTTGACTTAGACCATGACGTTCATTCAAATTGTATATCTAAGTAATTTTAATGTCAGCTGATGTAGCATGAGTGCTGATTGGTTAGGTAGGAGATGAAATCATGGGAAGTTGAAGCTGTCCTTTTTTGCTGAGTCAGTTCCTGAGTAGAGGTCACAAGATCAAATGACCCATTTTATCGATCTGGGTGGGGCCAGCTCATCCATCCATCAAGTGCAGGGTCTGCCAAATAGCTCAGACAGATCTCAGGAGCAGTTTAGAGAGGGTCAGAATCTTGTAGCCTCCAGCTGCATGACTCTTAAACCGTAATTTCTAATCTTGTGGCTAATTTGTTAGTCCCACAAAGGCAGTCTTGTCCCCAGGCAAGAAGGAGGTTCGTTTTGGGAAAGGGCTGTTATCGTCTTTGTTTTAAACTGTAAACTAAATTCCTATTAAAGTTAGTTCAGCCTATGCCCAGGACCGAACAAGGACAGCTTGGAGGTTAGAAGCAAGACGGTGTTCATTAGGTTAGGTTAGATCTCTTTCACTGTCTCAGTCATAATTTTGCCAAGATAGTTTGAGGAGAATCAAATTTTAAAGAAAGACACATAATAGTGTCACGGCTAGCCTTAAATATTCTCTTGACTAACTTACAGAGCAAAAATCTAGCCTTAAACAAAGTTAAGTTTTTTGTAATCTCAAATGACTTGCTTTAGATCTCCTGAGGCAATAAGGATTAAAGCCACTTCACCATGTCATCCAGTAGTTAAAATTCCACACTTTCACTGTTGCAGCCTGGATTCAATTACAAGTCAGAGAATGAACCGCTTTTGTTACAGGAAAAAGGTCCCAATCCATGCCCAAAGAGAGGATTCTTGGATCTTGCACGAGAAAGAATTCAGGGCAAGTCTGCAGCGCAAAGTAAAAGCAAGTTTATTAAGAAAGTAAAGTAGTGAAAGTACAGCTACTCCATAGTCACAGTAGGATGTTCTTGAAAGTAAGAGGAGGCACACACCCACCCTAGGTACAGTGCTCATATATATGGGGAGATGTACCCTGCTACAAAGGTTTGTGATAAGGATTAATTTTCTTAATTGTGATATTTTGCAAGAATCTAAGTTATTATCTTTAAAGCAAAATTAGGAATCACTTTGTTTTCCAGATATTGGGATATCTGGACACTCCCAAGTCTGGGTCTGTTTAGTAAATATTATTGATTTGTTCCCTTAACCATAAACATCTAGAGGCTAGGAATGCCTCACTTTCTGGAAATGCAGCCCAACAAGTCCCAGCCTCATTTTCCCAGCCCTCACTCAAGATGGAGTCACTCTACTTCAAATGCCTCTGCCACTTTTGTTTTGATATTTGTGTGATTTTTGAGTTTTTGTGGTACTCATTTACATCTTTGGAGATGTCTCATGCATCCTTGGCTAAGTCACAATTATGGTTAGTGCTTATCAGTTTCAGCTGGGAGGATACTTTTGGTTAAAAAAAAATTCAAAAGCCAGAAATATCAGCTGTTTGTCCTAGCTAAAATCTGATAATAAAAAATCTGAAAGTATTACAGTGGGTAGCTAGTCAGACATCAGCAGGACAGGAGGGAGCCTCCTTCCCCCACACACCAGGAATGTCATGACCATCAGGTGATTGTCAGGTGGTCGTTAACTGTCTCTCTAAAATAATAATGGGTTGTAGCTAGCACCAGGGAAAGGCAGTCTCCCAATAGACAGGAAACACCTGAAACAGTTGATCAGCTCCTTCCTGATAAGTTCTCAGAAGTTGGGTGAGTGGGCTAAAACATGTGCATTAAGAGGCAAAATGGTGGAGTTTAACTGGTTTGTGACCTCCCAGGGACATTTGACTGGAAAGAGAAGAACACCTCAAGTGAGCATGCATACAACTCCAGTAAATACACTGCGCATGTTCACCCCACCCCAAGTGCTAGCAGGCCACTGCACATGCAGACAGCCCACTCCAAAGGGAAAATAAGGGGAGAGGAGATGCAGACCCCAGAATTATGCCAACATACAAAAGCCTAAGTCAGAGGTCAAGCAATGCACTTGATCTCTTGTTGCCTGCTTGGCTTTTTTATTTTTTTATTTTTATTTATTTATTTTTTTGCAACAGAGTCTTGCTCTGTCACCCAGGCTAGAGTGCAGTGGCATGATCTCAGATCACTGCAACCTTCGCCTCCCAGGTTCAAATGATCCTCCCGCCTCAGCCTCCCTAGTAGCTGGGACTACAGGCACATGCTACCACACCCAGCTAATTTTTGTATTTTTGGTAGAGACGAAATTTCACCATGTTGGCCAGGTTGGTCTCAAACTCCTGACCTCAGGTGATCTACCCATCTCGGCCTCCCAAAGTGCTAGGATTACAAGTGTGAGTCACTGTATCCAGCCTGCTTGACTCTCTTTTAATTGTACTTTACTTCCTTTAATTCCTGCCTTAAAGCTTTTAAATAAACTTTTACTCCTGCTCTAACACTTACCTCAGTCCCTTCTTCTGCCTTATGCCTCTTAGTCAAATTACTTCTTCTAAAGAGGCAAGAATTGAGGTTGCTGAAGACGTCTACAGATTCACTGCTGCTAACATGCTTTGGTGTCATTTCTCAGCTATGTTTGGCAGCTAAGAGAAGGATTTCCCAAAACAGCTCTGTGATTAAGAGTCAGCTTAATTAAAAACTGGTATTTAAGCCATATATTTATTAATGGTATTTAAGCCATATAATTATTAATATTTATAATATTAAGCCATGTATATATTAAAATAATATATATATAAAATATTATATATATATAGAATATGTATATACACAGAATATATAAATTCATATTGGATATATATTGAGAAAGGACTTGAATGTATATTGAAGGCTTTTCTGCTTTTCTCTTTTGTATCTTTTTTTTTTTTTGAGACAGGCTGTCACTCTGTCACCCAGGCTTAAGTGCAGTGGCACAATCTCAGCTCGCTGCAACCTCCACCTCCTGGGTTCAAGGGATTCTTGGGCCTCAGCCTCTTGAGCAGCTGAGATTACAGGCACGTGCCACCACACCTGACTGATTTTTGTATTTTTACTAGAGACTGGGTTTCGCCATGTTGCTGGTCTTGAACTCCTGGCCTTGAGTAATCTGCCCGCCTCAGTCTCCCAAAGTGCTGCCATTACAGATGTGAGCCACTGCCTCTGGCCATCTCTTTTGTATCTTTGAAAGATTTTTTTTCAGTTGACTGAAATCTTTTTAAATCATGTGCTTAGTCTGTCTGGTTTTTTTCTTAAAAATTCTTTTTCTGCTTATTTCTCTTTCCATCCTTCCTCTTGCTATTCTTGATGCCACATGAGGGAACCTAAAGAATTTCTGACAGCCTGGAACCCCTTAAGGAAAACAGAAAAGATGCCACAGACTTCCCTATTTAGGAGAAACCACTGTTTTTCCTCATGGAACCCCAAGAGTTGTAAGTAAATGGATTCCTCTCAGGTCTAAAACTCTGCTCTCTTTTCCATTTTCCCTGACCTCTTTGGCTTTTGGGGGCATCAGAGATTACTTTGCACTGTAAAAATGCTTGACCTTATATGTGTGATGGCTGCTGGGTCACTGGTAAGAGCTTTGGTTTTGGAGGTGACTAACAGCGCTCGCAATAAATGATTATTACTTCAGAATGCTACTCATTTCTTTGCAAGTTTAGATAAGAAATACACAGTTTAAATAATTAGAAAAATGCCCTTATAGCAAAGTACACTGTGGAAGTGTTGCATAGTATGGTTCCATTGGCATTTTCCTCTTCTCAGGGACCTGGGATTCAGTGAAATCCTTGATTTATAAAGGTCTGGATGCTGTCCCTTGCAACTGGGTCTTCTTTTTATGTATTTAAATTATTAGGATCTAAAAGTTGCAAGACTTCGTTGGTCCTCTTCCTTAATGGGCTCTGTCCTGAGCTCAGTGGTCCAGTTGGAAAACAGAGACCAAATTAAAAGCTGCCTATCTAAATAAAATTGGTCTCCTTATAAAATCCTATGGTAAATTTCTGTCATTTTTGTGTTACCTTGGCATCTATTTTTAATCTTCCTTGAACACACACAAATTCCTTCTTGTAAAAGCTTTAGTTCTCTTTCTCTCTGTGCTTTGAGATGTAAATTTGCTACCAATTTTCTCTAAAACTCAATAAAGTCTGGCTTAATTAAATGTTAACCTCTTCCATTTACAAAGGCACAAATTTAATCCAACTGTCTTTTTTAAATACTGAATTTGATCGGTCCTATGCTGAAATCAAAACTCTAAACTCTTTCTGCCTCCCTCTATCTTTATGTGCACATGTGTATGTTATATGCTGTATCACATATATGTCTATGTCCATACATATGATTATATGTTGTTTACATACATGGTATCAAATTAATGTAAAAATAAGTACTCATAAATTAAGTAAATAATCCCAAATGCTTTTCAATACATGTGATTTTAGTAATCTTTGGTAAATAAAGATAGTTTAAAAATTATTGGTAAAATGAAGTAGAAATGTCTTCAGATTTAATTTAGACATTTGTGCCTGGGTCTGTTGGCAGACATTTTTATATTGTATTTACTAGATGTTTTAGGGTCATCATATGGTTGCTTCTGTATATATACATTTTCTTAATTTTTCTGTGACCTTATATCTTTAGATTTGAGCCTTTAGATTCTGAGTTCTAGATGAGCGACCATAGCAAGAACTGGGGACAAAACTCATCCCATCCCACAGCTGTGCCTTTTGGCCATGCTGGAAGAGATTAGATTCTCCAGGTATAATCTTCATAGCTTTGCTGTTTATCTTGGGCTTTACACCTGGTAACTAGTTAGAATTGCTTACTTCCTGTTTTTTCTCTCCTGAAAATAATGCTGTATTTGTTTGTTCTCACATTGCTACTGAGAAATACCTGAGACTGGGTAATTTATAAAGAAAAGAGGTTGAATTGGCTCATGGTTTGGCATGACTCTCACATTTGCTCAGCTTTTGAGGAGGCCTCGGGAAACTTACAATCATTGTGGAAGGCCAAGGCAGAACAAGGCATCTCACAGGTGAGAGCAGGAGGAAGACAGCAAGGGTTACACACTCTTAACCAGATCACCTGAGAACTCACTGTCACTAGGAAAGCACCAAGAGGAATGGTGTTAAACCATGAGAAACCATCCCCATAATCCAATCACCTTCAACCAGGCTCCACCTACAACTTTGGAGATTACAACTTGACA
Organism: Homo sapiens; assembly: GCF_000001405.40. Classification (NCBI taxonomy): domain Eukaryota; kingdom Metazoa; phylum Chordata; class Mammalia; order Primates; family Hominidae; genus Homo; species Homo sapiens. The sequence continues at coordinate 43,323,437 of NC_000019.10, forward strand.
TGAGATTTGAGTGGGAATATAAATCCAAAACATATCATTCTTTCCCTGGTTTCTCTCAAATCTCATGTCTTTCTTTTCATACGTGTCCGTGTGAAGAGACCACCAAACAGGCTTTGTGTGAGCAACATGGTTGTTTATTTCACCTGGGTGCAGGTGGGCTGAGTCCGAAAAGAGAGTCAGCAAAGGGAGATAGGGATGGGGCCATTTTATAGGATTTGGGAAGGTAATGGAAAATTACAGTCAAAGGGGGTTGTTCTCTGGTGGGCAGGGGCGGGGGTCACAAGGTGCTCAGTGGGGGAGCTTCTGAGCCAGGAGAAGGAAATTCACAGGGTTAATCACTCAGTTAAGGTGGGGCAGGAACAAATCACAATGGTGGAATGTCATCAGTTAAGGCGGGGCAGGGCCTTTTCACTTCTTTTGTGATTCTTCAGTAACTTCAGGCCATCTGGGCGTATACGTGCAAGTCACAGGGGATGCGATGGCTTGGCTTGGGCTCAGAGGACTGACATTCCTGCCTTCTTATATTAATAAGAAAAATAAAACAAAATAGTGTTGAAGTGTTGGGGTGGCGAAAATTTTTGGGGGGTGGTATGGAGAGAGAATGGGCGATGTTTCTCAGGGCTGCTTCAAGCGGGATTAGGGGCGGGTGGGAACCTAGAGTGGGAGAGATTAAGCTGAAAGGAGATCTTGTGGTAAGGGGTGATATTGTGGGGTTGTTAGAAGAAACATTTGTCATATAGTATGATTGGTGATGGCCTGGATACAGTTTTGTGTGAATTGAAAAACTAAATGGAATAAGAAGGAGAAAAACAGGTATAAAAGGTCTAAGAATTGGGAGGACCTAGGACATCTGATTAGAGAGTGCCTAAGGAGATTCAGCATAGTCCTGCCAGCAAAGATTATTTATTTACTTCAAGAGTTAAGAGTGGCAGTTTGGGGATAGCACGAGGAGATATCAGCTGTGATGGCTTGGAGAAACAGTGTAAACTGGCAGTGTGAACAAGAGCAGGGCATGTGTGAGTAGTTGAGAATGGAGAATAGGAATATGACTAGACAGAAAATAGTAGGGATGACAAGTTTTCTTGGGGGCACAGTCTAAGTTGGTCCAGTGTCTGGAATGAGACTGGGGCCTAATAAAAAGGAGCATCTATACAGGAGCTTAAATGGGCTGTACCTTGTAGCATTCTGAGGACAGGCCTGAATTCTGAGAAGTGAAAGTGGTAAAAGTATTGTCCAGTCCTTTTTAAGTTGGTGGCTGAGCTTGGTGAGGTGTGTTTTTAAAAGACCTTTAGTCCGTTCTACTTTTCTTGAAGACGGAGGACCGTAAGGGATATAAAGGTTTCACTGAATACTAAGAGCCTGAAAAACTAATTGGCTGATTTGACTAATAAAGGCTGGTCTGCTATCAGACTGTATAGAGGTGGGAAGGCTAAACTGAGGAATTATGTCTGACAGAAGGGAAGAAATGACTGTGGTGGCCTTCTCAGACCCTGTAGGAAAGGCCTTTACTTATTCAGTGAAAGTGTCTATTTAGACTAAGAGGTATTTTAGTTTCCTGACTCGGGCATGTTGAGTAAAGCTAATTTGCCAGTCCTGGGTGGGGGCAAATTCTCGAGCTTGATGTGTAGGGAAGGGAGGGGGCCTGAATAATCCCTGAGGAGTAGTAGAATAGCAGATGGAACACTGAGAAGTTATTTTCTTGAGGATAGATTTCCACGATGGAAAGGAAATGAGAGGTTCTGAGAGGCAGGCTAGTGGCTTGTACTATAGCATAGCCTGCATTTGCTGGTATGTGGCGATTAGGCCTGGTGGAACTGCCATCAATAAATCAAGCGTGATCAGGGTGAGGAATAGGAAAGAAGGAAATACAGGGAAATGGGGTGAATAGCAGGTGGATCAGAGAGATACAGTCATGGGGGTCAGGTGTGGTATCAGGAATAATGTGGGAGGCCAGATTGAAGTCCGGGCCAGGAACAGTGGTAATTGTGGGACTTAACAAAGAGTGAGTACAGCTGAAGGAGCCGGGGAGCAGAAAGTGTATGCGTCAGGTATGAGGAAGAAAATAGATTTTGGAAGTTGAGAAATGTAGAGAGTGAGTTGAGCATAGTTTGTGATTTTCAGGGCCTCTAAAAGTATTAAAGCAGCGGCAGCCGCTGCACACAGACATGAGGGCTAGGCTAAAACAGTAAGGTCAAGTTGTTTGGACAGAAAGGCTACAGGGTGCGGTCCTGGCTCTTGTGTAAGAATTCTGACCACACTAACCATGCCTAGGAAGGAAAGGAGTTGTTGTTTTGTAAGGGATTGAGGTTTGGGAGATTAATCAGACATGATCAGCAGGGAAAGCACGTGTGTTTTTGTGAGAATTATACCGAGATAGGTAACAGATGAGGATGAAATTTGGGCTTGACTGAGGTAATGGGGGCTGTCTGTGAAGCCTTGCGGCAGGACAGCCCAGGTAATTTGCTGAGCCTGATGGGTGTCAGGGTCAGTCTAAGTGAAAGCAAAGAGAGGCGGGGACGAGGGGTGCAGGGGAACAGTGAAAAAAGCATCTTTACGATCAAGCACGGAATAGTGAGTTGTGGAGGAAGGTATTGAGGACAAAAGAGTGTTCGGGTTGGGCACCACAAGGGGGATAGGCAAAACAATTTGGTTGATAAGGCACAGATCCTGAACTAACTTGTAAGTCTTGTCTGGTTTTAGGACAGGTAAAATGGGGGAATTGTAAGGAGAGTTTATAGGCTTTAAAAGGCCATGCTGTAGCAGGCGAGTGATAACAGGCTTTAATCCTTTTAAAGCGTGCTGTGGGATGGGATATTGGCGTTGAGTGGGGTAAGGGTGATTAGGTTTTAATGAGATGGTAAGGGGTGCATGATCAGTCGCCAAGGAGGGAGTAGAGGTGTCTTATACTTGTGGGTTAAGGTGGGGGGATACAAGAGGAGGACGCAAAGGAGGCTTTGGATTGGGAAGAAGGGCGGCAATGAGATATAGCTGTAGTCCAGGAATAGTCAGGGAAGCAGATAATTTACTTAAAGTGCCTCAGCCTAATAAGGGAACTGGGCAGGTGGGGATAACTAAAAAGGAGTGCTTAAAAGAGTAGTGTCTAAGTTGGCGCCAGAGTTGGGGAGTTTTAAGAGGTTTAGAAGCCTGGCTGTCAATACCCACAACAGTTATGGAGGCAAGGGAAACAGGCCCTTGAAAAGAAGGTAATGTGGAGTGGGTAGCCTCCGTATTGATTAAGAAGGGGATGGACTTACCCTCCACCGTGAGAGTTACCTAAAGCTCGGCGTCCGTGATGGTCTACGGGGCTTCTGAGGTGATCAGGCAGCGTCAGTCTTCAGCCGGTAAGCCAAGAAGGAGTCAGTCAGAGAGCCTTGGGCCCAGAGTTCCTTGGGCTCTGGGAGTGGCTGCCAGGTGAGTTGAACAGTCCGATTTTCAGTGGGGTCCCACACAGATGGGACGCGGCTTAGGAGGAATCCCAGGCTGCGGGCATTCCTTGGCCCAGTGGCCAGATTTCCGGCACGTGTAGCAAGCGCCTGGGGGAGGAGGTTCTGGAGGAACGCCTGGTTGCTATGGTTCAGGCGTTTGGAAGTTCTTGTGTGCTGGAGATGTGGCTGGGGTTTGTCTCACAGTGGAGGCAAGGAATTGCAACTTTTTTCTGTTATTGCACACCTTGAAGGTGAGGTTAATTAAGTCCTGTTGTGGGGTTTGAGGGCCAGATTCCAATTTCTGGAGTTTTATTTAATGTCGGGAGCAGATTGGGTAATAAAATGTATATTGAGAATAAGATGGCCTTTTGACCTTTTAGGGTCTAGGGCTATAAAGCGTCTCAGGGTTGCTGTCAAACGAGCCATGAACTGGGCTGGATTTTTATACTTGATGAAAAAGAGCCTAAACGCTATCTGATTTGGGATAAAGAAAAAGGAGCATTAACCTTGACTATGCCTTTAGCTCCAGCCACCTTTTTAAGAGTAAATTGCTAGGCAGGTGGGGAAGGGCTAGTCACGGAACGAAACTGTAAGCCGGACCAGGTGTGAGGAGGGGAGGCAATAAAAAGATTACAGGGTGGAGGAGCGGAGGCTGAGGAAGAATTGGGACCTAGCTTGGCCTGGCAAGGAGGGGAGAGGTCAGATGGGTCTGTAGAAAAGGAAGATTAGAAAGACTCAGCGACGCTTGGGGTTGGGACTGAGGGGACAGGCGGGAGATTTGGGACGAGTTGCACTGGGCACAGAGACTAGGAAGGGACTGATGTGTAAAAGAATGCCTGGACGTCAGGCACCTCAGACCATTTGCCCATTTTACGACAAGAATTATTTAGATCTTATAGGATGGAAAAATTGAAAGTGCCGTTTTCTGGCTATTTGGAACTACTGTCCAGTTTGTATTGGGGTCAAGCGGCATTGCAGAAGAAAATGAGATGCTTAGATTTTAGGTCAGGTGAGAATTGAAGAGGTTTTAAGTTCTTAAGAATACAGGCTAAGGAAGAAGAAGGAGGAATGGAAGGTGGAAGCTTGCCCATAGTGAAGGAGGCAAGCCCAGAGAAAAGAGTAGAGACATGGAGAAGGGGTGGGGGTTTCTTGCCCACCAGAAAAGCAGAGAAAGGGTCGGAGCATGGAAATAAGGGATTGGGGTGCAGACATAAGAGGTTGGGGCATGGAAGTAAGGGATTGGGGCACAGAGATAACAGGTTGGGGCGCGGAAATAAGCAATTGGGGCACAGAGATAAGAGGTTGGGGCATGGAAATAAGCGATTGGGGCGCAGAGATAAGAGGTTGGGGCATGGAAATAAGCGATTGGGGGGTTCTTGCCCCCTAGGAAAGCGGGACTTACCGCTAAGGGTGAAGGAGAAGGGGTTGAGTGGTACTTGCCCCTGCCCCAGGAAAGCAGAGAAGGGGTGGAGAGAAGGAGAGAAGGGGTTGGGGTACTTGCCCCACCCCCGGAAAAGCAGAGAAGGGGTAGAGACAAGGAGAGAAGGGTTGGGGTACTTGCCCCTTCCCCAGAAAAGCAGAGAAGGGGTAGAGACAAGGAGAGAAGGGGTTGGGGTACTTGCCCCTTCCCCAGAAAAGCGGGACTTGCCGCTAAGGGTGAAGGACCAAGACAGGCGTCCCTGCGTGGTCTGACACCTTTGAAACGTGGGTGAATAATCAGAGAGGCGTCCCTGCAATGATTAAACACCAAGGGAAAGCTGCCTTCCCAGTCTGTGACCGGCGCCGGAGTTTTGGGTCCACGGATAAAACATGTCTCCTTTGTCTCTCCCAGAAAATGAAAGGAATTGAAATTAAGAGAAGGGAGAGATTGAAGAGTGGAAAGGAGAAAGTGGTTGAGGGACAGTGAGAGAGGTTGGAGAAGAGAGTAAGAAGAGACCGCTTACCTGATTTAAAATTGGTGAGATGTTCCTTGGGCTGGTCGGTCTGAGGACCTGAGGTTGTAGGTGGATCTTTCTCACGGAGCAAAGAACAGGAGGACAGGGGATTGATCTCCCAAGGGAGGTCCCCCGATCCGAGTCATGGCACCAAATTTCATGCGCGTCCATGTGAAGAGACCACCAAACAGGCTTTGTGTGAGCAACATGGTTGTTTATTTCACCTGGGTGCAGGTGGGCTGAGTCCGAAAAGAGAGTCAGCAAAGGGAGATAGGGGTGGGGCCGTTTTGTAGGATTTGGGAAGGTAATGGAAAATTACAGTCAAAGGGGGTTGTTCTCTGGTGGGCAGGGGCGGGGGTCACAAGGTGCTCAGTGGGGGAGCTTCTGAGCCAGGAAAAGGAAATTCACAGGGTTAATCACTCAGTTAAGGTGGGGCAAGAACAAATCACAATGGTGGAATGTCATCAGATAAGGCGGGGCAGGGCCTTTTCACTTCTTTTGTGATTCTTCAGTTACTTCAGGCCATCTGGGCATATACATGCAAGTCACAGGGGATGCGATGGCTTGGCTTGGGCTCAGAGGCCTGACATTTCTCACATTTCAAAATGTAACAATGGTTTTCCAACAGTCCATTACCTCTTTCCAGCATTACCAGTAAAGTCCAAAGTCCCAAGTCTCTTCTGAGACAAGGCAAGTCCCTTTTGCCCATGAGCCTGTGAAATCAGAAACAAGTTATTTACTTCCAAGATACAATGGGGATTTAGGCATTGGGTAAATACTCCAATTCCAAAAGGTAGAAATAAGCCAAAAGAAATAAGATACAGGCCCCATGCAAGTCTGACACCCAGCAGCACAGTCTTTAAAACTAAAGCTCCAAAATAATCTCCTTTGACCCCATATCTCACATTTAGGGCACACTGATGCAAGGGTTAGACTCCCAAGGCCCTGAGAAGCTCTACTCCTGTGGCTTTGCAGGGCTCAACCCTCATGGCTACTCTCATGGGCCGGCATTGCGTGCCTATGGCTTTTCCAGGTGCAGTGTGCAAGCTGCCAGTGGCTCTTCCATTCCAGGGTCTTGAGGATGGTGGGTATCTTCTCCCAGCTCCTGGCCCAGTGAAAACTGTGTGGAGACACTTACCCCACATTTTGCTTCTATACTGCCCTAGTAGAGGTTCTTCATGAGGGCACTGCCCTTGTAGCAGGCTTCTGCCTGGACATTCAGGCTTTTCTATATATCCTCTGAAATGTAGGCTCCCAAGCCTAAACTGTTGCACTTTGTGCACCTGCAGGGTTACCACCACATGGAAGCTGCCAAGCTTTATGACATGTACCTTCTGAAGCAACAGGCCGAGCTGTACCTTGACCCTTTTGAGCCATGACTAGAGCAGCTGGGATGCAGTGAGCAGTGTCCTGAGGCTGCACAGGGCAGCAGAGCCCTGGGCCTGGCCCAAAATTTATTCTGTCCTCCTAGGCCTCTGGTCCTGTGATGGGAAGGGCTGCTGCAAAGGTCTCTGAAATGCCTTTAAGGCCTTCTCCTTATTGTTTTGGCTATTAGCACTTCGCTCCCTTTACTTATGCAAATTTCTGCAGCCTGCTTGAATTCCTCCCCTGAACATGGGCTTTTCTTTTCTACCACATGCTTTCCTACACACTTTCAGAAAACTGGATCTCATGAGAACTCACTATCATAATGACAGCACCAAGGAAGATGGTGTTAAACCATGAGAAACATTAGTTTATTTGCCAATGTCTGAGGTAGGCAGGTGAGGACAGCGTTTGTGCTGTTGTGGAAATGTGTTCTGAACAGGGACCTTGAAGTGAGGTGGAGGAGGTGGCCAAGGGAGAGAACACTCAGGACCCCAGATGGCTGCTGCTGCCCAGGACATCCCCGCCTCTTATGGATGTTACCCAGATTGTAGCAGGGAGAGGCTTCCTTTAAGTAGAGAGTAAACGGACTAAGAAAGCGATAGATGGCTCCACATGCCAAGAATGTTCTTTTCCTTTTCTCTCCCTTTTCTCCCTCTCCTTTTCTTTTCATGATATCAAATGCCAGAGAGGCGTGCAGAGCACGTAGGGGGCCTTCCTTGCGTTGCTGCTACCCAAGCCTGCCTGGGCTGTAAGTTCCCCCGGAGCACCCCTTTGCCCCCACCTGTGGCATGGTCGGCCTCTCTTGGGCCCAAGCCTACCCTCTGCTTCCTCAGAGCGGGTCTCAGACCAGGCAGGGGGTTTCCCAGGAGTCCCTGGGAAGGTTTGTTTTCTGCAGTGCCATGGTGACATAAATGGTTGCTTTCCTTATCATTTTTCAATATTTAGTGGCCACTGATTACTGCCTTAGAAACACGGAGCAATTGAGGTTTTCCTGCCCCTTTCCAATTCCAGTTCAATGTAATTTTCCTGCTGTGACTCCTGTCCCTCTCTGATGTCCTCTCCCCTATTCAGGCTTCAACAGAAGCCTTCTATCCCCTCTCAAAGCTCCGTCCTCCCCAGGAGACACCAGCCAGTCTCTGTGCTTCCTCCTCCCACCCTCTCCCAGGGAGTCCTCCCTCACCTGTGAGCAGGAGCCCCTGCCAGGGGATGCATCCTCTGCGGGGAGGGGCTGAGGGGGGCCTCATGGTCTCTGCTGCCTGCTTCTCTTCTGTGGAGAGGAGCTTAGCTCCAGGATGATCAGAGCTACTGTGACTGCCAGTTCTGCTGTCTTTCCTCCCTCTGTGCTGAGCCTTCTCTCAGGGCAGGAGCACTTCCTAGGGCCAGGGGCAGGGGCGGGACTCTGCCCAGGATGCTTCTCTGTCCCCTCCCCTCTCAGTCCTGCCTTCTGGTTCCTGCTTCCCCTTCCCTTCTGTGTGTGTTTGGTCCTTAGGACCTGCTGAGGCCATTTGCCTTCTTCAGATATGGCTCTCCTTCCACACTTGTCCACACACACACACATATACACACACAGAGACACACACAGAGACACACACAGAGATGCACACACACATACACACAGACATGACACAAACACAGACACACATATATACAGACATACAGGCAAACACATATACACATATATACAGACATAGAGGCAAACACTCACATATACAGACACACACACATATATACTCAGATTCATTGAAACTGAGACACATGTACACATACAGATACACAGAGCTGTCACAGGACAAACTAGCACAGATAAAGACTTCAAGTGGCTTTATTTGCCGTCCTAAAATCGGGCGAGACTTCATCCCATGAGACAATACGTGGGTCAAGGAGCTGAGCAGAAGCGCGGGTTTAATAGAGAGGGGAGGGCTGCGGAAAGCAAACACAAAAAACAGGGCCACTCGGGAAAGGCTCATGGAACAAGGGAGAAATCTCTGATGGGGGAGAATCAGGTTCCTGTTTTAGAAACGGTGAGAGCAGAGGGGAGGTCATTGTCATGCGATTGAAACTGGCCTGTTTGGGAAATCGGCTATTATCTTTCGAAGGTCAGGTAGCAGCTCAGTTTTCCTTTGGTGACCTGTGACATTGGGGAAGGACTGCATTGTGCTGTTGGTCTGGTCTGTTGGGGCCTGGAGCAGGAGCTCAGCCACTGCCATGGCCTCCTCTGACTGCTGTTTAGCAAAGCTCTCAGGTGGGGCTGATGGCGCTGTCCTGGGGAGGCCCTTTCAGTAGCAAGGCTGGTGCAACCCTGTCCCCTGGGAGGATGACCCGCCCTCCCCAGGGCTGACCTCTGCTATCTCCTGGCCTCAGGTCTGTCAGCTCCACACACAGAACCCTGGGGATCCAAACCTGGGGAATTCTTTCTTTGTGATGCAGAAACCCAGCTGGCCAGGTCTCCCCATGCTCTTTAGTGCTTGGGAAGGTGGGATGATGCCCAGCAGGAAGGTGACAGAGGTGGCTCTGGGGGATAGAAAGGAGCTCACTGGGGGATGACTGGGGAGGGACCAGCCCTCTGTCTCCAGTGTCACCAGCCTGGCCTCTGACCCAAAGAGACCCAGGCTGGACTCAGGTGGAGCTCCAGCTCCAGGGTGTGGAGGAAGTTGTCCTGTGTGTCCTGGGTAGAGAGGACTGTGGTGGAGGGAGGTGGGTGGCTCTGAGCCCTGCTGTCCTTGGGGAAGGCTTCATGGAGACCCTCCCTTTCTGTGTCTGTTGGCTGAGCTGTGGCTCAGGGCCTGTCCATGTTCTCCCTATGTTCACCCCTTAACCTTGCAGGTGGTTGGGGGGGCGAGAGAGATAGAAAGACTGTGTCTGTCTGTGTGTGTGTGTGTGTGTGTGTGTGTGTGTGTGTGTGTCCTGTGGCTACCACACCTTCCCCATGGGTGATGCCAGGAGGAAGTGGGGAGCTGCACAAAAACCCTTGGCAGAGCAGGCACCATGAAGGAGCAGGCACATGGCAGGGACCAGAAGGGTCATTTGGGGCAAGGGCTGGAAACCAGGCTCCACCTCTACCTCCTTAGCAAAGCCAGGTTCCTGTCCAGGGGAATCCATTTCCTGAGTGTTATCTGTGTGTGATGTCGCCCCCTGGAGGGCAAGAGGAGACTTGTGGCCTTGTCAGGGGCTGCCCCAGGGACACTGACCAGGGTCTGCATGGTATGAGCTGGCCCTGACCCCTGGGCAGAAGTGGGATCTGACCTCCAGACTGCAGGGTCAGGTCACCCCAGGTCCTGTTCACTGCAGGTCCCCAGGCTGCCCAACTCCATGCAGTGCAAGATGAGCCCAGGGAGAGGACAGGAGTTATCCAGAGAACAGCAGGTCGAGATTCAAGAGAACTGTCCACCAGGAGGATGGGCTGCCTTAGAAGGAGCCACCTGTCCCCAAGGTTTCAAAGGAAGGGCTCAGGGAGGTATCTCTGGGGGCTTTAGAGAGAGGATGCCAGCCTGGGAGGTAGGTGGTCCCCAGAATGCCCTGTGTTCCTCCATCACAGCACTGGGGGTGCTGCCTCCAGGTCAACTGTGTCCCTGTCTGATGCCCACTGTCACTGCTGTTACTCAATATTGTACTGGAGGCATTGGCCAATGAAATTGGGGTACAGATACGAATAGAGATATAAGACTTAGAAAGAGGGAGAATAAGCTATACCAATTCACAACCAATATGTGATTATATATCTAGGAAATTCCAGACATAGTGAAAAACTAATCAATGCAAGAATTTAATAGAAAGATGTAAAGTTAACATAAGGAGGTTAATAACTTTTATACACAGAAACAATACTCAGATAGAAGGTGTAATATAAGACCTCTTTTATTATGACAATATAAAGATAAAACACCTGGGCATACCCTTAACAAGAAATTTGTAAAACCTATACGAGAAAACTCTTAAAACACTCCTAAAGGACACAAAATTCATCTTCAAAAGATGAAGAGACACATTTAGTTTCTTTTCGATCACTTTATTATGAAAATGTTCAAGCACACAAACAAATTGAAAAAGTTGTACAGCCAACACTTACATACTCATCATGTAGATTCTGTAATTGTTAATATTTTGTAGTATTTGCTTGATTAAATATTCTTACATCCATGAAAATAAATCCATCCTATTTTTTCATGTATGTCAGAGTGAGTTGCGGATCTCAGTACCCTTAGGCCCTAAATACCCCAGCACTAACGTCATTAACTAGAGTTTAATATTTGTTTCTATCTTAGGTGAAATTTACATAAAGTAAAATGCACAAAGTTGTAGTGTACCTTTTGATGAGTTTTGACAAATAAGTGCATACACCCATGCAACCCCTTCCAAGACACACACAGTTCCTGTTGCCCCAGTGAGTTCCTTCCCAGCCAATCCTCATGCCCAGTCCCACCTCCAGAGGCAACCATCGTGCTGAGTTTTCATCATAAATTAATGTTGTCTGTAGAAGAATTCCATATAAATAGAATCATACAATGTGTACGTTTTCCTGTGGGTTAAATTTTCTTTTGCTCAGCAAAATGTTTTTGAGAATGAAGTATTTTGTTGCCTCTATCAGTAGTTTATTACTTTTTTTTTTTTTGAGACAGAGTCTCGCTCTGTCGCCTAGGCTGGAGTGCAGTGGCATGATCTCTGCTCACTGCAAGCTCCGCCTCCCGGGTTCATGCCATTCTCCTGCCTCAGCCTCCCAAGTAGCTGGGACCACAAGCGCCCGCCACCACACCTGGATAAATTTTTTTTTTTAAATATTTTTAGTAGAGATGGGATTTCACCTTGTTAGCCAGGATGGTCTCAATCTCCTGACCTCGTGATCCACCCGCCTCGGCCTGCCAAAGTGCTGGGATTACAGGCATGAGCCACCGGGCCCGGCCTTGTTTATTACTTTTTATAGCAACATAATATTCAGCAGTGTGAATATACCACATCTGGCTTATTCATCCTCCTATTGATGGGTATTTTGTTTTAATATTTCCTCAGTTTTGGACCATTATTATTATGAATAAATCTGCTTTTAAAAATAACTTTGTGTATGTTTTGGATGGGCACAGTAGCTCATGCCTGTAATCCCAGCACTTTGGGAGGCCAAGGAGGCACTGATCCCTTAAGGCCAAGAGTTCAAGACCAGCCTGGGAGACATGATGAAATCTCATCTCTACAAAATAATAATAATAAAACAAAATAACATCTTTGTATGTGTCTTGTTATGATCACATGTTTCATTCATTTTGGGTAAAATACCTAGGAATGAAATTGCTGGGTTATGGAGTAGGTATATGTTTACTTGTATAAGAAAGGGACAGACTTTTCCCAAAGTGGTTGCATCATTTTACATTCTCAACAACAGTATATGAGAGTTCTGGTTGCTCCATATATCCTCATCAACATTTGGGGTCTTGTCTTTCTACTTTCAGGAATTTGGTTGGTGGGTTGCAACATTTGATTGTGATTTTAATTTGCATTTCCCTGATGACTGATGATGTTGAGTAGTTTTTTTCTGTGCATATTAGCTATTCGTATATCTTATTTTGTGAAGTTTCTGTGAAAATCTTTTAGTCATTATTGCATTCAGAACAAAGGATTAAAAAAATGCATCGCTTGAACCCCCGAGGCAGAGTTTGCAGTGAGCCAAGATCGTGCCACTGCACTCCAGCCTGGGCGACAGAGTGAGACTCCATCTCAAAAAACAAAAACAAACAAACAAACAAAAAAAAGCATGTGGAACTTTAGCATGAGTTGACTTCACTTTGGGCATGCTGTCTTTAGCAGTCACAAAAAAATGAATAGGCGGGTGAACTATTGTAGAATGTAAGAGATATAATAACCAAATATAAGGCATAAGTCTTGATTGGATTCCAGTTTTAAAAATACACATGGATAGCCAGGCGTGGTGGCACACACCTATAGTCCCAGCTACTCTAAAGACTGAGGCAGGAAGATCAGTTGAGCCTGGGAGGTGGAGGTTGCAGTAAGCTGAGATCCTGTCACTGCACTCCAGCCTGGATGACAGAACAAGATTCTGTCTCAAAATAAATTAAATAAATAAATACAGATGGAAAAATCATTTTGGAGACCAAAGGGGAAGACTGAAAAAGGACTATATATTAGATAGGGTTAGGGAGTTATTGTTTATTTTCTCAGGTGTGATCATGGGATTGTGGGCCAGTCACTCTGGGGAGAGGCACGCTAAAGCACTCAAGGACATAGTGTCACTCAAGGACACAGTGCCTTGATGCCTGCAATTTACTCTGACACAGTTCAGAAAAAAACGAGGAAATATGGCAAAATGTTAAACTTGAATATAAGGAGAGGATGCGGGTATTCTTGGTATTATTTTTTCCGCTTTTCTGGATGTTTGAAATTTTCATAATAAAAAGTTGAAAACAAAGGATGATGTGTAAGAAAGTAACTTGGTGGCATCAGAGGTCATGGATGGTGGCATTGGTGCAAAGACATCAAGGATGGGAAGGGTCTAGTTATACAAAGAGTAGATGAAAGACACCCCAGGCACAGGAACAGCAAGTGCAAAGGCCCTGAGGTAGGAACTAGCCAGCATCACATTGTCAGCCCTGCGAGTGACCTTCCTAGAAAGCAGACCCTTCAGGCCCAGTAAAGCTGCAGATGACTGCACCCTGACTGGCTTCTTTACTCCAACCTCATGAGACTCACCAAGTCACAATCACCCAGCTTCATAATAAAAAGCTGAAAACAAACACTCTTCAATTCCTGCCCCACAGAATTTGAGAGGTAACAAATATCTGTTGCTGTTTTAAGCCCTGAAGCCCTGGGGTAATTTGCTAGGCAACAATGGATAACTAATGCAGCTTCTGTCACATCTTCTAGGAAACTTCTTAACCTGCTCTCTCAGTACAAAATCCCCTTTCTCCATTTGGTTCCATGTAAACCTCTGTTCATCCTTCAAAATTCACCTAAAGGAGTGTTTCCCAAAATAGGGTTCAGGTGTCAGTGGCTGAGGGCATGTGAGATGATTCTAAGGGGTTACACACGACAGTTGTTAAAAAGCGTTACAGGCTATGCTTGTGATTAAGCGCCTATTAGAGAAAAATAATTGAAAATAGCATATTAATCACATGATTGGATAAACATTATTGTTTTAAGATGAGGCCAAAGAAAAACAGTGAGTTGCTTTAAGGAAAATTTTTGAGTAAATAGCAGTGCAAGTGCTATTCAGATCGTAAAAGTGGAACACGACTAAAATTTGGAAGCGCAGTGAGGAATAGCAGGAATTCCTCTAGGAAACCTTCCCTGCCGCTCCAGGTGGGCCAGTTTGCCCCTCATTCAGACCCCTAAATACCTAAATATCTCTCCACTTGGCGCTGGTGGAATGTGTCAGGATCCCATCTCTGGCTGATGGAAGTCTGTGAGGAGGCTGTGGGCTCTGCATCTGACCTGAGCTCCAAGTCTGCAGGGCAGGCCCTGGGGAAGGGGAGATGGATGGAAAGTGGGGAGTAAGGACAAGCCAGGAGCCCACACAAGGTGGAAGGTTTCGGGACCCACAGAACCTGCCTCTATTCTTGCTGCCTCATCTTGGTGGTGCAGGGGACCTGCAGGAGTGACCTTTGTCACAGAGGTCAACGCACACCTGGCTCAGGAGGTGGAGAAACTGAAGGAGGATTGGGGTAAAGGTGGAGCAGTTTCAGGTCCTGCTGCTGCTCCAGGCTGACCAGCCGAGCTAGCAGATGAGCAACACCTGGACCTGAGCCACGGAAGCTCCTGCCTGGATTTCCCCAGCATGAAATGCACAACGGCGGCTGCTTTGGGCAGGTGTGTCCCGCTCCCACCCTAACAGGAACCTACAGGGAAGAGAGTTCTGAGAGGTGTCGTTCAGCCTAGCCACAGTCATTGTCACCACACCCTCTTATGGGCCTGAGCACCCTTTTCTGTCTGCCCTTCCTGGGAATGAGAAGTCCCTGAGAGCGGGGATGGGTCTCATTCATTTTGGGGTCTTAGTATCATTCAGCATAGGGCTTGGCACAGAGCAGGAGCTCAGGGAGTGCACAGTGAATTAATGAATGATTCTTAAAGAGCCCCTACATTTAAGTAAGAAATCCATCCATTGAATAAGAAATCCATCCATCACAGGTTCTTCCTGTGTCCACCTGGGTGGGGAAAGATGGACTCATCAGTGGCCTGAAAGGGATCAAGTTAAGTCACCCCAAAATGTACCACGTTGGTATAAGGATTGTTTTGAGCTGAAGGCCATTGAGAATCAACAGATGCTGGAAGAGCACTGCCCTCTCCTTATCTACCTAGAAGCAGGGCATATATTTCCTTTTGGGAAGGTGTTTCCTCCCCAGACCATTAAGAAAAGCAACTCATCCTGGAGATGGCGAGTCCACACTGAGATGAGTATGCATAGACCGACCTCACTAACAGAACCTGCATCTCCATCAGTGCCCCAGGTATTTCCGGGTCACTGTCCCATGATGTATCACCCTTTGAAGAACAAGCCCCTTTCCTTTGTTAAAATGGTATATAAGCCCCACAAGTCTAGCCGTTTCATTTTTTCTTTTCTGTGAACTCCCATGCATGTAATAAAAATTCTCTGCCCTTTCTGTTGTTAATTGGTCTTTTGTTAGTTTAATTCACAGGCCTCCAGATACTGAACCTAAGTGGATAGAGGAAAAGCATTCCCTCCCTGAAAGGCAGTTTTCCAGACTAACAAACAAATGTCATAAGTATGTACATCTTCCAGAAAACGGAGTTGTCTAGTTACATAGTATGCCCTGGGCAATGGATTAATACATGTAACTTAGGCAATTCATCTGAATTTCAGATTTTTGAAGGCTAAGAGCTACCTTCACAGGACCAAGTGATGGTCTCTGGAGTCTGGGTGTTTTACAGAGCTCCATTGATAGAAATAATCTTTGCAAGAACATTGTAGGATGATGAATAGGATCTGCTTATATCTCAAGTTGTCTGGGAAGCGGGGACATTTGCTCCTTCTTATCTTGCTGGGATTTCTGTCACCAGCAGTTGGAAGGGACTCCAGTTTTAAGACAAAGGTTTACAGTTTCTTTGGCACCAAGAGCAAAAGAAGCATAAAACTAGGCAGAAAGGGGTATAATATTATCATGTTGAGAAAAGGAATATGGAAAATGTAACCTTTTGCATCTCCTGAGTTAATGAATCTATACTCTGAGAAGGGCAGAAATGAGAACCACCTCCCCATCTCTGCAATAAATTCCCTAGAAGGTTTGGATTTTAGCCAAGAAGTTTCTGCTTTCCTGGAGAATGTCTCTCAATTCAAACTCTAAACCCCAAAGCCAGAAAAGGCAAACGTTACCTTGTCTGGGCTTTAATCCAAGTTTTCAGTGGCTGGAAACACGGTTACACTCCTGGAGACAAGGTGGCCTTGGACACCCAGGAAGAGCCCTGCTCCCGGGCACACCTGGCCCTGGAGCCAGACCACCTGGGTTTGAACCCCAGCTCTGCACCTTACCAGCAGAGCTTCCTGTCTGGAAAGTGGAGATGATCGTGATATCACTGACCTCAGACTGTGGTTGTCTCAATTAAATTAACAATCCATGTTATGAGTGTACAAGTATCGGGCACAGAGCATTGACTCAATTAATACTGATCTGTAATGAATGGGGATTCATGCCAAGTGCTGATGATGTGCATGACATTAGTGCTGACTGCTGTAAGTACTGGAAGCCGTCATGATAATGAACAGTGACTTTCATCACAGTTCATGGGGTCCTTTGTGAAACATGAGGGGGCATTAAGCAGAAACAGCCAGCCCAGCCCTCTCCACCACCCTTTGAGGAGGTGTATCTATGCCTGGTTTACAGTGTGGAAACTGAGGCTCAGAGACGGGGACTGGATTGTGCACGGTCACCCAGTCATGAAGGCCAAGAAATGATGGATGGGATGCAGGCTGTGTGCTCAGCCCCCTCCCTGTGGAGCAGCTCAGGGGCGTGGGGCATCCAGTCGCCCTGAAGATGCTGCTCTTGTCTGTCTGCCTCTCTCTCTTTCCACCACACTAGGTCTCTGTTTCTGGCTCTGTCTCCTCTTCACTGTGTGTCTGTGGTTCACTTTGTGTCTTTTCATCTCTGTGTCTCCCTGTCTGTCTCTGTCTTTGTCTCTCTACCAATGGGTACCTTCTGTCTTTCCTTCCTTCTTTTCTTTTCTTTTCTCTTCTCTTCCTTTCTTCCTTCCTTCCTTTCTTCCTTCCTTTCTTCCTTCCTTCCTTCCTTTCTTTTCTTTCCAGAGTCTCACTCTATCACCCAGGCTGGAGTGCAGTGTCATGATCTTGGCTCACTGCAACCTCTGCCTCCTGGGTTCAAGTGACTCTCCTGCCTCAGCCTCCTGAGTAGCTGGGATTACAGGTGTGTGCCACCACATCCGGCTAATTTTTGTATTTTTAGTAGAGACAGGGTTTCACCATGTTGGCCAGGCTAGTGTCAAACTCCTAATCTCAAATGATCCGCCCGTCTCAGCCTCCCAAAGTGCTGGGATTACAGGTGTGAGCCACCACTCCAGCCTCTTCTTTCTGTTTCTGTGTATTTATGAGTGTCCTTCCTCCTGCACACTGTCTGTCTCTCACTCTGTATCTCTCCAGCTCTGTCCGTCTCTTTTTCTGGGTCTCTTTCCCTCTGTGTCTCTCTGTGCCTCCCTCTTTGTCTCTGTTCTGATTTTGTGTGGCCCCATCAGCTTGACTATGGTGGTGTCTCCATGTCCCTCCTCCTCCTCTCAGATGCTCTTTTGGTTCTGTGTTTTCCTTCTGTCTCTGTGTCCCTGTGGGGGTCTCAGGACCAGGACGAGGGTGAAGTAAGTGAGGTGTCTCTGCTGCAAAATCTAAGGAGACACCCAAATCCAGGGTTGCACAAGTGACCCCTTAATTTTTAGTCCTAGGCCCTTTCTCTCTCCCCTCACTCTCTCTCTTTTCTGGATTACAACACCATTGATTTTTAATCAAGAATCCACAAGCCTGGGTCCTCTCTTGTCTCACCCTAGTCCTGCCCTGCATCTCTCTATGGCTCACCTTCTACTTCTCCGGCTCTGGCTCTTGAGTTCTCCCTCTCTCCGTGCCTCTCCTCTCCCTCCATCTCTCTATGTTAGTGTCTCTGTCCCCTTCACTCTCTGTCTCTCTCTGTATCTCCCCTCTCCACCCCCGTATTTCTCTGACTCTGTCTCTCTCTGGGTCTTTATCATTTTCTCTTTCTCTCTCCATCCCTGCCCCAACTCTCTCTGTGTGTTTCCCAGTCTCTCTGTTTTCCCCTAAGCCAGGGGCTTCATGTTGTCCATCTGTATTGAGGTCTTGGGTGGCCAGCAGGGTTCTCTGCTTAGTGGGGGCTTCCCCTCAGTGCTTTCCATATGCTGTCCAGACTGGGGGTGCTGCAGCTAGAAAGGGAAGAAGGTTTCCATATTTCCTGAGACTGGAGTCACATCCTGTCACCAATGCACTCACCTGCTGACTAACCAGTGTACTTCTGGGAATTGCAAATGCATGAAATGGCACCCATTCTAGACTAGTCACGGCAGTGTTGGTGATGGTCACAGACCGGGAACGACCCTGACGTTTATCCATAGAGAACTGGGTCATGAGCCATGATCCACATCATGGATACTGGTCAGCTGTGGCAAAGAATGAGGTATCCTTCTGTCTGTGCACTGGGGAAGGTTTCCAAGATACACCGCACAGTGAGAAAAACAAGAAGCAGAACAGTGCACGGTGTGCTACCTCTTACATTACAAAGGAGGAAATGTAAAATTAATTTACAAATGGCCAATAAGCACATGAAAACATGCTCAACATCACTAATCATTAGGAAAATAAAAATCACAACTACAGTGAGATACCACCTTACATCCATTACGATGGTTGTTCTCAAAAAAAAAGAAAAACAGAAAAGAACAAGTGTTGGCGAGGAGAAATTGGAACGCTTGTGTAGTGTTTGTGGGTATGTGATATGGCGCAACCACTGTGGTCATTTCTCAAAAAATTAATCATAGACTTACCACAAGATGCAGCAATTCGGCTTCTGGTGTATTCCAAAAAGAACGGAAAGCAGGGGCCCCAGCAGATATTTGCACGTCTTTGTTCATAGCAGCATTATTCACAATAGCTAAAAGTTGGAAACAAGCCCAGTGTCCATCCGTCCGTGAATGAATAAACAAAACGTGGTCTATATGTACAAATGAATGGAATTCAGCCATAACAAGAAGGGTGGTTCTGATGGTGCTTCAACATGAATGAGCCTTGAGTTCTTTCTGCTAAGTGAAATAATCAGACTCAAAAAGACAAATTTGCATGATTCCACTTAACAGAGGTGCCTAACGTCATGAAATGCATAGACAGAAAATGAAAAGGTGGTTGTCAGTGGCTGGAGGGAGGGGGAAAGAGGAGTTGGTGTTTAATGGGCACAGAATTCCAGTTGGGGAATATGAAAAAGTTCTGGGTGGGGATGGACAGTGGTGGTGGTTGAACAACAACCTAAATGTACTTCCTGCCCCTGGATATACACTTAAAAGTGGTTAAAATGGGCTGGGCAAGGTGGCTCACGTCTAGTCCCAGTACTTTGGGAGGTTGTGGCGGGCGGATCACGAGGTCAGGAGATCGAGACCATCCTGGCTAACATGACAAAATACCCTCTCTATCTCTACTAAAAATACAAAAAATTAGCCGGGCGTGGTGGCATGCACCTGTAGTCCCAGCTACTCAGGAGGTTGAAGCACAAGAATCGGTTGAACCTGGGAGGTGAAGGTTGCAGTGAGCCAAGATCGTGCCATTGCATTCCAGCCTGGGTGACAGAACAAGACCCCTTCTCAAAAAAAAAAAAAAAGAAAGAAAGAAAGAAAAGAAAAGAAAAGAAAAGAAAAGAAAAGAAAAAAAGTGGTTAAAATGGTGAATTCTATGTTATATATATTTTACCATAATTTACAATAATTCCTATTGTTTTGCATAAAACAGCTGTAGAAAGCTTTGCAGGTCATGAACAGCACAGCTGGCCACTGGGGCTGGTGTGGGGCTAGGACCTGGGTGCACAGGGAACAGGTATGAGACACAGGCTCTTCATGCCTGCACACACATATGGATACACAAGGATGCAAATTTCTGAGCCATCTAAATACAACACCTATTCAAAAAATCAAACAGAAAAAGGAAATGAATGGAGCTGAAGGATGAGGGCAGGTGGGGCGGCTGCTCGGGAGGACTCTGGAGACCACTTCACCCAACATTCGAGGCCTCTCTTAGCAGCTGGAGCTCATCCGGGGGACTTAGGAGCTCTGGAAAGAGGAACAGGAGAGGGCCATGGCCGGAGGAGGCCTGAAAAAGATCATCTCTGCCACAGAGAAGATGCTGGCTCGGATACTGGTGTCCCCCGTGGAGGCAGGGAGACCCAGGGAGACAACTGTATTCATTCAAGGAGGAATGGGTGGTGGTGCAAACTTGGGTGGAGGCCACAGGGTGCAGAAGACAGGACACAGCAGAGATAGATGTAGGACATGGAAGGGACAGAAAGGAGTGATCACTGGACGTAAAGGGGCAAGGAAAGTGGAAGCATGAGAACATCTGCTGGGCATCCGGCTGAGAGGTTGGGTGTCCAGGGTGCCCTTCCCTGAGGGAGAACCCAGGACAGGAGCAGATTCAGAGAAAACCACCCAGCTCACTCCAGCAAGAAGCAGAAAAGGGACTGGTTAAAGGACAGGGTAGGAAGGTCACCAAGCTCCAAGGGCCCTCATGAAGCCAGCTTGGAGGCCACAGGGCCCAGGGCAAGGACCAAACCACAGGCACAGGACAGCTCCGGTCAAGATCTTCTGGCCACTGCAGGAGGCAGAAACCACACCCTGCACCCTGCACTGCTGAGGCTGGCCCTGGAGTCCAGAAGCTTCTACACCAGAAGCTTCTGTCCCCCATCCCCACTCAAAAAATTAAAAACAAAAAGCAAATCGGTGCCATGCACCCTCTGCTTCCTGGTGCTGTTCGGGATCCTGAGTCTTTCACGGGGGCACCTGATGGGGAAAGCCTGGACCCGTGTCTGTGTCCCTCCTGCAAGGAGTGCTGGGAAAATGAACTTTCCAGCTTCCTCCTTGGGAAGACAGAACATTCCCCATGTGTACTGGTGGCATTTAAAAACTGCACGGCAGCCAGAGAACATGGACCGTGTTCCACCAGGAGAGTTCCTGGAGGGATGTCCCGGTGCAGACGCCCGTCCCAAGGTGGGTATTTGAGCTGAGGAACTGAGAAGCCGGTTTCTGCCTAGAGTTAGAGATCCGACAGGCATCAGCACATGGAAGGGAGGGAAGCTACGATGCATCGAGGGTGGGAGATCAGATGAACCAGGAGAGGCAGGGCCCGGGAGGAACCCCGGGGAGCAGCCGCCTTTAAAGCCTGGGGGAAGTAGCTTCAGAGAAGGTGAGGTAGGTTGGGTGGGGGTTGCTGGAAAAAGATAATTAAGAAACAAATTTCTGCTCAGCCCAGAAACCCCCGTCATATCCGTAGAAGCAAAAGAAACCTGTCTTATGACTGAGTAAGCATTAAGCCAAAATGTGATGCAATCTGCTAAGAGATGACAAAGACAGAAAGAAATCCCACCTTTGTATCCAGCCAAGCAGGTGCAACCCGTTACACACGTGGTCTCCAGATAGACGGTGACTAGTTCCCAGTTGAGAGGACTCAACGGCACCATTTGTCACACATAGTTCATCCTAAATTCACCCAGTAACTGTGTTGATTCTCTGTGTGGTTAATTGGCTTTATCCACAGGAAAAACAAACCTCTCTTATCTATGACAGGAGGTAGTTTTGCAACTGGGAGTGAGATGCCCCCAGAACTGAGGTTCCTTCCTTCTCACAGAAACTGGGAGACAGGGGCGCTTTCTGCCCGGATGCCTGCCTTTCAAAGAGAGGGCTCCTATGGCCTTGAGGAGGACAGTTCTGGGTTGTGAGGCAGGCAAGATGCTTATGTATGCTTTAGAAAGCTTTACATACATCTTCAAGGGACAGAGAAAGAATTTTCAATTACACCTCTTCTAAAAAATAAATGCTCTCAAAGTCCAGCCTGGGCAACATAGCAAGATCCAATCTCCACACACACAATAATAATAATCAATTTGCTGGGCACAGTGGGATGTGCGTGTAGTCCCAGCTACTCAGGAGGCTAAGGAGGAAGGATCACCTGAGCCCAGGAGGTTAAGGCTGCAGTAAGCTTGGATGGCACCACTGCACTCCAGCCTGGGTGACAGAGGGAGACTCTATCAATGAATGAATGAATGAATGAATGAATGAATGAAGAGAAAATGATCTGAGTGAAAAGAGGAGAGTCTCTTTATCTTTTTGCAACAGGCTAAACAAAATTTTTAAAAATGTATATTTGCCTCACAGAGATTATTCCAGGAAAAGAAGTGGCCCTCAGTGTCAAAGGATGCAAAACTAACCTGTGAGTTCCTGGCAGGTTTAGCAATAAAGCAGGATGTTGCTGATCTCAGTACAAGCAATGTTAGAGAAAGGGGAAGATGGAAGTGGACATGGACGAGTGAGTGGCAGGTGACAAATGGAAGCAAAGAAACGTATCCAGACCACTGAAGATGCTTGACCGAGAAAAAAGAGGCGGTGGAGGGAATGGAAGCCCAAGGAAGTCATTTGTTGCAATAAGAGGCCTCAGAGCACGTGTAGGGTGCGGGGCAGAGCCCATGCAGAGGGGCTGTGGAAGGCTGGTAGGGTGCAGGTGGCCCCACTCTCCATCACCCTGAGGAGTATGTGGTCAGAGTTAAAGCTCAGTCTGTTTCTGGGATCAGGTAAGAGGTCAGCGTCCGGAGAAGAGAGGTGGATCTTCAGATCCTGCAGACCTCCACCGCGCCCTCTGTCCCTCTTGACTGCTTTTTCTCCATCTCCATTGTCTGGCTCACATTCCTGTCACGTCTTCCTTTCTCCCTGCCCCTCTTTTCTCTTTTCTCCTCTCTTTTTCTTAACCCTTGTACCTTTGGAAGTCCCACTAATAGAATTTAAACAGCTTTTCAAGTTGGTTTTTTGTTCCCAGAAATTGACTTTAGACTCTCCATGAATAATGTGGAAATCAAACGAGTATAAGCTGGTTCATGTCTCTGCAATTAAACAAATAAAATCAACATTCCAATGCTTTCTTCTTCCAGAGTAGCCCACATTTGATTTTTTTTTTCTTAATTACTGTCACTTGCGATAGATTTTTAAATCTTGTAACCTGGTTACACAAATACCATGGGGCAAAAGCCTTACTTCCTGTGAGAGGAAACCAGGCTTGACTAGCCTCATGCTGGCTTTGAAGAAGTAAAATCAGGGGTTGATGAATTTGCATAGGGTAAATATCAAAGGTCAAAAGTCAACAATAGGTGGTAGAGGGAATACCCCAAATTATAAAAGAACAAACTGTTTAAGCCACAATAGAATTATCGTAGAAATAAACCACGGTCCTTCCCACTAAAATATTCCACTTAGAATTGTAAAATATTTTCCTCAATAACTCCTGGAAGAGCCTATTAAGAAATTAACGAGGCTGGGCGTGGTGGCTCACACCTCTAATTCCAGCACTTTTGAAGGCCGAGATGGGCAGATCACTTGAAGTTAGGAGTTTGAGACCAGTCTGGCCAATATGGTGAAACCCCATCTCTGCTAAAAATACAAAAATTACCCAGGCGTGGTGGCAGGCGCCTGTAATCCCAGCTACTCAGGAGGCTGAGGCAGGAGAAT
Organism: Homo sapiens; assembly: GCF_000001405.40. Classification (NCBI taxonomy): domain Eukaryota; kingdom Metazoa; phylum Chordata; class Mammalia; order Primates; family Hominidae; genus Homo; species Homo sapiens. The sequence continues at coordinate 43,346,880 of NC_000019.10, forward strand.
CACTTGAACCTGGGAGGCAGAAGTTACAGTGAGCCAAGATTGTGCCATTGCACTCCAGCCTGGGGGACAAGAGCGAGACTTCATCTCAAAAAAAAAAAGAGTCAAACTTGAGCCAGGCATGGTGGCTCACACCTTTAATCTCAGCACTTTGGGAAGCTGATGAAGTCAGGAGTTCGAGACCAGCCTGGGCAACATGCTAATACCCTGTCTCTACCAAAAATTTAAAAATTAGATGGGTATAGTGGCTCATGCCTGTAATCCCAGCTATTTGGGAGGCTGAGGCACAAGGATGGCTTGAACCCGGGAGGTGGAGCTTGCATTTAGCCAAGACTGTGCCATTCCACTCCAGTCTGGAGTGAAAAAAAAATCCATCTCAAAAAAAATCACAAAAAGAATAAATATGGGGCCTTATGACTGTATATTACTGGGCTTCTGACCTAGACTGAAAGATCAGGGAAGACTTTCCTGAAAAGAAAGTGAGCTATGATGGGCCCACTGTACTCCAGCCTGGGCAACGTAATGAGGCTCTGTCTCAATAAAAACATGCAGAATAAAACCACAATAAGAAAATAAGACAATAAAACCACTACAGAACTATTAGAATGGCTAAGATTAAAAAGAGTGACCACGCCAAGTGTTGGCAAGGATGTGGAGGCACTGGAACGCTCACGCTGCTGGTGGGAATGTAAGATGGTACAACCACTATGGAAAGCAATCTGGCAGCTTCTAAAAATTTCAGCATACACCATGCCACTCGTCAATTCCATTCCATTCCCACATGATTTTTATTTAAAGGAAAGTCAAGTGGAATGATCTTTAAAGCATTTTTGCCTGACAAATAGATGAAATGTGGGTAGCAGCCCAACACTCCCTGGTCAGTCTTCACAGGGCATATGTGGCCTTATGGCCCCCAGGAAATATGGCTCTTTCCACAAGTGCTATGTCCACTCTCTTCACCAATCCTAAGATGTTAGTTCCACAGCACTGCTAGCATTGGGCTTTGTCTATTTCTTTCTTTCTTTGTCTTTTTTGACAGGGGGTCTTGCTCTATCATCCAGGCTGAAGTGCAATGATGCAATTTTGGCTCACTGCAACCTCCACTTCCCAGGCTCAAGAGATCATTCCACCTCAGCCTCCCAAGTACCTGGGACTACAGGTGCACACCACCATGCCTGGCTACTTTTTTATATTTTTGGTAGGGACGGGGTTTCTCTATGTTGCCCAGGCTGGCCTGGAACTCCTGAGCTCATGCGATCCGCCCGCCTCAGCCTCCCAGAGTGTTGGGACAGCAGGCGTGAGCCACTGCTCCTGGAGTGGGCTTTATTTATTTCTATTTCTATTTCCTTTTCCTGTATGGTGAAGAGATTGAAAAGCATGCCTTATTTTGCAGGAAGAGATGGAAGGCTAGAAAGAGGAAGTAAATTGTTCAGGTAATAGTGAAATGATAGCAGGTCTAGAATATCAGCCTCTTTACTCAAAGCCCACAATTTCCAAATATCACAACTTCCTTTCTCTTTATACACTTTAGGGATTTTATTTATTTATTTATTTATTATTTTTTGCCAAAGTGAAACTCCAGGTCAAAGGACTTTGTTGGTCTAGTGTCAAATTAGCTTCCAAGGTGTTGATCTAATCCATGGGGCCACCAGCACTCAAGGATATAGGCGCACAGCAATGTCAGCCTCATGTTGTAATCCTTTTATTCATTTTTGCTCCTCTGGTCAGTACACGAAGGCCTGTAAAGATCCTTTCTTTTATTTTTGAGATGGAGTCTCACTCTGTCGCCCAGGCTGGAGTGCAATGGCACAATCTCAGCTCACTGCAACCTCCGCCCCCTGGGTTCAAGCCATTCTCCTGCCCCAGCCAAGTAGCTGGGATTACAGGCACATGCCATCATGCCCAGCTAATTTTTGTATTTTTAGTAGAGACAGGGTTTCACCATGTTGGCCAGGCTGGTCTCGAACTCCTGACCTCAGGTGATCCACCCACCTCTGCCTCCCAAAGTGCTGGGATTACAGGCATGAGACACCACACCCAGCCAGGCCTATGAAAATCTTTAAGTGTAACTTTTCATTAAGTGCCATAGATCCCTCCTCTTTATAACATAAAGTCCTGTAAACTGCATGCAGGTCAGTTTGCCATAGGAATAATTTGTCTTTGCTGGAACATGCTGGGTGCTTGGCAGATGAAGAGATTGGAAGTGAACCACTGAGATGACTGATGAGCGTCCTCAGCAGGCTGTGTTGCAGGGGGAAGAGTGCAGGTTGTTTATAAGGCCTGGGTCGTGCCCCTGGCCACCATTTCCTGGCTTTGTGACTCCAGCTTTACTTCTCCTTCCCAGGGCTCAGTTTTCCTCTCCTTGAAGGGGATGAGTGGAACCAGCTCTGGACGCTGAGCTGCCTGGGTGTAAAGGCTTCCTGTAATGGGCAGAAGAGTGGATAGGAGGGCAGCAGGGGAGCTGGACCAAAAGCATCATGTGATTTGCCGTGATCACAGAGGATTTTCTGGAAGTAGCTTGGGCACAATGTGTGCAAGGAGACAGAAGGGTCTCGTGGTGGGGAATAGGACATTCACACAGCCTCCTCCATGGCTTACCTCACACAGCAGTTGTTAATTAGCCAAGAATTTGACAAACAGGCATTAAAGGCCTTCTGAATGTGACACACGACACCCAGCTAGAAGAATATTGCCAAAAATCATTAAAACTACTCTAATCATAGTCTGAGTCAGACACATCCAGGTGGTGGAAGACTTTACAAAAAAAAAAGAAGTGAACCATTGCTTTCAATGACATTAAAGAAAATGAAAGGCAGGTGGGGAGCACTCCTAGATTAAAGGGGAGTCCAGAGATGAGATGTAAACCAAAAGGTATCTGAGACAGGTCTCCATCAACTTAGAAGCTTATTTTGCCAAGGTTAAGGACATAGAAAAAACCATGCAATCATAGAAACAGTCTGTGGTCTGTGCCTTTTTCCAAAGATAATTTTGAGGACTTCAATATTTAGGGTGGAAAAGCTGGCTGGCGGTGAAAGAAGGAGGGTGTGGTCGCATTACTGAATCCACATGGTGTAAGAGAAAGCAGGAGGTAGGGGAATAATCAATCACGTATTCATCTCACGCTCAGTAAATTGGCACCTTGAGAAAGATAAGGTGAATATGGCCGGGCGTGGTGGCTCACACCTGTAATCCCAGCACTTTGAAAGGCTGAGGTGGGAGGATCTCATGAGCCCAGGAACTTGAGACCAGCATGGACAACATGGCAAAACCCATCTCTACAAAAAAAACCACAAAAATTAGCTGGGCGCGGTGGTGGGTGCCTGTAGTCCCAGCTACACGGGAGGCTGAGGTGACAGAATGACTTGAGCCCGGGAGACAGAGGTCGCAGTGAGCCAAGATCGTGCCACTGCGCCCCAGCTTGGGAGACAAAGTATGATACTCTCTCAAAAAAAAATAAATAAGTAAAAATTTTTTTAAAGAAAGATAAGATGAACATAGAGTAGCTACCTACGGAGATACTTAACCTTTTCTCTGTAGCTGTCTGCTTAGGAACAAAAGGAAAGGCAGTTTCTTGCATGACTCAGCTTCCAGTTTTTTTTTTTTCCTTCTGTCACAGTGAATTGGGGTCCTGAGTTTTTGTTTCTCTTTCATAAAGACAACGCAGTGCAGTTCATGCTTGACCCCGGATGTTCTCCTGATCAGAAAGCAAAAACGCAATGAGAGATGTCATTGGGACAACAGAGGAAAACTGGAAATGGGCTTCCTATTAGACAACAGTGCATCTGTGTAAACTACACGGGTCTGATCCTGGTCTGTGGTTACGCAGGACAAAGTCCTTAAGAATAATCTATATAGGCTGGGCGTGGTGGCTCACACCTGTAATCCTAGCACTTTGGGAGGCCGAGGCAGGTGGATCACCTGAGGTCAAGAGCTCAGGACCAGCCTGGTCAACATGGTGAAACCCTGTCTCTACTATAAATACAAAAATTAGCCGGACGTGGTGGCAGGCGCCTGTAATCCCAGCTACTCGGGAGGCTGGGACAGGAGAATTGCTTGAACCTGGAGGGCGGAGGTTGCAGTGAGCAGAGATCACGACACTTCACTCCAGCTTGGGTGAGAGAGCAAAACTGCATCTAAAAAAAAAGAGAGAGAGAGGAAAAAAAAGAATGATATATGCTTTTTAAAAATTTTTTTATTTATTTATTTTTTGTGATGGAGCCTGGCTCTGTCACCCAGGCTGGAGTGCAGTGGTGTGATCTCGGCTCACTGCTGCAACCTCCACCACCAGCTTCAAGTGATTCTCCTGCCTCAGCCTCCCAAGTAGCTGGGATTACAGTTGTGTGTCACCATGTCCAGCTAATTTTTATATTTTTAGTAGAGATGGGGTTTCACCATGTTGGCCAGGCTGGTCTTGAACTCCTGACTTAAAGTGATCCTTCCAAAGTGCTGGGATTACAGGTGTGAGTCACTGTGCCCAGCCCCCTTAAGAATAATCTTAAGAAGGTTCTTGCTGAAGCACTTAGTGGTGAGAGTTACAATGTCTACTCCTTGTTTTTAAAATTTAAGAATATTTTAAAAGCATATGTTGTGTGTGTATAAACAGATACAATAAAATGTGAAGAGTGGGTGAATCCAGTGAAGGGGATACTTGTGTTCACTGTACTATCCTTGCAACTTTTCTGCCGGTTTGAAATTTTTCCGTCTTTTTTTTTGAGATGGAGTCTTACTCTGTTGCCCAGGCTGGAGTGCAGTGGTGCGATCTCGGCTCACTGCAACCTCTGCCTCTTGGGTTCAAGCGATTCTCCTGTCTCAGTCTCCGGAGTAGCTGGGACTACAGGTGGCTGCCACTACACCGGGCTAATTTTTGTATTTTTTTTTTAAGTAGAGATGGGGTTTCACCGTGTTGTCCAGGTTGGTTTCAATCTCCTGACTTCAATAGATCCACCCGCCTTGGCTTCCCAAAGTGCTAGGATGACTGGTATGAGTCACCGCTCCCAGCCTGAAATTTTTCAAAATGAAAACACCGCAGGTCAGGAGTTTGAGACCAGCCTGAACAACATAGTGAAACCCTGTCTCTATTGAAAATACAAAAATTAACCAGACATGGTGGTGTGCACCTGTAGTCCCAGTTACTCGGGAGGCTGAGGTGGGAGAGTTGCTTGAGTCCAGGAGATGGAGGCTGTAGTGACCTGCAGTGAGCTACAACTGCACCACTGTACTCCAGCATAGGTGAGAGCAAGACTCTGTTTCTAAAAAAAAAAAAAAATTACTGGGCATGTACTGTATGCCATGTAGGTGGTGGAGACATAGCAGGAGATCAGACAAACACTTCCCTGTCTGTGTGGCAAATATTAAACTTGCAATAAACTTGCAAAGACAAATAAAGATAAAATTTATAGAGATGTCAAAAATAAACATATAATTGCAAGTCACATTCATTTCTCTTTCTCTGCTATTCCTGCTCTCGCCTTCCCTCTTCTGCTTCTCCTCTCTCCGTCACAGACACCCACAACGTCCCTCTGCAGTCACTGACAGATACCCCAGGTTCCTTCCTGTCTTCCTCCCCGCCACCCCAGTGTGTTACAGCTGATTTGTACAGCCCTGGACAAGCCCATGGTTAAATAGCTAGGGATTTCATCAGCCTGGTTGGCAAACTGTAGGTAGCTTAAAATCAGACATGCTATGAGTATTTACACCAGAGAAATAGGCCAACACTACGAGGCAGGATTTGTGGGTATTGTTTTTCAGAAAACTTGGTTTTTCAGCACAACACTGCTCTCCCATCGGCTTCCAGCAAATAAATGTTGCATTTTTCAGATATATCCTAATTCTTTCATAGATATTCAGTCTCTACTCCACCTCTGGCCAAGCCTTTCCTGGTGGTAGGAAACTGGGGACTTGAGTCCTATGTTGTACTGTGAGGGTAGAGAATAGAAGAGAAAGCATGAGAGAAAAGCATGAAAAGAAGAATCAAAAGAAAGCAATATAAGAAGGAAAGAGAAAGAACAGAGAAGTGGGAAGACAGTGGAGGGTAGAAACTAGGACCGGAAGACATGGGGACAAGCTGATGCCCACTGCACAACGTCCTCACAGGTAGTTGGGCCATTTCCCCATCTGGGGTACAGAGGTGGCCAGGGAGCCCATGAGAAATGAGGAAACTGCCTTCCCAAACTACTGGAGAAAGAGGGTGGGGGTGGTGATCCACATAGCTGGGCTCAGGAGGAAAGAGGGCTGGGAGTCTGGACCGGGGGAACCTCGGGTCAAGATGCCACAGTTTCTAACTATGGAGGGCCTGGGGGCCTGGACTCCTGGGTCTGAGGGAGGAGGGCCTGGGGGTCTGGACTCCTGGGTCGGAGGGAGGAGGGCCTCGGGGCCTGGACTCCTGGGTCTGAGAGAGGGAGGCCTGGGGCCTGGACTCCTGGGTCTGAGGGAGGAGGGGCTGGGGGGCTGGACTCCTGGGTCTGAGGGAGGAGGCACTGGGGGCCTGGACTCCTGGGTCTGAGGGAGGAGGGACTGGGGGCCTGGACTCCTGGGTCTGAGGGCGGAGGGGCTGGGGGTCTGGACTCCTGGGTCTGAAGGAGGAGGGGCTGAGGGGCTGGGGGTCCTGGACCCTCCATCTGAGGGAGGAGGGGCTGGATGCCTGGACCCGAAGGTCTGAGGAAGAAAGGGGGTCCCTGATAGGCCACTGCGGCCATTGAGACTTGGGGTGGGGCCCAAGCCTCCATTTTGCAAGGCCCTCCCCTCCCCACCCTTTTCTGGGCTGGCTGCTTAAGGGCTGGTATAAAGGACTTGTTTCCTGCTGAAAAAGCAGAAAGAGATTACCAGCCACAGACGGGTCATGAGCGCGGTATTACTGCTGGCCCTCCTGGGGTTCATCCTCCCACTGCCAGGTGAGTGATGAGCCCAGCCTGGAGGAGATTCCCTGGAGGCCGGGCAAGGGAACCCTGCTGAGATGGATTTGCTCTTGCCACTCCAGGAGTGCAGGCGCTGCTCTGCCAGTTTGGGACAGTTCAGCATGTGTGGAAGGTGTCCGACCTGCCCCGGCAATGGACCCCTAAGAACACCAGCTGCGACAGCGGCTTGGGGTGCCAGGACACGTTGATGCTCATTGAGAGCGGTGAGAAGGCCCTGGCGTGCAGAGACCCCGCCCTGTCCCCTCAGTCCCTTGATCCCTGTGCAGGGACCCGGGAGCCACCCCTCCGGGGGATCGACTCCTAGGGTCCCGGTGATCCCCTTTCCAGCCTCTCAGCCTACGCCGTGTAGCAGCGTCTCCCTCCAGGACCCTGGAGGCCTGACCTCCATCCTCGCTTGCCTCCCTCTTTCGGTCCAGGACCCCAAGTGAGCCTGGTGCTCTCCAAGGGCTGCACGGAGGCCAAGGACCAGGAGCCCCGCGTCACTGAGCACCGGATGGGCCCCGGCCTCTCCCTGATCTCCTACACCTTCGTGTGCCGCCAGGAGGACTTCTGCAACAACCTCGTTAACTCCCTCCCGCTTTGGGCCCCACAGCCCCCAGCAGGTGCCTGCGGGAGGGTCGGGAGGAGAGGGAGGGGCTGCTAGAAGGGGATCCGCTGAGCACAGAGGGGCTGTTACGGAGTCCCTCCCACCCTCGCTCGCTATCCCGACCCTCGCTGGCTCCATCCCTCCCCTGACTGCTCCCTGACCATCGCCCCGCCCCGCTCCCTTTCCATCCCTCCCCACTCACTCCCGATCCCTCCCACCGACCTGCCACCCGGGAATCCCCGCACCCCTCCTCTTCTAAGAGCAAACAGGACGGATTTCTGATATGAAATCACCATTAACTGGGTTATCCTGCATTCTTTTTTTATTCTGTTGCGTTTGGTTCAAGAAGTTCTCCTGCAGGGTTTTTGCTATTTCCTCTTCCTAAGGGAGACTGAACTGTAACTTTCCACTTTCCTTGTCTGGTGTTATAAAGAGTCTAGGGAGATATTTTGCGCTTCTTTTATTGGAACAGCTTGTGAACACAGAAGTCTCCTGTTCTTGGAGGTTTAGTAGCGCTTGCAGGTGAAGGCACTGGCTCGTTCCAGGGCACCCCCTCATTCCCTTGACCAATGAGTCTGCTTCTGTGTCTCCCCTCGGAAGGCCAGACTTTGTTGAAAGGTTCAGACTTGACCATGTCTGAGTCTACATTTGGCCTCAGCAGGCCCCTCCTCCACCCTGCCCACCCCCCACCCCCACTTGCCACCCAAGACACCCCCCCTTTTCTTTTCTTTTTTTTTTTTTTTTTTTTTTTTTCTGAGAAAGCGTCTCGCTGTGTCGACCAGGCTGGAGTGCAGTGGCGCAATCTCGGCTCACTGCAACCTCCGACTCCCGGGTTCAAGCGATTCTCCTGCGTCAGCCTCCCACGTAGCAGGGACTAGAGGAGCCTGCCACCACGCCCGGCTAATTTTTGTATTTTTAGTAGAGACAGGGTTTCACTATGTTGCCCAGGCTGGTCTTGAACTCCTGACCTCGTGATCCACCTGCCTCAGCCTCCCAAAGTGCTGGGATTACAGGTGTGAGTCACCACACCCAGCCAAGACCACTTTCTGTACCCAGCCCTGGGTGCCTCTACCCAGACCTCCTGTTCATTCTCCCTTCCTCTTTTATGGATTACACTTCTTTATTTTCCCACATCCAGATCCCATGATGGGAGCTGCAGAAGGCCCCTTTGGGAAGGCTGAGCAGGTTGACTCTTGAGGCCAGCAAAAGTGGGGTGCAGAGAAGGTATCTGATCAAATCCAGTGCCCTCTCAGTGCCCCCTCACTCTGTCTGTCACTTTCCTAGACCCAGGATCCTTGAGGTGCCCAGTCTGCTTGTCTATGGAAGGCTGTCTGGAGGGGACAACAGAAGAGATCTGCCCCAAGGGGACCACACACTGTTATGATGGCCTCCTCAGGCTCAGGGGAGGTAAGCCTGGGACATCGGGGTCCCTGTGGGGACTGAACTGGAAGGTCTGGGGACTGAGATCTTAGGCTTTGGGGAGTGAGGTGAGCTGAGGCACGGCATGAGACCCAGAGGAGGGTGGGCCTGGCTTCCTGGAGCTATGCCTGCCTCTGAGGGTTGGGTGGTCCTGGAGGCAGCATCACTGACTCTCCCTCGCTCCCCCTTTCTGCAGGAGGCATCTTCTCCAATCTGAGAGTCCAGGGATGCATGCCCCAGCCAGTTTGCAACCTGCTCAATGGGACACAGGAAATTGGGCCCGTGGGTATGACTGAGAACTGCGATATGAAAGGTGAGTCCTGCCCCTAGGCTGTGCCCTGGACTGCAGCCTCGGGGCACGATGACACATGGGGCATCCAGAGCCATCACACCAAAGCCAGCAGGAGGAAGGTCAAGGGTGCAGGGTGGGTTGCTTGGCATGTGGCTTTAGGCAACAGTGAGTGCTGGGGCCCCTGCTGGCTCTCAAGCTGCTGAGAGTGACTGGTTGCTTCAATTTCTGTGTCTCCACACCCCTGGCCTTGGGTAACCCTAGGTCTCCCACTTCCCTAGGCCACCGTAGCCTCTCTCCCACCCGTATCAGCCCCCGCCCCGCTCATGGTGCTGGAGTGCCCCAGCAGCCTTGCCTGCACAGGAGAGAACATCAGAGAGAAAATCAAGGGGACTTTGGGTGTGACAGAGAAAGCAAGAGTTAAAGGAGGACACTGAGAGGGTCCCCACTTACCCATTTAGGTGCTGCCATGGAAGAGAGTGCCAGGGAATGTCTCCATAAGAAGGGCTCCAAAGCAACAGGAAGCCATGGTGGGGAGGTGGGGGTCTTATAGGAATCCCAGCTTCCCTCCTAGAAGCAAAGTCTTCCCTGCCCCTGCCTCAGTTTCCTTGTCTGCCCACATCACGCTAACCCTTAGAGCTTAGAAGAGAGAGTTGTGTGAGCTCTGCACACATTCCTCTGTGTATTTGGCTGTTTCTCCCTAGCTAGGCTGGGAGCCTGAGGCTAGGGGCTTGGTACCACTGGCACCAGGGTTTCCAGCCTTGGGTAGCTCAGGAGACGGCTCAGGAAGGGTACCAGGAGGTGTTTGCTCAAGTGAGGACATGCAGGGCTCACTTGAGCAAAGCTCCCTCATGAGTCAGACCCTGTTTCTACCTGAAGGGCCTCCAGGACTAGGAGGGGGAGGTGCTACAGACACAGATGGTCACAGCTTGAGGTGATCAGGGCTGTGGCAAACGGGGATGTGGGGCCTGGGGCAGCTCAGAGGAGGAAAATACTGATGTTGTTGGGGTAGAGAGTCAAGGAGGGCTTTACAGAGGAGGTGGCCTGTGAACCGTGTGTTAAAGATGACCTACAGCTTATTGGTAGAAGAGGAAGAGGACATTGGTGGCAGAGGGAACAGTGTGTAGCAGCTGCATAGGCCTGGAGGTGGGAGTGAGCCTGCTGTTTTCAAGAAGAGTCCCTCACTCCACCTGAGAAGGACTCATCAAGATGAGGGGGTACAGCTGGGATTGGGGGTGATTCGAAGTTTTCCAGGTGGACAAGGTGGGTGTGGGGTCGAAGAGGGAGCTGCTCCAAGCCAAAGGCACAGCAGGTGTGAGGCTGAGGAGGAAATGAACTGGCATGCCTTCAGAATGGATACTGGTGGGGGAGGAAGAGTTAAGTGGGGAACCTGGTGGTCGCTCAAGTACCTGAAAACCCAGGCTGAGGGGTGGACCCTCTCCTGAAGGCAGGGGAGCCATGGAAGATTGTGGAGCAGGGAGGGCAGGGTCTGAGCCATTTATCTTTCCTTTTGACTGATGCTGCTGTTAAGGATCTGGCCCTGGTCTCTGGGACCAGATGACACTGATAACCCAGAAGGTATTTCAGAAACAAATCAGACGCAACACATGCCACACACACAGCCCACAATAAGCACAGCAGACACGAATGCGTCACACCATGACACATACACACCACACATCACATACCACACACACACTCCCCCATACCCCTGACATACCACCTATGGAACACAAATCACACACAGAGCACACAATATGCACAACACACACAAATGCATCACACGAGTGCACAATTACTACGTGTACATGTAGTGTGTATGCCACATACTACACGTCAGGTACCACACACACTCTCCCTCTCAACATATCAGACATGCAATACATACCACACACAACACACAATACACACAACACATCTGGCATGCCACACACACCACATGCAAGCAAAACACAGATACACAGAACACACACCACACCAAACACACAAAACAAACACATACCACATATATCACACACAGTATGTCTACACATGCACGCACCACACAAACATACCATGAACACACCACACACCCCATACAACCACACCCCCCACATGTATACTACGCACTCACACACAGCACACATACCTGCACACATCACGCATGTGCACACACTACACAAACGCACCACATAAAACACAGCGACTATGCACCAATCAGTGCTGTTCATAGAGATTCATCTGCTTTCAACACTGGAGCCAGATCTTGCAGGCTGTTTTGCCTCCCTGGTGAAGTGCAGTTCAGCAGTTTAGCAGACAGTGAGCATCACAAGACCAGGCATCAGAAACTGGGGGAACAACAAGACGTTGGGGACCAAGTGCAGGAGAGAAGAGGCTTCAGGGTGATGGAACCGCTTATAAGAAGCCGCAGCAGTGGGAGGGCTGGGTGCAAGGATGCAGGTTACTAAAAGGGGCCATGGCAGCAGCCCCTTGTGAAGAACCAAGGGGCCCGGGCAGATAAGGCCCTGGCTGCCCCTAGAGGAGCTGGGCAGCGGTCCCAGTGAGAGAGCAGGGAAGAGCCCACGTCTGAATCAGGGACACGTGGGTCCCAGGCCCAGCTCTGCCGCCGAAACAGCTTTCCAGCCTCAGCTTCACACGAGGATCAAAAGTCTCCATATCTCATGGAGCCTCTTTCCCTGGATTTGGGGAAGAGGAGGGGATGGTTGCAGACATGGGACGGAAGCAGATGCAAAGACCATGATGTGGGTGAGTGCCTGCCAGAAACACCTGTGCGGAGCAGAGTGATGGAGGGAGCAGGGAGGCGGCCGCGTCTTATCAGGCCTCCCGGGCCATTGGAAGGGCTTAGAATTTTATTCTCCAGAATGGGGACCTCCTGGAGTCTTCGGAGCAGAGGAGTGACATGAACTGACTTAGGTTTACCTAGCCTCCCTCTGCCTGCTGGGTGGAGAATGGAGCGAGAGGAACAGTGACAGGCGGGTGCAGGGATTGCCCCAGGAGTCAGGTGGGAGTGAAGCGGGGGGCTTGGAGGCAGCAGAGGTGGTGACGTGGGGTTGGGTTTTGAAGATTTTCTGCAGCTCAAGCCAGTAGGATTACTTGAGGAACACAATGTGGGAGAGAAAGAGCGTGGTCAAGGACAACACCAATGTGTTCAGCTAGACTGGCAGAAACGAGCCGCCACGGGTGTAAGTAGGGGAGATGGGAGTGGGGAGAGAAGGGTGGGAGAAGGGAGCAGGAGCCATGATTTTGATTTTGTCATCTGTGAAGTATGCAAATGAGCAGCCCTCCAGGGTGGCATCGGTTCTGCAGGTCGCATGTGTTGGTGGAAGCTGGGGGCTCAGTCTAAGAGTCCCTGCATCATGGGACCGATCCCCCCTGCTCTGTGATGGCCGTGAGGGGAGGCCAGGGGCTGTGGTTTCACACTAGAGCCTTGAGGGCCTCGGGGCCAAGGTAGCCGAGGATGGTCTTCAGTACCTGTCTCCCTCCTGCTCCCAACCCCGACCCTGAGGGTCCAGAGTCCCTGGGTTCCCAGCCTACCTCTGCCACTCACAAGCTGTGTGGCATGGGCAGCTACTGAGCAATCCTGCCTCTGTTTCCCTTGTTGCAAATGAGGGTGTTGATTGTGATCACACCACCTACTGCTGGGGTGCTGTGGGGAAATGAGGCATCCCAGATAAGCTGTGTTCCCTGGAACCTTAGATGGGTGGATCTGTGGGAAGCAATGAGGTCAGCCAGGTGCAGAGGCAGTGCTCAGCGGCAGTGCTCAGCCCACCCTGGCCCTTCGCATCTTGTTTGGAACATAGGGCTTTGCAACTGAAAGGTATGAGAAAGGTCTCAGGCTGCCTTCCTTATTATTGAAATGAGGACCTTAAAGCTCAGATGGGGAAGCAGAGATGGGATGAGGATAAGGAAGAGCTTCCATTGCTCTCACAGCTAAAGCAAGGAACGGCCGTTCCCCCAGGGCTGTGAGAGGACGTCCCTGCGGGTGTTCAAGCAGAAACAGGGAACAATGGGGGTGGGATTTCGACTCCCAAGTCCCTTCTGAATCCTTGGTTAAGGGAATCTGTGGCCAGGTCACCTGGAGTGTGACTCAAGAGTGTGATCACCTTCCCTAGCCCAGGACGTGGAGGGACAGACATGGTGGGTTCCTGGCTTACACACACCCTGGGATTCCTCTCCCCAGATTTTCTGACCTGTCATCGGGGGACCACCATTATGACACACGGAAACTTGGCTCAAGAACCCACTGATTGGACCACATCGAATACCGAGATGTGCGAGGTGGGGCAGGTGTGTCAGGAGACGCTGCTGCTCCTAGATGTAGGTACGTGGACTGAGGTAGAAGACGAACACCTGTCCCAAGTCCCTGGCAGCTCCCTCCACCCCACTGGATTCTTTCCCCTGAATTTCCTGCTCAGCTCCCTTCACATCTGCAATTTTCAATCCGACTCTTCTTCTCTCTGCATCTTGGGTTCCCCTTATGAAAACTGGGGGTGAAGCAGTGGGAATGACAGTGTCTGCCTTTCTGGGGAGGGGTGACCACGTATGCGGTAATCCCTGCCCAGGGTGGAGAACCGTGCCAACACCGAGGACTCTCAGTGGCTTCATACATTCTGGAAATGTTTATCCAGCATTTGTTTTAGGTGCCGCAGATCCAATCCCATCTGTATTCCTGCAGCTTTATATGCCTTGAGAAACAGGAAACAAACAAACAAAAAGCAGCAAAGTATGGGGAATGGAGATCCCAGCTCTGCAGAGAAATCTGGCAAGGAAAAGGAGATAGGAAAAGTGAGGGGAAGGCTGCAATTTTAAGCTCAGTGCTCAGGGGAGACTCATGGAGAAGGTGACCTTTGAGCGAGAACTGGGAGGAGGCAGAGCTTCGGGCAGGACCCAGGCCCCAGCCTCCGTCTTTGCCCCACACTAAACATGACCCAGCAGTTGTGATCAGGGCATTCACCCTCTGCCTGGGGGGTATTGTGAAGGGCAGGGAGTCCAGCTCTGGAGCCCCTGCTGCCCTGGGAGCTGCCCAGTCCCCAGCCCAGCTTTCCCTCTCACCCTCAGGACTCACATCAACCCTGGTGGGGACAAAAGGCTGCAGCACTGTTGGGGCTCAAAATTCCCAGAAGACCACCATCCACTCAGCCCCTCCTGGGGTGCTTGTGGCCTCCTATACCCACTTCTGCTCCTCGGACCTGTGCAATAGTGCCAGCAGCAGCAGCGTTCTGCTGAACTCCCTCCCTCCTCAAGGTATGGGATCCAGGGCCGTGGAGAAATGAGGCCCAGACACACAGAGACTCTGGCCCAAGGTGGCCAGCTGCTCTGAGCACAAAGTCATGTACCCCCACCTTCCCTCTGCTCCCCAGCTGCCCCTGTCCCAGGAGACCGGCAGTGTCCTACCTGTGTGCAGCCCCTTGGAACCTGTTCAAGTGGCTCCCCCCGAATGACCTGCCCCAGGGGCGCCACTCATTGTTATGATGGGTACATTCATCTCTCAGGAGGTGAGTGCTGCAAGCAGGGCCCCAAGGATGAAGGCACTGGTGGCCTGGACTCCTGGGTCTGAGGGAGGAGGGGCTGGGGGCCTGGACTCCTGGTCCGAGGGAGGAGGCGCTGGGGGCCTGGACTCCTGGTCCGAGGGAGGAGGGGCTGGGGGCCTGGACTCCTGGTCTGAGGGAGGAGGCGCTGGGGGCCTGGGCTCCTGGTCCCAGGGAGGAGGGGCTGGGTGCCTGGACTCCTGGTCTGAGGGAGGAGGGGCTGGGGGCCGGGGCTCCTGGGTCTGAGGAGCTGAGGCTCTGGACTCCTGGGTCTGAGGTAGGAGGGACTGGGGGCCTGGACTCCTGGGTCTGAGGGAGGAGGGGCTGGGGGCCTGGACCCCTGGGTCTGAGGAGCTGGAGCTGGGGGTCTGGGCTCCTCGGTCTGAGGGAGGAGGGTCTGGGGCCTGGACTCCTGGGTTTACAACTTGGCTGGGCTGTACTCTGTGTCCTTTCTGACTTGGTCTTCTCCCTCTAGGTGGGCTGTCCACCAAAATGAGCATTCAGGGCTGCGTGGCCCAACCTTCCAGCTTCTTGTTGAACCACACCAGACAAATCGGGATCTTCTCTGCGCGTGAGAAGCGTGATGTGCAGCCTCCTGCCTCTCAGCATGAGGGAGGTGGGGCTGAGGGCCTGGAGTCTCTCACTTGGGGGGTGGGGCTGGCACTGGCCCCAGCGCTGTGGTGGGGAGTGGTTTGCCCTTCCTGCTAACTCTATTACCCCCACGATTCTTCACCGCTGCTGACCACCCACACTCAACCTCCCTCTGACCTCATAACCTAATGGCCTTGGACACCAGATTCTTTCCCATTCTGTCCATGAATCATCTTCCCCACACACAATCATTCATATCTACTCACCTAACAGCAACACTGGGGAGAGCCTGGAGCATCCGGACTTGCCCTATGGGAGAGGGGACGCTGGAGGAGTGGCTGCATGTATCTGATAATACAGACCCTGTCCTTTCTCCCAGTGCTGGGATTTCTCCATGTGAGGGGGCAGCAGGACACCCAGGGATCTAGCGTGGGGGAGGAGAGGAGCCTAATGAGAAAATGACCATCTAAAGCCTGCCCTTCATTGGTCTGGTTCACGTCTCCAAACCAGCTTGGATGGTAGCAGAGACTTCAGGGTGCTCCAGCCAAACGTATTTGGGCATCACCATGACCTGGGAGGGGAAGATGCACTGAGACGTATGAGGCTTCCAGCCTAGCAGCCAGGGCCCTAGCACAAACAGGAGGCTCGCCCCATCTGAGCAACTGCAGGAGAGGTTAGTACAGTCATGCATTGCTTAACGACAGGGACGTGTCGTTAGAAATGTGTCGTTAGGTGATTTTATGACCATAGGAACATTGTAGCGTGCACTTACACCAACCCAGATGGTACAGCCCAATACACACCCAGGATGGACGCTAGAGTCGACTGCTCCTAGGCTACAAGCCTGCAGTGCATGTTATGGTGTGAATACTGCAGGCAATCTTAACACCACGGCAAGTATTTGTGCATCTACACACATCTAAACATAGAAAAGGTACAGCATAAATACACTATTGTCATCTCAGCAGACCACCGTTCTATACGCAATTCGTCGCTGACCCAAACGTTGCTATGTAGCATCTGCGTATCGTGGGATAATTGACATGAGGGCTTGAGAGAACTCCAGAAAAAAATGGGTTAGCATTTTCCCAGAGCTGTTATCATTGGGTCTCTCTTACCACCATAGCCCAAAAAGGGTGAGGAGAAGAGCCACTGCTGGAATCTGCAGACAGAGAGAGAGAGAGAGAGAGAGACATAGACAGAAAGAGACAGAGAGAGCTGGAGAGAGAGCCGGAGACAGAAAGAGAGAGATATTCAGAGAGGGTTGCCTAACAAGAGCTCCCATCTCAGGCTGAAAAACGCGTCCAGCCCACAATGATACTGGGGAGGGAAGTGGGGAACTAAAATTCCAAACTGATGTCCTCACTCTGGTCTCCAGTTGAGGTTCCCCATTGACTGAACCCCCTAGAGGCCACAGAAGCAGGAGACTCCACTGGTCCAGCCCCCATAGATCTGCCATTCACACTACAGAACAGAGGAGAGGAGAGGGAAGAGGAGAAGAGAGCGAATCTGGAGAAGGAAACAGAACACGTCTAGTACCGTTCACTCCCTTGCCCCTCGGCATCCACCCTTTCCCTTTGTCCAAATGAAAATCAAAGTCCAGGACGGGCTCGGTGGCTCACGCCTATAATGCCAGCACTTTGGGAAGCCGAGGTGGGAGGATCACTTGAGCCCAGGAGTTTGAGACCAGCCTGGGCAACATAGTGAAACCGCTTCTCTACAAAAAAATACAAAAAATAAGCCGGGTGTGGTGGTGTGCGCCCCCTCCCTCTACTGGTCCCAGCTACTCAGAAGGCTGAGTCCAGGAGGTCAAGGCTGCAGTGAGCCAAGACTGCACCACTGCACTCCAGCCTGGGCGACAGAGCAAGACCCTGTCTCAAGGGGGAAAAATAAATCAGAGTCCTCCGTACAGATGACACACAATTCCAGTCCTTCCCTCTGTCACAGTAACAGTGTGTGATGGTGACAGTGATGTCCTCCTCCCATTGTGCTGGGCACCAGTTCTTCACCCACAATGAGAGAAAGATGGGGAGGAGATGGCTTCCAATACAGCTGCTGAGGTCCTGGGGGCGGGGCTGCTGGTGCTTAGAGCTGCTTTCTTCCAGTACATTCCACATTGTCTTCCCACTTCCAAAACCTCCTTTGGATGTTATTTGTTACCTGCAGTGTAACCCAAATCTTGATTCTTATGGAGAGTGAGTCTTGGATGGCCTTGTCTTTAGTGGGTTTCTGTAGTTTTCCATGGAACAGGGCCCTGGCCAAGGAAATGTTACCGCCATGAGTTGCCTGCCTTCGAAAATAGCCTCCTTGTCCCAGCCACCCGACCTCCCTCTGTAATCAGATGCCATTCCCCCGACTGCAGAGTGACGTCTCCTTTGCCTGCTGTTTTGGCAGCACAAGGGGCACAGGATGGCTGGAGGGCTGTCATGGCTTCCTGCAGATCAGAACTAGGAAGAGATTCCTCATCCACAGCAGCCCAGGGCCACGGGGACAAAGAGCAAGCATTCTCTCAGTGGGCTGGCAGGTGCAGTCACGGGAGGGAGCCGCGCTTATTCTTCCTGTCTTTCCTGGATCTTTGCATCTGGCCCTGGGGCGCGTGACCCGATAGCCTGGTTGCTGGTTTATAAGATGTGTGGCCCCTCCTGTGGGTGGTGGGGTACGGTCTCCCTCCCGGTGCCCTGATAAGCCACACATGAGCCATTGCGCCAATCTGAGAAGCAGCTGTGTCTGTATAGAGGGGCACCTGAGACGGTCAGTGGGTTCCATGGGTGTGAGTTAATTACCCCCCATTCTTTGCGTTAACACGTGTCCCCAGTGGAAGCAACCCTGCATGGGTTCCAGAGCCACAGGAAAGGCGCTGTTCACAGAAGCACTGAGCAGGGTCCAGGGAAGGCCAACTGGAACCCCCAGTGTGTGCGTATCCGTGTGAGGACAAAGCCCAGTCCCCTCCAGGATGGGACGTGTCCTGTGTGGCCAGCCTATCTGCAGTGGCCGGGTAGTCCTCCTGTAAAATGACGCCTTCCAGGGGCTTAGCCCCGGGCTCTGCCTACACTGGGCAGGGCTGGATACAGTGTGCAGCCAGGCCAGTGCTGGGAGACTCAGTCCACTTGTGGTAAGGTATGTCGCCGTCCTCCCTATCCATGTGGCCATCTGCACCTGGACCCCCTGAACAAGCTCTGAGGGACAGAGTCTGCCTGACACCATCCACCAAACACCAAGAACCTCATCCCCACAGCACAGGTTCTGGGCTTAAGGGTGGGGACGGCATAGCTCACACTTTGTGCCCATCCCCAGAGGAACATCCATGTGTCCTCCCTGTCTTAAGTTTACTCTTTTATTCTCTTCAAGTCCTTGACCATGTGGCCCGCTCTGGGTTCATGCAATGGACCCAAGTCCATCCCTCCTTGCAGAACCCCTGAGGTTCTGCCCATCTGAAGGATTTCCCTTCATCACTCCTCAGGACCACCTGAAGTGGGCACTAAGGCAGCCGCCGTCCACTTCTGCTGGGCGCCAGCTCACCGTGAGGACCCATCCATAAGCCTGGTCTGCACTTTCCTCCTCTGTATGAGGTCACAGGGCTTCCCAGGAGCTCACAGATGTGGTAGAGGGAGGGGCAGAAGGACAGGTGCCATGGGAGCCTGAGTCACTTGCTGGCCTCAGACCTGCTTGAGCCTGACCCCATGCTCAGCTGTCCCGTGGATGCTGGAGGCTGCTGTGCATGCCCCAGGTTATGGTTTGGTAGCTCAGAGAGCACCCGGCCCTGAACTTGATTGCACTTGGCCCAGGGATGAGCCAAGAGCTGCTTTCCGAATGGTCAGAGTTACCTGCAGGAGGAGGCGCGGAATTTCTCTAGAACCTCCAGCTCTGCACTGTTAATCTTTTGGAGCTTGTGAAAATCTCCATAAAATAATGCACTAGATTTGAAACATAGACTCTCTTACATTTTTTCGTTTCTAAATATACTCTAAATATACTCATCCAGGAGTTATCGAGAATAATATTTTGCAATTCCAACTGGAGTAATGTACTGGGAAGTGCTGTGGTTCATTTCTTTCTTTCTATTTTTTTTTTTTTTTTTGAGATGGAGTCTCGCTCTGTTACCCAGGCTGGAGTGCAGTGGCGTGATCTTTGCTCACTGCAACCTCCGCCTCCTAGCTTCAAGCGATTCTCCTGCGTCAGCCTCCCGAGTAGCTGGGATTACAGGCACCCGCCACCACGACCGGCAATTTTTTTGTATTTTTAGTAGAGATGGGGTTTTGTCATGTTGGCCAGGCTGGTCTCAAACTCCTGACCTCAGGTGATCTGCCTGCCTTGGCCTCCCAAAGTGCTGGGATTACTGGCGTGAGCCTGTGCTTCATTTCTTTTATAATTCTATTGTGGTTTAAATGGCCCGTTGCTTTCCTAATTTGTGGGTATTCCCTGTATCACCTATTGTTTACTTTCTACCTCTCTGATATTTACCGTATATGAATTTATCAATCCTGATTTTACTTCTTCAAAGCCAGTATGAGTTTAGTCAAGTCTGATTTCCCCGTACAGGATGAAAGGTTTTTGTGGGCGTCAAGCAAGAACATTGTAGGATGCTGAATAGGATCTGTATACATCTCAAGTTGTCTAGGAAGCAGGGACATTTGCTCCTTCTTATCTTGCTGGGATTTCTGTCACTAGCAGTTGGAAGGGACTCCAGTTTTAAGACAAAGGTTTACAATTTCTTTAGCACCAAGAAAAAAAGAAGCATAAAACTGGAGAGAAAAGGGTATAATATTATGTTCAGCAAGGAATATGGAAAATATAATCTTTTGAATCTTCTGAGTTAATTAATCTGTACTCTGAGATGGGCAGAAATGAGAACCACGTCCCCATCTCTGCAATAAATTCCCTAGGTTTGGATTTTAGCCAAGAAGTTTCTGCTTTCCTGGAGAATGTCTCTGAATTTAAACACCACACCTCAAAGCCAGAAAAGGGAAAGTTTACTTTGGGCTTTGATCCAAGTTTTCAGTGGCTGGAAACACGGTTACACTCCTGGAGACAAGGTGGCCTTGGACACCCAGGAAGAGCCCTGCTCCTGGGCACACCTGGCCCTGGAGCCAGACCACCTGGGTTTGAACCCCAGCTCCGCACCTTACCAGCAGAGCTTCCTCTCTGGAAAGTGGAGATGATCGTGATATCACTGACCTCAGACTGTGGTTGTCTCAATTAAATTAACAATCCATGTTATGAGTGTACAAGTATCGGGCACAGAGCATCGACTCAATTAATACTGATCTGTAATGAATGGGGATTCATGCCAAGTGCTGATGATGTGCATGACATTAGTGCTGACTGCTGTAAGTACTGGAAGCCGTCATGATAATGAACAGTGACTCTCATCACAGTTCATGGGGTCCTTTGTGAAACATGAGGGGGCATTAAGCAGAAACAGCCAGCCCAGCCCTCTCCACCACCCTTGAGGTGGTGTATCTATGCCTGGTTTACAGTGTGGAAACTGAGGCTCAGAGACGGGGACTGGATTGTGCACGGTCACCCAGTCACGAAGGCCAGGAAATGATGGATGGGATGCAGGCTGTGCGCTCAGCCACCTCCCCGTGGAGCAGTTCAGGGGCACTGGGCATCGGGTCGCCCTGAAGATGCTGCTCTTGTCTGTCTGCCTCTCTCTTTCCACCGCACTGGGTCTCTGTTTCTGGCTCTGTCTCCTCCTCACTGTGTGTCTTTGGCTCACTTTGTGTCTTTTCATCTCTGTGTCTCCCTGTCTCTCTCTGTCTTTGTCTCCCTCTCACTTGGTCCCTTCCTTCCTTTCTTCCTTCCTTCCTTCCTTCCTTCTTTCTTTCTTTCTTTCTTTCCTTTTTCTTTCTTATTATAACACCATTGATTTTTAATCAAGGATCCACAAGCTTGGGTCCTCTCTTGTCTCACCCTAGTCCTGCCCTGTGTCTCTCTACGGCACACCTTTTACTTCTCTGGCTCTGACTCTCTGAGTTCTCCCTCTGTCCATGCCTCTCCCCTCCCTCCATCTCTCTGTGTTAGTGTCTCTGTACCCTTTCCTCTCTGCCTCTCTCTGTATCTCCCCTCTCCACCCCCATATATCTCTGACTCTGTCTCTCTCTGGGTCTTTATCATTTTCTCTTTCTCTCTCCATCCCTGCCCCCATTCTCTCTCTGCCTTTCTCGATCTCTCTGTTTCTCACCCTCCTTCTGCCTTCCCCTAAGCCAGGGACTTCATGGCTCTGATGGCTGTCCAGCGGTGTTGCCCATTTTTATTGAAGTATCCTTCTGTCGACCCACTTGGAAAGACTTCCAAGATACACTGCACAGTGAGAAAAACAAGAAGCAGAACAGTGCACAGTGTGCCACCTCTGGCATTACAAAGGAGGAAATGTAAAATGAATTTATAAATGGCCAATAAGCAAATAAAATTTGGTCAACATCACTTATCATTAGGAAAATGGAAATCAAAACCACAGTGAGATACCACCTTACATCTGTTCTGATGGCAGTTCTGAAAAAAAAAAAAAAAAAAAAAACAAAGTGTTGGCGAGGAGAAATTGGAATGCTTGTGCAGTGTTTGTGGGTATATAATATGGCACAACCACTGTGGTCATTTCTCAAAAAATTAATCATAGACTTACCACACGATGCAGCAATTCTACTTCTGGTGTATTCTGAAAAGAACTGAGAGCAGGGGCCCCAGCAGGTATCTGCATGTCTTTGTTCATAGCAGCATTATTCACACTAGCCAAAGGTGTAAACAAGCCAAATGATATGGCTTTCCTCTGTCCGAACACAAATCTCACGTTCAGCTGTAATTCCCAAAGGTCGAAAATAGCCTCCTTGTCCCAGCCACCTGACCTCCCTCTGTAATGAGATGCCGTTCCCCCGACTGCAAGTGACTCAGGCTCCCATGGCACCTGTCCTCCTGCCCCTCCCTCTACCACATCTGTGAGCTCCTGGGAAGCCCTGTGACCTCATACAGAGGAGGAAAGTGCAGACCAGGCTTATGGATGGGTCCTCACGGTGAGCTGGCGCCCAGCAGAAGTGGACGGCGGCTGCCTTAGTGCCCACTTCAGGTGGTCCTGAGGAGTGATGAAGGGAAATCCTTCAGATGGGCAGAACCTCAGGGGTTCTGCAAGGAGGGATGGACTTGGGTCCATTGCATGAACCCAGAGCGGGCCACATGGTCAAGGACTTGAAGAGAATAAAAGAGTAAACTTAAGACAGGGAGGACACATGGATGTTCCTCTGGGGATGGGCACAAAGTGTGAGCTATGCCGTCCCCACCCTTAAGCCCAGAACCTGTGCTGTGGGGATGAGGTTCTTGGTGTTTGGTGGATGGTGTCAGGCAGACTCTGTCCCTCAGAGCTTGTTCAGGGGGTCCAGGTGCAGATGGCCACATGGATAGGGAGGACGGCGACGTACCTTACCACAAGTGGACTGAGTCTCCCAGCACTGGCCTGGCTGCACACTGTACCCAGCCCTGCCCAGTGTAGGCAGAGCCCGGGGCTAAGCCCCTGGAAGGCGTCATTTTACAGGAGGACTACCCGGCCACTGCAGATAGGCTGGCCACACAGGACACGTCCCATCCTGGAGGGGACTGGGCTTTGTCCTCACACGGATACGCACACACTGGGGGTTCCAGTTGGCCTTCCCTGGACCCTGCTCAGTGCTTCTGTGAACAGCGCCTTTCCTGTGGCTCTGGAACCCATGCAGGGTTGCTTCCACTGGGGACACGTGTTAACGCAAAGAATGGGGGGTAATTAACTCACACCCATGGAACCCACTGACCGTCTCAGGTGCCCCTCTATACAGACACAGCTGCTTCTCAGATTGGCGCAATGGCTCATGTGTGGCTTATCAGGGCACCGGGAGGGAGACCGTACCCCACCACCCACAGGAGGGGCCACACATCTTATAAACCAGCAACCAGGCTATCGGGTCACGCGCCCCAGGGCCAGATGCAAAGATCCAGGAAAGACAGGAAGAATAAGCGCGGCTCCCTCCCGTGACTGCACCTGCCAGCCCACTGAGAGAATGCTTGCTCTTTGTCCCCGTGGCCCTGGGCTGCTGTGGATGAGGAATCTCTTCCTAGTTCTGATCTGCAGGAAGCCATGACAGCCCTCCAGCCATCCTGTGCCCCTTGTGCTGCCAAAACAGCAGGCAAAGGAGACGTCACTCTGCAGTCGGGGGAATGGCATCTGATTACAGAGGGAGGTCGGGTGGCTGGGACAAGGAGGCTATTTTCGAAGGCAGGCAACTCATGGCGGTAACATTTCCTTGGCCAGGGCCCTGTTCCATGGAAAACTATAGAAACCCACTAAAGACAAGGCCATCCAAGACTCACTCTCCATAAGAATCAAGATTTGGGTTACACTGCAGGTAACAAATAACATCCAAAGGAGGTTTTGGAGGTGGGAGGACAATGTGGAATGTACTGGAAGAAAGCAGCTCTGAGCACCAGCAGCCCCGCCCCCAGGACCTCAGCAGCTGTATTGGAAGCCATCTCTTCCCCATCTTCCTCTCATTGTGGGCGAAGAACTGGTGCACAGCACAATGGGAGGAGGACATCACTGTCACCATCACACACTGTTACTGTGACAGAGGGAAGGACTGGAATTGTGTGTCGTCTGTACGGAGGACTCTGATTATTTTTTCCCCCTTGAGACAGGGTCTCGCTCTGTCCCCCAGGCTGGAGTGCAGTGGTGCAGTCTTGGCTCACTGCAGCCTTGACCTTCTGGACTCAGCCTTCTCAGTAGCTGGGACCACAGGCGTGCACCACCACACCCGGCTAATTTTTTGTTGTCTTAGTGGAGACTGGATTTCACGGTATTAGCCAGGATGGTCTCAATCTCCTGACCTCATGATCTGCCCGCCTCGGCCTCCCAAAGTACTGGGACTACAGACAGGCACGCACCACCACACCCGGCTAATTTTTTGTATTTTTTGTAGAGAAGCAGTTTCACTATGTTGCCCAGGCTGGTCTCAAACTCCTGGGCTCGAGTGATCCTCCCACCTCAGCTTCCCAAAGTGCTGGCATTACAGGCGTGAGCCACCGAGCCTGTCCTGGACTCTGATTTTCATCTGGACAAAGGGAAAGGGTGGATGCCGAGGGGCAAGGGAGTGAACGGTGCTAGACGTGTTCTGTTTCCTTCTCCAGATTCACTCTCTTCTCCTCTTCCCTTTCCTCTCCTCTGTTCTCTACTGTGAATGGCAGATCTATGGGGGCTGGACCAGTGGAGTCTCCTGCTTCTGTGGCCTCTAGGGGGTTCAGTCAATGGGGAACCTCAACTGGAGACCAGAGTGAGGACATCAGTTTGGAATTTTAGTTCCCCACTTCCCTCCCCAGTATCATTGCGGGCTGGACGCGTTTTTCAGCCTGAGATGGGAGCTCTTGTTAGGCAACCCTCTCTGAATATCTCTCTCTTTCTGTCTCCGGCTCTCTCTCCAGCTCTCTCTGTCTCTTTCTGTCTATGTCTCTCTCTCTCTCTCTCTCTCTGTCTGCAGATTCCAGCAGTGGCTCTTCTCCTCACCCTTTTTGGGCTATGGTGGTAAGAGATACCCAATGGTAACAGCTCTGGGAAAATGCTAACCCATTTTTTTCTGGAGTTCTCTTTAGCCCTTATGTCAATTATCCCACAATAGGCAGATGCTACATAGCAACGTTTGGGTCAGTGACGAATTGCGTATAGAACGGTGGTCTCCTGAGATGACAATAGTGTATTTATGCTGTACCTTTTCTATGTTTAGATGTGTATAGATGCACAAATACTTGCCGTGGTGTTACGATGCCTGCAGTATTCACACCATAACATGCACTGCAGGCTTGTAGCCTAGGAGCAGTCAACTCTACCATCCATCCTGGGTGTGTATTGGGCTGTACCATCTGGGTTGGTGTAAGTGCACTCTACAATGTTCCTTTCGTGATAAAATCACCTAACGACACATTTCTAACGACACGTCCCTGTCGTAAAGCAATGCATGACTATACTAACCTCTCCTGCAGTCGCTCAGATGGGGCCAGCCCCCTGTTTGTGCTAGGGCCCTGGCTGCTAGGCTGGAAGCCTCATACATCTCAGTGCATCTTCCCCTCCCAGGTCATGGTGATGCCCAAATACGTTTGGCTGGAGCACCCTGAAGTCTCTGCTACCATCCAAGCTGGTTTGGAGACATGAACCAGACCAATGAAGGGCAGGCTTTGGATGGCCATTTTCTCATTAGGTTCCTCTCCTCCACCATGCTAGATCCCTGGGCGTCCTGCTGTCCCCTTACATGGAGAAATCCCAGCACTGGGAGAAAGCACAGGGTCTTTATTATCAGACACATGCAGCCACTCCTCCAGTGTCCCCTCTCCCACAGGGCAAGTCCGGCTGCTCCAGGCTCTCCCCAGTGTTGCTATTAGGTGAGTAGATATGAATGATTATGTGTGGGGAAGATGATTCATGGACAGGATGGGGAAATAATCTGGTGTCCAAGGCCATTAGGTTACAAGCACAAGGGACGGTTGAGTGTGGTGGTGAGCAGCGGTGAAGAATCGTGGGGGAAATGGAGTTAGCAGGAAGGGCAAACCGCTCCCCACCACAGCGCTGGGGCCAGTGCCAGCCCCACCCCCCAAGTGAGACACTCCAGGCCCCCAGCCCCACCTCCCTCATGCTGAGAGGCAGGAGGCGGCTCATCACCCTTCTCACACACAGAGAAGATCCCAATTTGTCTGGTGTGGTTCAACAAGGAGCTGGAAGGTTGGGCCACACAGCCCTGAATGCTCATTCTGGTGGTCAGCCCACCTAGAGGGAGAAGACCAAGTCAGAAAGGACACAGAGTACAGCCCAGCCAAATTCATAAACCCAGGAGTCCAGGCCCCAGACCCTCCTCCCTCAAACGCAGGAGCTCAGACCCCCAGCCCCTCCTACCTCAGACCCAGGAGTCCAGGCCCCCAGCCCCTTCTCCCTCAGTCCCAGGAGCCCAGGACACCAGCGCCTTCATCCTTGGGGCCCTGCTTGCAGCACTCACCTCCTGAGAGATGAATGTACCCATCATAACAATGAGTGGCGCCCCTGGGGCAGGTCATTCGGGGGGAGCCACTTGAACAGGTTCCAAGGGGCTGCACACAGGTAGGACACTGCCGGTCTCCTGGGACAGGGGCAGCTGGGGAGCAGAGGGAAGGTGGGGGTACATGACTTTGTGCTCAGAGCAGCTGCCCACCTTGGGCCAGAGTCTCTGTGTGTCTGGGCCTCATTTCTCCACGGCCCTGGATCCCATACCTTGAGGAGGGAGGGAGTTCAGCAGAACGCTGCTGCTGCTGGCACTATTGCACAGGTCCGAGGAGCAGAAGTGGGTATAGGAGGCCACAAGCACCCCAGGAGGGGCTGAGTGGATGGTGGTCTTCTGGGAATTTTGAGCCCCAACAGCGCTGCAGCTTTAGGTCGCCACCAGGGTTGATGTGAGTCCTGAGGGTGAGAGGGAAAGCTGGGCTGGGGACTGGGCAGCTCCCAGGGCAGCAGGGGCTCCAGAGCTGGACTCCCTGCCCTTCACAATACCCCCCAGGCAGAGGGTGAATGCCCTGATCACAACTGCTGGGTCATGTTTAGTGTGGGGCAAAGACGGAGGCTGGGGCCTGGGTCCTGCCCGAAGCTCTGCCTCCTCCCAGTTCTCGCTCAAACGTCACCTTCTCCATGAGTCTCCCCTGAGCACTGAGCTTAAAATTGCAGCCTTCCCCTCACTTTTCCTATCTCCTTTTCCTTGCCAGATTTCTCTCCAGAGCTGGGATCTCCATTCCCCATACTTTGCTGCTTTTTGTTTGTTTGTTTCCTGTTTCTCAAGGCATATAAAGCTGCAGGAATACAGATGGGATTGGATCTGCGGCACCTAAAACAAATGCTGGATAAACATTTCCAGAATGTATGAAGCCACTGAGAGTCCTCGGTGTTGGCACGGTTCTCCACCCTGGGCAGGGATTACCGCATACGTGGTCACCCCTCCCCAGAAAGGCAGACACTGTCATTCCCACTGCTTCACCCCCAGTTTTCATAAGGGGAACCCAAGATGCAGAGAGAAGAAGAGTCGGATTGAAAATTGCAGATGTGAAGGGAGCTGAGCAGGAAATTCAGGGGAAAGAATCCAGTGGGGTGGAGGGAGCTGCCAGGGACTTGGGACAGGTGTTCGTCTTCTACCTCAGTCCACGTACCTACATCTATGAGCAGCAGCATCTCCTGACACACCTGCCCCACCTCGCACGTCTCGGTATTAGATGTGGCCCAATCAGTGGGTTCTTTACTCAAGTTTTCCTGCTTCTTCAAGGTGGTCCCCCGATGACAGGTCAGAACATCTGGGGAGAGGAAACCCAGGGTCTGTGTAAGCCAGGAACCCACCATGTCTGTCCCTCCACGTCCTGGGCTAGGGAAGGTGATCATGCTCTTGAGTCACACTCCAGGTGACCTGGCCACGGAGTCCCTCAACCACGGATTCAGAAGGGACTTGGGAGTCCAAACCCCACCCCCATTGTTCCCTGTTTCTGCTTGAACACCCGCAGGGACGTCCTCTCACAGCCCTGTGAGAACAGCCATTCCTTGCTTCAGCTGTGAGAGCAATGGAAGCTCTTCCTGAGCCTCTGCCCATCTCTGCTTCCCCATCTGAGCTTTAAGGTCCTCATTTCAATAATAAGGAAGGCAGCCTGAGACCTTTCTCATACCTTTCAGTTGCAAAGCCCTATGTTCCAAACAAGATGCGAAGGGCCAGGGTGGGCTGAGCACTGCCGCTGAGCACTGCCTCTGCACCTGGCTGACCTCATTGCTTCCCACAGATCCACCCATCTAAGGTTCCAGGGAACACAGCTTATCTGGGATGCCTCATTTCCCCACAGCACCCCAGCAGTAGGTGGTGTGATCACAATCAACACCCTCATTTGCAACAAGGGAAACAGAGGCAGGATTGCTCAGTAGCTGCCCATGCCACACAGCTTGTGAGTGGCAGAGGTAGGCTGGGAACCCAGGGACTCTGGACCCTCAGGGTCGGGGTTGGGAGCAGGAGGGAGACAGGTACTGAAGACCATCCTCGGCTACCTTGGCCCCGAGGCCCTCAAGGCTCTAGTGTGAAACCACAGCCCCTGGCCTCCCCTCACGGCCATCACAGAGCAGGGGGGATCGGTCCCATGATGCAGGGACTCTTAGACTGAGCCCCCAGCTTCCACCAACACATGCGACCTGCAGAACCGATGCCACCCTGGAGGGCTGCTCATTTGCATACTTCACAGATGACAAAATCAAAATCATGGCTCCTGCTCCCTTCTCCCACCCTTCTCTCCCCACTCCCATCTCCCCTACTTACACCCGTGGCGGCTCGTTTCTGCCAGTCTAGCTGAACACATTGGTGTTGTCCTTGACCACGCTCTTTCTCTCCCACATTGTGTTCCTCAAGTAATCCTACTGGCTTGAGCTGCAGAAAATCTTCAAAACCCAACCCCACGTCACCACCTCTGCTGCCTCCAAGCCCCCCGCTTCACTCCCACCTGACTCCTGGGGCAATCCCTGCACCCGCCTGTCACTGTTCCTCTCGCTCCATTCTCCACCCAGCAGGCAGAGGGAGGCTAGGTAAACCTAAGTCAGTTCATGTCACTCCTCTGCTCCGAAGACTCCAGGAGGTCCCCATTCTGGAGAATAAAATTCTAAGCCCTTCCAATGGCCCGGGAGGCCTGATAAGACGCGGCCGCCTCCCTGCTCCCTCCATCACTCTGCTCCGCACAGGTGTTTCTGGCAGGCACTCACCCACATCATGGTCTTTGCATCTGCTTCCGTCCCATGTCTGCAACCATCCCCTC
Source organism: Homo sapiens (assembly GCF_000001405.40). Lineage (NCBI taxonomy): Eukaryota > Metazoa > Chordata > Mammalia > Primates > Hominidae > Homo > Homo sapiens. Next base: position 43,376,004 of record NC_000019.10, read on the forward strand.
CTCTTCCCCAAATCCAGGGAAAGAGGCTCCATGAGATATGGAGACTTTTGATCCTCGTGTGAAGCTGAGGCTGGAAAGCTGTTTCGGCGGCAGAGCTGGGCCTGGGACCCACGTGTCCCTGATTCAGACGTGGGCTCTTCCCTGCTCTCTCACTGGGACCGCTGCCCAGCTCCTCTAGGGGCAGCCAGGGCCTTATCTGCCCGGGCCCCTTGGTTCTTCACAAGGGGCTGCTGCCATGGCCCCTTTTAGTAACCTGCATCCTTGCACCCAGCCCTCCCACTGCTGCGGCTTCTTATAAGCGGTTCCATCACCCTGAAGCCTCTTCTCTCCTGCACTTGGTCCCCAACGTCTTGTTGTTCCCCCAGTTTCTGATGCCTGGTCTTGTGATGCTCACTGTCTGCTAAACTGCTGAACTGCACTTCACCAGGGAGGCAAAACAGCCTGCAAGATCTGGCTCCAGTGTTGAAAGCAGAAGATGAATCTCTATGAACAGCACTGATTGGTGCATAGTCGCTGTGTTTTATGTGGTGCGTTTGTGTAGTGTGTGCACATGCGTGATGTGTGCAGGTATGTGTGCTGTGTGTGAGTGCGTAGTATACATGTGGGGGGTGTGGTTGTATGGGGTGTGTGGTGTGTTCATGGTATGTTTGTGTGGTGCGTGCATGTGTAGACATACTGTGTGTGATATATGTGGTATGTGTTTGTTTTGTGTGTTTGGTGTGGTGTGTGTTCTGTGTATCTGTGTTTTGCTTGCATGTGGTGTGTGTGGCATGCCAGATGTGTTGTGTGTATTGTGTGTTGTGTGTGGTATGTATTGCATGTCTGATATGTTGAGAGGGAGAGTGTGTGTGGTACCTGACGTGTAGTATGTGGCATACACACTACATGTACACGTAGTAATTGTGCACTCGTGTGATGCATTTGTGTGTGTTGTGCATATTGTGTGCTCTGTGTGTGATTTGTGTTCCATAGGTGGTATGTCAGGGGTATGGGGGAGTGTGTGTGTGGTATGTGATGTGTGGTGTGTATGTGTCATGGTGTGACGCATTCGTGTCTGCTGTGCTTATTGTGGGCTGTGTGTGTGGCATGTGTTGCGTCTGATTTGTTTCTGAAATACCTTCTGGGTTATCAGTGTCATCTGGTCCCAGAGACCAGGGCCAGATCCTTAACAGCAGCATCAGTCAAAAGGAAAGATAAATGGCTCAGACCCTGCCCTCCCTGCTCCACAATCTTCCATGGCTCCCCTGCCTTCAGGAGAGGGTCCACCCCTCAGCCTGGGTTTTCAGGTACTTGAGCGACCACCAGGTTCCCCACTTAACTCTTCCTCCCCCACCAGTATCCATTCTGAAGGCATGCCAGTTCATTTCCTCCTCAGCCTCACACCTGCTGTGCCTTTGGCTTGGAGCAGCTCCCTCTTCGACCCCACACCCACCTTGTCCACCTGGAAAACTTCGAATCACCCCCAATCCCAGCTGTACCCCCTCATCTTGATGAGTCCTTCTCAGGTGGAGTGAGGGACTCTTCTTGAAAACAGCAGGCTCACTCCCACCTCCAGGCCTATGCAGCTGCTACACACTGTTCCCTCTGCCACCAATGTCCTCTTCCTCTTCTACCAATAAGCTGTAGGTCATCTTTAACACACGGTTCACAGGCCACCTCCTCTGTAAAGCCCTCCTTGACTCTCTACCCCAACAACATCAGTATTTTCCTCCTCTGAGCTGCCCCAGGCCCCACATCCCCGTTTGCCACAGCCCTGATCACCTCAAGCTGTGACCATCTGTGTCTGTAGCACCTCCCCCTCCTAGTCCTGGAGGCCCTTCAGGTAGAAACAGGGTCTGACTCATGAGGGAGCTTTGCTCAAGTGAGCCCTGCATGTCCTCACTTGAGCAAACACCTCCTGGTACCCTTCCTGAGCCGTCTCCTGAGCTACCCAAGGCTGGAAACCCTGGTGCCAGTGGTACCAAGCCCCTAGCCTCAGGCTCCCAGCCTAGCTAGGGAGAAACAGCCAAATACACAGAGGAATGTGTGCAGAGCTCACACAACTCTCTCTTCTAAGCTCTAAGGGTTAGCGTGATGTGGGCAGACAAGGAAACTGAGGCAGGGGCAGGGAAGACTTTGCTTCTAGGAGGGAAGCTGGGATTCCTATAAGACCCCCACCTCCCCACCATGGCTTCCTGTTGCTTTGGAGCCCTTCTTATGGAGACATTCCCTGGCACTCTCTTCCATGGCAGCACCTAAATGGGTAAGTGGGGACCCTCTCAGTGTCCTCCTTTAACTCTTGCTTTCTCTGTCACACCCAAAGTCCCCTTGATTTTCTCTCTGATGTTCTCTCCTGTGCAGGCAAGGCTGCTGGGGCACTCCAGCACCATGAGCGGGGCGGGGGCTGATACGGGTGGGAGAGAGGCTACGGTGGCCTAGGGAAGTGGGAGACCTAGGGTTACCCAAGGCCAGGGGTGTGGAGACACAGAAATTGAAGCAACCAGTCACTCTCAGCAGCTTGAGAGCCAGCAGGGGCCCCAGCACTCACTGTTGCCTAAAGCCACATGCCAAGCAACCCACCCTGCACCCTTGACCTTCCTCCTGCTGGCTTTGGTGTGATGGCTCTGGATGCCCCATGTGTCATCGTGCCCCGAGGCTGCAGTCCAGGGCACAGCCTAGGGGCAGGACTCACCTTTCATATCGCAGTTCTCAGTCATACCCACGGGCCCAATTTCCTGTGTCCCATTGAGCAGGTTGCAAACTGGCTGGGGCATGCATCCCTGGACTCTCAGATTGGAGAAGATGCCTCCTGCAGAAAGGGGGAGCGAGGGAGAGTCAGTGATGCTGCCTCCAGGACCACCCAACCCTCAGAGGCAGGCATAGCTCCAGGAAGCCAGGCCCACCATCCTCTGGGTCTCATGCCGTGCCTCAGCTCACCCTCACTCCCCAAAGACTAAGATCTCAGTCCCCAGACCTTCCAGTTCAGTCCCCGCAGGGACCCCGATGTCCCAGGCTTACCTCCCCTGAGCCTGAGGAGGCCATCATAACAGTGTGTGGTCCCCTTGGGGCAGATCTCTTCTGTTGTCCCCTCCAGACAGCCTTCCATAGACAAGCAGACTGGGCACCTCAAGGATCCTGGGTCTAGGGAAGTGACAGACAGAGTGAGGGGGCACTGAGACGGCACTGGATTTGATCAGATACCTTCTCTGCACCCCACTTTTGCTGGCCTCAGGAGTCAACCTGCTCAGCCTTCCCAAAGGGGCCTTCTGCAGCTCCCATCATGGGATCTGGATGTGGGAAAATAAGTGTAACCCATGAAAGAGGAAGGCAGAGAGATCAGGAGGTCTGGGTAGAGGCACCCAGGGCTGGGTACAGAAAGTGGTCTTGGCTGGGTGTGGTGGCTCACACCTGTAATCCCAGCACTTTGGGAGGCTGAGGCAGATGGATCACGAGGTCAGGAATTCAAGACCAGCCTGGCCAACATAGTGAAACTCTGTCTCTACTAAAAATACAAAAATTAGCCGGGCGTGGTGGTGGGCTCCTCCAGTTCCAGCTACTTGGGACGCTGAGGCAGGAGAATCGCTTGAACCTGGGAGTCGGAGGTTGCAGTGAGCCGAGATTGCGCCACTGCACTCTAGCCTGGTCAACACAGCGAGACGCTTTCTCAGAAAAAAAAAAGGGAGGGGTCTTGGGGGGCAAGTGGGGGTGGGGGGTGGGCAGGGTGGAGGAGGGGCCTGCTGAGGCCAAATGTAGACTCAGACATGGTCAAGTCTGAACCTTTCAACAAAGTCTGGCCTTCCGAGGGGAGACACAGAAGCAGACTCATTGGTCAAGGGAATGAGGGGGTGCCCTGGAACGAGCCAGTGCCTTCACCTGCAAGTGCTACTAAGCCTCCAAGAACAGGAGACTTCTGTGTTCACAAGCTGTTCCAATAAAAGAAGCGCAAAATATCTCCCTAGACTCTTTATAACACCAGACAAGGAAAGTGGAAAGTTACAGTTCAGTCTCCCTTAGGAAGAGGAAACAGCAAAAACCCTGCAGGAGAACTTCTTGAACCAAACGCAACAGAATAGAAAAGGAATGCAGGATAACCCAGTTAATGGTAATTTCATATCAGAAATCCGTCCTGTTTGCTCTTAGAAGAGGAGGGGTGCGGGGATTCCCGGGTGGCCGAGGTCGGTGGGAGGGATCGGGAGTGAGTGGGGAGGGATGGAAAGGAAGGGGGGCGGGGCGGCTGCCAGGGAGCAGTCAGGGGAGGGATGGAGCGAGCGAGGGGCACGATAGCGAGCGAGGGTGGGAGGGAGCTGAAGAGGTAAAGAGGGTGCTGTCCCTGTGGCAAGGGTCTCCCATTGTTCAAGGGCAATTCTCTAGAGAAGGGGCACCTGTGAGATGTTTTCAGCCAACACCAGCTGGCCAAGGGGATGTGGGTAGGATATGCCTTATCCACTCCAGAGCTGGAGACACACTGGATTCCAGGGGCCAGTTCCTAACCACTACACCATGCCTGGATGCATGTGTGTCACTTAATTTCATAACGTGAACAGAGTAAAAACAATGATAAACACAACTGTTATTACTGATGCCACAGAGCGCCCCAGTTAACAGCTCCAAGGCATTCACCTGCAGCACTGCCGGTACTGGGTTTTCTGTTTTTTTTTCTTCTCTTTTCTTTGCTGTTAGGTGCAACAATCGCAGAAATTCCTTCCTCATCTTGGTCTTGTAGAAGAGGATGCAGGAGCTGAGAGAGGGGAATGAGCTTGACCAAGATCTCTGAGTCAAGCTGTGGTCAAGCTAGAATCAAGTCTGGGCCCCTCAGCCCCCTGCTTGCGGGGAGAGAGGGGTTGGGAGGGACAAGAACCTCTGATCCCATGTGTCCTCAAAGCAGTCCAAGGGCTCTCTGTTTCTTTTTGTTCCTTTTGTTTCTCCTTCTTGAGCAGCCAACGTGTTCCCTAAGTTTGAGAAGCCCAGAGAGTGCCAGAATTTGCTTCCAATGTTTACCTACCAAGGACAAAGCCAGATTCTGGAGCACCTGGGTGGGGCTTTTTCCATGGAGATAAAGACTCCCCTGTTGAGTACAAATATTTCCTCCATGAAGATACTCTTGAAAACACACTCTCCCCACTGAGACTTCTCTTCATGATATCCGAAATGAGTATTTCCCCTGGGGGTTTCCCCAGCTCTGATCCTTACCTCTGTCTCTGTCCTACTAATCACCTGGGCTGTGACTGTCTCCGTCTGTCTCTCAATCTCAAATTCCTGAACAGGACCTCACACAGGGTCTGGTCCACACAGGAGGGTCAGGGAGGGTCAAGGACCTCCTATCCTACCTAACTTCAAAGCATTCCACCAGCTATTTCTTTTTATTCCCTAAATTTTTTTTTAAGACAGAGTCTTGTTCTGTCACCCAGGCTGGAGTGCAGTGGCATGATCTCAGCTCACTGCAACCTCTGCCTGCTGGGTTCAAGAGATTCCCCTGCCTCACCCTCCTGAGTAGCTGGGATTACAGGCATGCGCCACCATGCCCAGCTAATTTTTGTATTTTCAATAGAGACAGGGTTTCATCATGTTGTTCAGGCTGGTCTCAAACTCCTGACCTGCGGTGTTTTCATTTTGAAAACTTTCAGGCTGGGCACGGTGACTCACGCCAGTAATCCTAGCACTTTGGGAGGTCAAGGCGGGTGGATCTATTGAAGTCAGGAGTTTGAAACCAACCTGGACAACATGGTGAAACCCCATCTCTACTTAAAAAAAAAAAATACAAAAATTAGCCCGGTGTAGTGGCAGCCACCTGTAGTCCCAGCTACTCCGGAGGCTGAGACAGGAGAATCGCTTGAACCCAAGAGGCAGAGGTTGCAGTGAGCCGAGATTGCGCCATTGCACTCCAGCCTGGATGACAGAGTAAGACTCCGTCTCAAAAAAAAAGAAAGAAAAATTTCAAACCTGCAGAAAAGCTGCAAGGATAGTACAGTAAACACAAGTATCCCCTTCACTGGATTCACCCACTCTTCACATTTTACTGTATTTGTTTATACGCACACGACACATGCTTTTAAAATATTCTTAAATTTTAAAAACAAGGAGTAGACATTGTAACTCTCACCACTAAGTGCTTCGGCAAAAACCTTCTTAAGATTATTCTTAAGGGGGCTGGGCACAGTGACTCACACCTGTAATCCCAGCACTTTGGAAGGATCACTTTAAGTCAGGAATTCAAGACCAGCCTGACCAACATGGTGAAACCCCGTCTCTACTAAAATATAAAAATTATCTGGACATGATGACACACAACTGTAATCCCAGCTACTTGGGAGGCTGAGGCAGGAGAATCACTTGAAGCTGGTGGTGGAGGTTGCAGCAGTGAGCCTAGATCACACCACTGCACTCCAACCTGGGTGACAGAGCCAGGCTCCATCACAAAAAATAAATAAATAAAATTTTTCTAAAAGTATAGATTATTCTTTTTTTCTCTTTCCCTCTTTTTTTTAGGTGCAGTTTTGCTCTCTCACCCAAGCTGGAGTGAAGTGTCGTGATCTCTGCTCACTGCAACCTCCGCCCCCTGGGTTCAAGCAATTCTCCTGTCCCAGCCTCCTGAGTAGCTGGGATTACAGGCGCCTGCCACCACGTCCGGCTAATTTTTGTATTTATAGTAGAGACAGGGTTTCACCATGTTGACCAGGCTGGTCCTGAGCTCTTGACCTCAGGTGATCCACCTGCCTCGGCCTCCCAAAGTGCTAGGATTACAGATGTGAGCCACCACGCCCAGCCTATATAGATTATTCTTAAGGACTTTGTCCTACGTAACCACAGACCAGGATCAGACCCGTGTAGTTTACACAGATGCACTGCTGTCTAATAGGAAGCCCATTTCCAGTTTTCCTCTGTTGTCCCAATGACATCTCTCATTGCGTTTTTGCTTTCTGATCAGGAGAACATCCGGGGTCAAGCATGAACTGCACTGTGTTGTCTTTATGAAAGAGAAACAAAAACTCAGGACCCCAATTCACTGTGACAGAAGGAAAAAAAAAAACTGGAAGCTGAGTCATGCAAGAAACTGCCTTTCCTTTTGTTCCTAAGCAGACAGCTACAGAGAAACGGCTAAGTATTTCCTTAGGTAGCTACTCCATGTTCACCTTATCTTTTTTAAAAAAATTTTTTAATTATTATTTTTTTTGAGACAGTGTCATACTTTGTCTCCCAGGCTGGGGTGCAGTGGCACAATCTTCGCTCACTGCGACCTCTGTCTCCCGGGCTCAAGTCATTCTGTCACCTCAGCCTCCCGAGTAGCTGGGACTACAGGCACCCACCACCACACCCAGCTAATTTTTGTGTTTTTGTAGAGATGGGTTTTGCCATGTTGTCCATGCTGGTCTCAAATTCCTGGGCTGATGAGATCCTCCCACCTCAGCCTTTCAAAGTGCTGGGATTACAGGTGTGAGCCACCACGCCCGGCCATATTCACCTTATCTTTCTCAAGGTGCCAATTTACCCAGCGTGAGATGAATACGTGATTGATTATTCCCCTACCTCCTGCTTTCTCTTACACCATGTGGATTCAGTAATGCGACCACACCCTCCTTCTTTCACCGCCAGCCAGCTTTTCCACCCTAAATATTGAAGCCCTCAAAATTATCTTTGGAAAAAGGCACAGACCACAGACTGTTTCTATGATTGCATGGTTTTTTTCTATGTCCTTAACCTTGGCAAAATAAGCTTCTAAGTTGATGGAGACCTGTCTCAGATACCTTTTGGTTTACATCTCATCTCTGGACTCCCCTTTAATCTAGGAGTGCTCCCCAACTGCCTTTCATTTTCTTTAATGTCATTGAAAGCAATGGTTCACTTTTTTTTTTTTTTTGTAAAGTCTTCCACCACCTGGATGTGCCTGACTCAGACTATGATTAGAGTAGTTTTAATGATTTTTGGCAATATTCTTCTAGCTGGGTGTGGTGTGTCACATTCAGAAGGCCTTTAATGCCTGTTTGTCAAATTCTTGGCTAATTAACAACTGCTGTGTGAGGTAAGCCATGGAGGAGGCCGTGTGAATGTCCTATTCCCCACCACGAGATCCTTCTGTCTCCTTGCACACATTGTGCCCAAGCTACTTCCAGAAAATCCTCTGTGATCACGGCAAATCACATAATGTTTTTGGTCCAGCTCCCCTGCTGCCCTCCTATCCACTCTTCTGCCCATTACAGGAAGCCTTTACACCCAGGCAGCTCAGCGTCCAGAGCTGGTTCCACTCATCCCCTTCAAGGAGAGGAAAACTGAGCCCTGGGAAGGAGAAGTAAAGCTGGAGTCACAAAGCCAGGAAATGGTGGCCAGGGGCACGACCCAGGCCTTATAAACAACCTGCACTCTTCCCCCTGCAACACAGCCTGCTGAGGACGCTCATCAGTCATCTCAGTGGTTCACTTCCAATCTCCTCATCTGCCAAGCACCCAGCATGTTCCAGCAAAGACAAATTATTCCTATGGCAAACTGACCTGCATGCAGTTTACAGGACTTTATGTTATAAAGAGGAGGGATCTATGGCACTTAATGAAAAGTTACACTTAAAGATTTTCATAGGCCTGGCTGGGTGTGGTGTCTCATGCCTGTAATCCCAGCACTTTGGGAGGCAGAGGCGGGTGGATCACCTGAGGTCAGGAGTTTGAGACCAGCCTGGCCAACATGGTGAAACCCTGTCTCTACTAAAAATACAAAACTTAGCCGGGCATGATGGCATGTGCCTGTAATCCCAGCTACTCGGCTGGGGCAGGAGAATGGCTTGAACCCGGGGGGCGGAGGTTGCAGTGAGCTGAGATTGTGCCATTGCACTCCAGCCTGGGCGACAGAGTGAGACTCCATCTCAAAAATAAAAGAAAGGATCTTTACAGGCCTTCGTGTACTGACCAGAGGAGCAAAAATGAATAAAAGGATTACAACATGAGGCTGGCATTGCTGTGCACCTATATCCTTGAGTGCTGGTGGCCCCATGGATTAGATCAACACCTTGAAAGCTAATTTGACACTAGACCAACAAAGTCCTTTGACCTGGAGTTCCACTTTGGCAAAAAATAATAATAAATAAATAAATAAAATCCCTAAAGTGTATAAAGAGAAAGGAAGTTGTGATATTTGGAAATTCTGGGCTTTGAGTAAAGAGAGTGATATTCTAGACCTGCTATCATTTCACTATTACCTGAACAATTTACTTCCTCTTTCTAGCCTTCCATCTCTTCCTGCAAAATAAGGCATGGTTTTCAATCACTTCACCACACAGGAAAAGGAAATAGAAATAGAAATAAATAAAGTCCACTCCAGGAGCAGTGGCTCACGCCTGCCATCCCAACACTCTGGGAGGCCGAGGCGGGTGGATCGCTCGAGCTCAGGAGTTCCAGGCCAGCCTGGGCAACATAGAGAAACCCTGTCCCTACCAAAAATACAAAAAAGTAGCCAGGCATGGTGGTGTGCACCTGTAGTCCCAGGTACTTGGGAGGCTGAGGTGGAATGATCTCTTGAGCCTGGGAAGTGGAATTTGCAGTGAGCCAAAATTGCATCACTGCACTTCAGCCTGGATGACAGAGCAAGACCCCCTCTCAAAAAAGACAAAGAAAGAAAGAAATAGACAAAGCCCAATGCTGGCAGTGCTGTGGAACTAACATCTTAGGATTGGTGAAGAGAGTGGACATAGCACTTGTGGAAAGAGCCATATTTCCTGGGGGCCATAAGGCCACATATGCCCTGTGAAGACTGACCAGGGAGTGTTGGGCTGCTACCCACATTTCATCTATTTGTCAGGCAAAAATGCTTTAAAGATCATTCCACTTGATTTTCCTTTAAATAAAAATCATGTGGGAATGGAATGGAATTGCCGAGTGGCATGGTGGGTGTATGCTGAAATTTTTAGAAGCTGCCAGACTGCTTTCCATAGTGGTTGTACCATCTTACATTCCCACCAGCAGCGTGAGCATTCCAGTGCCTCCACATCCTTGCCAACACTTGGCGTGGTCACTCTTTTTAATCTTAGCCATTCTAATAGTTCTGTAGTGGTATCTTATTATGGTTTTATTCTGCATGTTTTTCTTGAGACAGAGCCTCATTATGTTGCCCAGGCTGGAGTACAGTGGGCCCATCATAGCTCACTTTCTCTTCAGGAAAGTCTTCCCTGATCTTTCAGTCTAGGTCAGAAGCCCAGTAATATACAGTCATGAGGCCCCATATTTATTCTTTTTGTGCTTTTTTTGAGACGGATTTTTTTTTTTTTGCACTCCAGACTGGAGTGCAATGGCACAATCTTGGCTCACTGCAAGCTCCATCTTCCAGGTTCACGCCATCCTTGTGCCTCAGCCTCCCAAATAGCTGGGATTACAGGCATGAGCCACCATACCCAGCTAATTTTTAAATTTTTGGTAGAGACAGGGTATTAGCATGTTGCCCAGGCTGGTCTCGAACTCTTGACTTCATCGGTTTCCCAAAGTGCTGAGATTACAGGCGTGAGCCACGATGCCTGGCTCAAGGTTGACTCTTTTTTCTTTTTTTTTTTTTTTTGAGATGAAGTCTCGCTCTTGTCCCCCATGCTGGAGTGCAATGGCACAATCTCGGCTCACTGCAACTTCTGCCTCCCAGGTTCAAGTGATTCTCCTGCCTCAGCCTCCCGAGTAGCTGGGATTACAGGCGACTGCCACCACGCCTGGGCAATTTTTGTATTTTTTAGTAGAGACGGGGTTTCACCATATTGGCCAGGCTGGTCTCAAACTCCTAAACTCAAGTGATCTGCCTGTCTCGGCCTTCCAAAGTGCTGGAATTAGAGGTGTGAGCCACCACGCCCGGCCTCTTTAATTTCTTAATAGGCTCTTCCAGGAGTTATTGAGAAGAATATTTTACAATTCTAAGTGGAATATTTTAGCAGGAAGGACCGTGGTTTATTTCTACGATAATTCTGTTGTGGCTTAAACAGTTTGTTCTTTTGTAATTTGGGGTATTCCCTCTACCACCTATTGTTGACTTTCGACCTTTGATATTTACCCTATGTAAATTCATCAACCCCTGATTTTACTTCTTCAAAGCCAGCATGAGGCTAGTCAAGCCTGGTTTCCTCTCACAGGAAGTCAGTCTTTGGCCCCATGGTATTTGTGTAACCAGGTTACAAGATTTAAAAATCTATCGCAAGTGACAGTAATTAAAAAAAAAAAAAAACAAATGTGGGCTACTCTGGAAGAAGAAACATTGGAATGTAGATTTTATTTGTTTAATTGCAGAGACATGAACCAGCTTATACTCGTTTGATTTCCACATTATTCATGGAGAGTCTAAAGTCAATTTCTGGGAACAAAAAACCAACTTGAAAAGCTGTTTAAATTCTATTAGTGGGACTTCCAAAGGTACAAGGGTTAAGAAAAAGAGAGGAGAAAAGAGAAAAGAGGGGTAGGGAGAAAGGAAGACGTGACAGGAATGTGAGCCAGACAATGGAGATGGAGAAAAAGCAGTCAAGAGGGACAGAGGGCGCGGTGGAGGTCTGCAGGATCTGAAGATCCACCTCTCTTCTCTGGACACTGACCTCTTACCTGATCCCAGAAACAGACTGAGCTTTAACTCTGACCACATACTCCTCAGGGTGATGGAGAGTGGGGCCACCTGCACCCTACCAGCCTTCCACAGCCCCTCTGCATGGGCTCTGCCCCGCACCCTACACGTGCTCTGAGGCCTCTTATTGCAACAAATGACTTCCTCCGGATTCCATTCCCTCCACCGCCTCTTTCTTCTCGCTCAAGCATCTTCAATGGTCTGGATACGTTTCTTTGCTTCCATTTGTCGCCTTCCACTCACTCATCCATGTCCACTTCCATCTTCCCCTTTCTCTAACATTGCTTGTACTGAGATCAGCAACATCCTGCTTTATTGCTAAACCTGCCAGGAACTCACAGGTTAGTTTTGCATCCTTTGACGCTGAGGGCCACTTCTTTTCCTGGAATAATCTCTGTGAGGCAAATATACATTTTTAAAAATTTTGTTTAGCCTGTTGCAAAAAGATAGAGACTCTCCTCTTTTCACTCAGATCATTTTCTCTTCATTCATTCATTCATTCATTCATTCATTCATTGATAGAGTCTCCCTCTGTCACCCAGGCTGGAGTGCAGTGGTGCCATCCAAGCTTACTGCAGCCTTAACCTCCTGGGCTCAGGTGATCCTCCCTCCTTAGCCTCCTGAGTAGCTGGGACTACACGCATATACCCCACTATGCCCAGCAAATTGATTATTGTTATTGTGTGTGTGGAGATAGGATCTTGCTATGTTGCCTAGGCTGGACTTTGAGAGCATTTATTTTTTAGAAGAGGTGTAATTGAAAATTCTTTCTCTGTCCCTTGAAGATGTATGTAAAGCTTTCTAAAGCATACATAAGCATCTTGCCTGCCTCACAACCCAGAACTGTCCTCCTCAAGGCCATAGGAGCCCTCTCTTTGAAAGGCAGGCATCCGGGCAGAAAGCGCCCCTGTCTCCCAGTTTCTGTGAGAAGGAAGGAACCTCAGTTCTGGGGGCATCTCACTCCCAGTTGCAAAACTACCTCCTGTCATAGATAAGAGAGGTTTGTTTTTCCTGTGGATAAAGCCAATTAACCACACAGAGAATCAACACAGTTACTGGGTGAATTTAGGATGAACTATGTGTGACAAATGGTGCCGTTGAGTCCTCTCAACTGGGAACGAGTCACCGTGTATCTGGAGACCATGTGTGTAACGGGTTGCACCTGCTTGGCTGGATACAAAGGTGGGATTTCTTTCTGTCTTTGTCATCTCTTAGCAGATTGTATCACATTTTGGCTTAATGCTTACTCAGTCATAAGACAAGTTTCTTTTACTTCTATGGATGTGAGGGGGGTTTCTGGGCTGAGCAGAAATTTGTTTCTTAATCATATTTTTCCAGCAACCCCCACCCAACCTACCCCACCTTCTCTGAAGCTACTTCCCCCAGGCTTTAAAGGCGGCTGCTCCCCGGGGTTCCTCCCGGGCCCTGCCTCTCCTGGTTCATCTGATCTCCCACCCTCGAGGCATCGTAGCTTCCCTCCCTTCCATGTGCTGATGCCTCTCGGATCTCTAACTCTAGGCAGAAACCGGCTTCTCAGTTCCTCAGCTCAAATACCCACCTTGGGACGGGCATCTGCACCAGGACTTCCCGCCGGGAACTCTCCAGGTGGAACACGGTACATATTCTCTGGCTGCAGTGCAGTTTTTAAATGCCACCAGTACACATGGGGAATGTTCTGTCTTCCCAAGGAGGAAGCCGGAAAGTTCATTTTCCCAGCACTCTTTGCAGGAGGGACACAGACACGGGTCCAGGCTTTCCCCATCAGGTGCTCCCGTGAAAGACTCAGGATCCCGAACAGCACCAGGAAGCAGAGGGTGCATGGCACCGATTTGCTTTTTGTTTTTGTTTTAATTTTTTGAGTGGGGATCGGGGACAGAAGCTTCTGGACTCCAGGGCCAGCCTCAGCAGTGCAGGGTGCAGGGTGTGGTTTCTGCCTCCTGCAGTAGCCAGAAGATCTTGACCGGAGCTGTCCTGTGCCTGTGGTTTGGTCCTTGCCCTGGGCCCTGTGGCCTCCAAGCTGGCTTCATGAGGGCCCTTGGAGCTTGGTGACCTTCCTACCCTGTCCTTTAACCAGTCCCTTTTCTGCTTCTTGCTGGAGTGAGCTGGGCGGTTTTCTCTGAATCTGTTCCTGTGCTGGGTTCTCCCTTAGGGAAGGGCACCCTGGGCACCCGACCCCTCAGCCGGATGCCTAGCAGATGTTCTCATGCTTCCACTTCCTTGCCCCTTTATGTCCAGTGGTCACTCCTTTATGTCCCTTCCATGTCCTACATCTCTCTCTGCTGTGTCCTGTCTTCTGCACCCTGTGGCCTCCACCTAAGTTTGCACCACCACCCATTCCTCCTTGAATGAATACAGTTGTCTCCCCGGGTCTCCCTGTCTCCACTGGGGCCAGCAGCATCCGAGCCAGCTTCTTCTCTGTGGCAGAGATGATCTTTTTCAGGCCTCCTCCGGCCATGGCCCTCTCCTGCTTCTGTTTCCAGAGCTCCCAAGTCCCTGGGATGTGCTCCAGCTGCTAAGAGAGGCCTCGAAGGTTGGGTGATGTGGCCTCCACTGTCCTCCTGAGCAACCACCCCACCTACCCTCATCCTTCAGCTCCATTACATTTCCTTTTTCTGTTTAATTTTTTGAATAGGTGTTGTATTTAGATGGCTCAGAAATTTGCATCCGTGTGTATCTGTGTATGTGTGCAGGCATGAAGAGCCTGTGTCTCATCCCTGTTCCCTATGCACCCAGGTCCTAGCCCCACGCCAGACCCAGTAGCCAGCTGTGCTGTTCATGACCTGCAAAGCTTTCTACAGCTGTTTTATGCAAAACAATAGGAATTATTGTAAATTATGGTAAAATATATATAACATAGAATTCACCATTTTAATGACTTTTTTCTTTTCTTCTCTTTTCTTTTCTTTTTTTTTCTTTTTTTTTTTTTTTTTTTTTTTTTGAGAAGAGTTCTCACTCTCTCACCCATGCTGGAATGCAATGGCGTGATCTCGGCTCACTGCAACCTTCACCTCCCGGGTTCAACCGATTCTCCTGCCTCAGCCTCCTGAGTAGCTGAGACTACAGGTGCATGCCACCACGCCCGGCTAATTTTTTGTAGTTTTAGCAGAGAGGGGATTTCATCATGTTAGCCAGGATTGTCTCGATCTCCTGACCTCGTGATCTGCCTGCCTCGACCTCCCAAAGTGCTGGGATTAGACGTAAGCCACCTCGCCCGGCCCATTTTAACCACTTTTAAGTGTACATCCAGTGGCAGGAGTACATTTAGGTTGTTGTTCAACGACCACCACTGTCCATCCCCACCCAGAACTTTTTCATATTCCCCAACTGGAATTCTTTACCAATTAAACACAACTCCTCTTTCCGCCTCCCTCCAGCCACTGACAACCACCTTTTCATTTTCTGTCTATGCATTTCACGACGTTAGGCACCTCTGTTAAGTGGAATCATGCAAATTTGTCTTTTTGAGTCTGATTATTTCACTTAGCAGAAAGAGCTCAAGGCTCATTCATGTTGAAGCACCATCAGAACCACCCTTCTTGTTATGGCTGAATCCCATTCATTTGTACATATAGACCACGTTTTGCTTATTCATTCACGGATGGATGGACACTGGGCTTGTTTCCAACTTCTAGCTATTGTGAATAATGCTGCTATGAACAAAGACATGCAAATATCTGCTGGGGCCCCTGCTTTCCGTTCTTTTCGGAATATACCAGAAGCCGAATTGCTGCATCTTTTGGTGAGTCTATGATTAATTTTTTGAGAAACGACCACAGTGGTTGTGCCATATTACATACCCACAAATGCTACACAAGCGTTCCAATTCCTCCTTGCCAACACTTGTTCTTTTCTGTTTTTCTTTTTTTTTTTTTTTTTTTTTTTTGAGAACAACCATCGTAATGGATGTAAGGTGGTATCTCACTGTAGTTGTGATTTTTATTTTCCTAATGATTAGTGATGTTGAGCATCTTTTCATGTGCTTATTGGCCATTTGTAAATTAATTTTACATTTCCTCCTTTGTAATGTAAGAGGTAGCACATGGTGCATTGTTCTGCTTCTTGTTTTTCTCACTATACGGTGTATCTTGGAAACCTTCCCGGGTGCACAGACAGAAGGATACCTCATTCTTTGCCACAGCTGCCCAGTATCCATGATGTGGATCATGGCTCATGACCCAGTTCTCTATGGATAAACATCAGGGTCGTTCCCGGTCTGTGGCCATCGCCAACACTGCCGTGACTAGTCTAGAATGGGTGCCATTTCATGCATTTGCAATTCCCAGAAGTACACTGGTTAGTCAGCAGGTGAGTGCATTGGTGAGAGGATGTGACTGCAGTCTCAGGAAATATGGAAACCTTCTTCCCTTTCTAGCTGCAGCACCCCCAGTCTGGACAGCATATGGAAAGCACTGAGGGGAAGCCCCACTAAGCACAGAACCCTGCTGGCCACCCAAGACCTCAATACAGATGGACAACATGAAGCCCCTGGCTTAGGGGAAAACAGAGAGACTGAGAAACACACAGAGAGAGTTGGGGCAGGGATGGAGAGAGAGAGAAAATGATAAAGACCCAGAGAGAGACAGAGTCAGAGAAATACAGGGGTGGAGAGGGGAGATACAGAGAGAGACAGAGAGCAAAGGGGACAGAGACATTAACACAGAGAGAAGGAGGGAGAGGAGAGGCATGGAGAGAGGGAGAACTCAAAGAGCCAGAGCCAGAGAAGTAGAAGGTGAGCCATAGAGAGATTCAGGGCAGGACTAGGGTGAGACAAGAGAGGACCCAGGCTTGTGGATTCTTGATTAAAAATCAATGGTGTTATAATCCAGAAAAGAGAGAGTGAGGGGAGAGAGAAAGGGCCTAGGACTAAAAATTAAGGGGTCACTTGCGCAACCCCGGATTTGGGTGTCTCCTTAGATTTTGCAGCAGAGACACCTCACTTACCTCACCCTCATCCTTGTCCTGAGACCCCCACAGGGACACAGAGACACAAGGAAAACACATAGAACCAAAAGAGCACCCAAGAGGAGGAGGAGGGACATGGAGACACCACGATAGTCAAGCTGATGGGGCCACACAAAATCAGAACAGAGACAAAGAGGGAGGCACAGAGAGACACAGAGGGAAAGAGACCCAGAAAAAGAGATGGACAGAGCTGGAGAGATACAGAGTGAGAGACAGACAGTGTGCAGGAGGAAGGACACTCATAAATACACAGAAACAGAAAGAAGAGGCTGGAGTGGTGGCTCACACCTGTAATCCCAGCATTTTGGGAGGCTGAGACGGGTGGATCATTTGAGATTAGGAGTTTGAGACCAGCCTGGCCAACATGGTGAAACCCTGTCTCTACTAAAAATACAAAAATTAGCCGGATGTGGTGGCACACACCTGTAATCCCAGTTACTCAGGAGGCTGAGGCAGGAGAGTCACTTGAACCCAGGAGGCAGAGGTTGCAGTGAGCCAAGATTGTGCCACTGCACTCCAGCCTGGGTGACAGAGTGAGACTCTGGAAAGAAAAGAAAGAAAGAAGGGAAGGAAGGAAGGAAGGAAGGAAGGAAGGAAAGAAAGAAGGAAAGACAGAAGGTACCCATTGGTAGAGAGACAAAGACAGAGACAGACAGGGAGACACAGAGATGAAAAGACACAAAGTGAGCCACAGACACACAGTGAGGAGGAGACAGAGCCAGAAACAGAGACCCAGTGTGATGGAAAGAGAGAGAGGCAGACAGACAAGAGCAGCATCTTCAGGGCGACCCAATGCCCAGTGCCCCTGAGCTGCTCCACGGGGAGGGGGCTGAGCGCACAGCCTGCATCCCATCCATCGTTTCCTGGCCTTCGTGACTGGGTGTCCATGCACAATCCAGTCCCTGTCTCTGAACCTCAGTTTCCACACTGTAAACCAGGCATAGATACACCACCTCAAGGGTGGTGGAGAGGGCTGGGCTGGCTGTTTCTGCTTAATGCACCCTCATGTTTCATAAAGGACCCCATGAACTGTGATGAGAGTCACTGTTCATTATCATGATGGCTTCCAGTACTTACAGCAGTCAGCACTAATATCATGCACATCATCAGCACTTGGCATGAATCCCCATTCATTACAGATCAGCATTAATTGAGTTGATGCTCTGTGCCCGATACTTGTACACTCATAACATGGATTGTTAATTTAATTGAGACAACCACAGTCTGAGGTCAGTGATATCACGATCATCTCCACTTTCCAGAGAGGAAGCTCTGCTGGTAAGGTGCGGAGCAGGGGTTCAAACCCAGGTGGTCTGGCTCCAGGGCCAGGTGTGCCCAGGAGCAGGGCTCTTCCTGGGTGTCCAAGGCCACCTTGTCTCCAGGAGTGTAACCGTGTTTCCAGCCACTGAAAACTTGGATTAAAGCCCAAAGTAAACTTTCCCTTTTCTGGCTTTGAGGTGTGGTGTTTAAATTCAGAGACATTCTCCAGGAAAGCAGAAACTTCTTGGCTAAAATCCAAACCTAGGGAATTTATTGCAGAGATGGGGACGTGGTTCTCATTTCTGCCCATCTCAGAGTACAGATTAATTAACTCAGAAGATTCAAAAGATTATATTTTCCATATTCCTTGCTGAACATAATATTATACCCTTTTCTCTCCAGTTTTATGCTTCTTTTTTTCTTGGTGCTAAAGAAATTGTAAACCTTTGTCTTAAAACTGGAGTCCCTTCCAACTGCTGGTGACAGAAATCCCAGCAAGATAAGAAGGAGCAAATGTCCCCGCTTCCCAGACAACTTGAGATGTAAGCAGATCCTATTCAGCATCCTACAATGTTCTTGCAAAGATTATTTCTGTCAGTGGAGCTCTGTAAAACACCCAGACTCCAGAGACCATCACTTGGTCCTGTGAAGGTACCCTCTTAGCCTTCAAATATCTGAAATTCAGATGAATTGCCTGACTTACTTTTTTTTTTTTTTTTGCAACAGAGTCTCACTCTGTCGCCCAGGCTGGAGTACAATGGCGTAATCTTGGCTCACTGCAACCTCTGCCTCCCAGGTTCAAGCGATTCTCCTGCCTCGGCCTCTGGAGTAGCTGGGACTACAAGCACGTGCCACCACACCCAGCCAATTTTTTGTATTTTTAGTAGAGACGGGGTTTCACCGTGTTAGCCAGGATGGTCTGGATCTCTTGACCTCGTGATCCGCCTGCCTCGACCTCCCAAAGTGCTGGGATTACAGGCGTGAGCCACTGCACCCGGCCTTACTTACATTTATTAATTCAATGCCCAGGACATAATGTGTAAATGGACAACTCTGTTGTCTAGAATTTATGCAAATACTTGTGATGTTTGTTTGTTTATCTGGAAAATGGCTTTTCAGGGAGGAAAAGCTTTTCCTCTACCCACTTAGGTTCAGTATCTGGGGTCTTGTGAATTTTACTAACAAAAGATCAATTTTAAAAAGGCACACAATTTTCATTAATATTTACATGCATGGGAGTTCACAGAAAAGAAGTGAAACTCAAAGAAATGGTTAGACTTGTGGGGCTTGTATACCATTTTAACAAAGGAAAGGGGTTTGTTCTTCAAGGGAAGGTCCATCATGGGGAAGTGACCTAGAAATGCCTGGGAAACTGATGGAGATGCAGGGTCTTTTAGTGAGGTCTGTCTATGCACACTCATCTCAGTCTCCAGGATGAGCTGCCTTTCTTTATCATCTGGGTAGAAAACACCTTCAGAAAAGGAAATTTATGCTCTCTGCTTTTAGGTAGATAAGGGGAGGGCAGACCTCTTCCCGTATCTGTTGATTCTCAAAGGCCTTAAGCTCAAAATAATCCTTATACAAATGTGGCGAATTTTGGGGTGACTTAACTTGATCCCTTTCAGGCCACTGATGAGTCCATCTTTCCCCACCCAGGTGGAGGTAAGAAAAACCTGTGATGTGGCTGCATGGATTTCTTATTTAAATTTAGAGTGTCACTAACAACCATTTATCAATTCATTGGGCACTCCCTGAGCCCCTGCTCTGTGCCAAGCCCTATGCTGAATGATACTGAGACCCCAAAATGAATGAGACCCATCCATGCTCTCAAGGACCTCCCATTCCCAGGAACGGCACAGACAGGACAGGGTGCTCAGACCCATAAGAGGGTGTGGTGACTCTGAACTCAGGTAGGCTGAACGACGCCTCTCAGAACTCCCTTCCCTGTAGGTTCCTGTTAGGTTGGGAGCAGGACACACCTGCCCAAAGCAGCTGCCGTTGTGCATTTCATGCTGGGGAAATCCAGGCAGGAGCCTCCGTGGCTCAGGTCCAGGTGTTGCTCATCTGCTAGCTCAGCTGGTCAGCCTGGAGCAGCAGCAGGACCTGAAACTGCTCCACCTTTACGCCAATCCTCCTTCAGCTTCTCCACCTCCTGAGCCAGGTGTGCATTGAGCTCTGTGACAAAGTTCACTCCTGCAGGTCCCCTGCACCACCAAGATGAGGCAGCAAGAACAGAGGTAGGTTCTGTGGGTCCCGAAACCTTCCACCTTGTGTAAACTCCCGGCCTGCCCTTACTCCCCACTTTCCATCCATCTCCCCTTCCCCAGGGCCTGCCCTGCAGACTTGGAGCTCAGGTCAGATGCAGAGCCCACAGCCTCACAGGCTTCCATCAGCCAGAAATGGGATCCTGACAGATTCCACCAGCACCAAGTGGAGAGATATTTAGGTATTTAGGGGTCTGAGTGAGGGGCAAACTGGCCTGCCTGGGGCGGCAGGGAAGGTTTCCTAGAGGAATTCCTGCTATTCCTCATTGCGCTTCCAAATTTTAGTCGTGTTCCACTTTTACGATCTGAATAGCCCTTGCACTATTATTTACTCAAAAATTTTCCTTAAAACAACTCACTGTTTTTCTGTAGCCTCATCTTAAAACAATAATGTTTATCTAATCATGGGATTAATATGATATTTCCAATTCTTTTACTCTAATAGGCGCTTAATCACAAGCATAGCCTGTAACGCTTTTTAACAACTGTCATGTGTAACCCCTTAGAATCATCTCACATGCCTTCCACCACTGACACCTGAACCCTATTTTGGGAACCACTCCTTTAGGTGCATCCTGAAGGAGGAACAGAGGTTTACATGGAACCAAATGGAGGAAGGGAGTTTTGTGCTGAGAGAGCAGGTTAAGGAGTTTCCTAGAAGATGTGACAGAAGCTGCATTAGTTATCCATTGTTGTCTAGCAAATTACCGCACGGCTTCGGGGCTTAAAACAGCAACAGATATTTGTTACCTCTCAAATTCTGTGGGGCAGGAATTGAAGAGTGTTTTCAGCATTTTTTTTTTTTTTTTTTTTTTTTTTTTGAGACGGAGTCTCGCTCTGTCGCCCAGGCTGGAGTGCAGTGGCATGATCTCCACTCACTGCACGTTCCGCCTTCCGGGTTCAGGGCATTCTCCTGCCTCAGCCTCCTGAGTAGCTGGGACTACAGGCACCCGCCACCACACCCGGCTAATTGTTTGTATTTTTAGTAGAGACGGGGTTTCACCATGTTAGCCAGGATGGTCTCAGTCTCCTGACCTCGTGATCCACCCATCTCAGCCTCCCAAAGTGCTGGGATTACAGGCATGAGCCACCGCACCCAGCCTGTTTTCAGCTTTTTATTATGAAGCTGGGTGATTGTGACTTGGTGAGTCTCATGAGGTTGGAGTGAAGACGCTAGCCAGGTGCAGTCATCTGCAGCTTTACTGGGCCTGAAGGGTCTGCTTTCTAGAAAGGTCACTCACATGGCTGACAATGTGGTGCTGGCTAGTTCCTACCTCAGGGCCTTTGCACTTGCTGTCCTGTGCCTGGGGTGTCTTTCATCTACTCTTTGTATAACTGGACCCATCCCATCCTTGATGTCTTTGCACCAATGCCACCATCCATGACCTCTGATGCCACCAAGTTACTTTCTTACACATCATCCTTTGTTTTCAACTTTTTAATATGAAAGATTTCAAACATCCAGAAAAATTGAAAACATAATACCAAGAATACCCACATCCTCTCCTTATATTCAAGTTTAACATTTTGCCATATTTCCTCTGGTTTTTTTCTGAACCATGTCAGGGTAAATTGCAGACATCAAGACACTGTGTCCTTGAGTACTTTAGCATGCCTCTCCCCAGAATGACTAGCCCACAATACCGTGATCACGCCTGAGAAAATCAACAATAACTCCCTAACAGTATCTAATACATAGTCCATTTTCAATCTTCACCATTGTTCTGCAAAATATCTTTTCCATGTATATATATTTTTATATATTTATATTATATAAATATAAATATATAAAAATATATATTTTATATAAATATATAATATATATAAATATATAATATATAAAAATATATATTATATATAAATATATAATATATAAAAATATATATTATATATAAATATATAATATATAAAAATATATATTATATATAAATATATAATATATAAAAATATATATTATATATAAATATATAATATATAAAAATATATATTATATATAAATATATAATATATAAAAATATATATTATATATAAATATATAATATATAAAAATATATATTATATATAAATATATAATATATAAAAATATATATTATATATAAATATATAATATATAAAAATATATATTATATATAAATATATAATATATAAAAATATATATTATATATAAATATATAATATATAAATATGTATAACATATAATATATAAAATATATAATATATATAATATATATAAAAATATATATTTATATATACTTTTTTTTGAGACAGAGTCTCGCTCTGTTGCCAGGCTGGAGTGCAGTGGCGCCATCTTCGCTCACTGCAACCTCCACCTCCTGGATTCAAGTGATTCTCCTACCTCAGCATCCTGAGTAGCTGAGACTACAGGCATGCACCACCACGCCCAGCTAATTTTTGTATTTTTAGTAGAGACAGGGTTTCACCATGTTGGCCAGGATGGTCTCGATCTCTCGACCTCATGATCTACCTAAATGCTGGGATTATAGGCGTGAGCCATCATGCCCAGCCCCATGTATATTTTTAAACGGGGATACAATCAAGACTAATGCTTTGTATTTGGTTATTAAGTATCTTTCAT
The DNA here is from genome assembly GCF_000001405.40 of Homo sapiens. NCBI lineage: Eukaryota > Metazoa > Chordata > Mammalia > Primates > Hominidae > Homo > Homo sapiens. Next base: position 43,398,630 of record NC_000019.10, read on the forward strand.
TCTACAACAGTCCCCCTCCACTACCCATTTTTTTCATGACTGCTAAAGAAAAGACAGAAGGCCCAAAGTGGAGTCAACTTATGCTAAAGTTGCACATCATCAAACTGAAACCTGCGTTGTTTACTAGTAAGATACGTCCTTCCAGAAATCATGAGAGAGATTATAGCCAAATCCCATTAAGCCAACAAGATTTTGCTAAAATCCCTATAAAGGGAAGTAACTTTGAGATGACAGATTGGCTATTTTTTCCTTGTTCCTGCTTTCTTTGGCTTTTTTCTGCCCATAAAACTCACCAAATCCCTTTAGCTCAATAGCGCTCCATTCTGTTTTATAGATTGAATGCCGCCTAGTTCATGAATTGCTAATAAAAGCCAATTCGATATTTTACTCTATTTGCTGAAATTTTGTTCTTTGACATGACATAGACTGTGAGGAGAGCAGACATGTTGTCTTATAGAATGCCCACATTCTGAATTTGTTTCCTTATGGTGTCATTTCACTGACTTCACTCTAAGCCCTCTATTCTCTATAAATCTCAAAGTGAATCCCAAAGCTTGAGTAAATTCTGGTTGCATTTTTTTTAGGCAAGAATACTTCATGAGTGATGCTATCTACATTATATTGGATTATATCAAGTTGCAATAGTTATATAGCTATTATTCCTGTGTGATATTTCAGTGACTTAAAGATTGATCCATGGGTTCAGGTGTTGTCAGCCTGATTCGTGTGTTGTCAAGTTGCCCATCAACTTTTTGCTTGATGGTTTTAGAATGATCTAGGCAATGATGATGATCATTGCCTAGATCAGTCATTTCATTAAGCATTCCAAAATGGCAATTATCTAATTTTTAAATTCCTCCTGCATTTTTAAAAGCTAGACTTATTTTTCTCTAATGAAGAAAACTTCCTCACTCGTGATTTGGTTACCTTGAAGTGTTGTCTGTTTAGGAAGTTACTGTGATACTTGATTATTTTCCTTCATATACTAGCTTTGTGAGCTAGTTCCCTAGCAACCTCCAAAGTAAACTGATGACATTTTAAAAGTATTATTATGAAATATAGATTTTTGTATATTTTAAGTGTTTCAATCCATTGCATCCACACTTTCTTTTGATGCTCGAAATGTCCCACCTTTGTTTGAAACAGCCCCTCCAAGTTGGCTCCTATGTCCTATTTTTTTTTTTTTTTTTTTTTAAAGACGAAGTTTCACTCTTGTCAGCCAGGCTGGAGTGCTGGAGTGCAATGGTATGATCTCAGGTCACACAACCTCCACCTCCCAGGTTCAAGCAATTCTCCTGCCTCAGCCTCCTGAGTAGCTGGGATTACAGGTACAAGCCACCATACCCAGCAAATTTTTGCATTTTTAGTAAAGACAGGGTTTCACCATGTTGGCCAGGCTGGTCTCGAACTCCTGACCTCAGGTGATCTACCCGCCTCAGCCTCCCAAAGTGCTGGGATTACAGGCGTGAGCCACCAAGCCCGGCCTCCTATGTCCTCTTGACATGACCCTTGTAGTATATGATAATTTCCTGCTTTGGCATGGAAAATATCCCAGGCTCATCTTACATAATTCTTACTTCATATCTGAAATCAGGCATGTCTCCAAGGAGTCTTGGAGAAGATTCATTTTTGTGGGGAGTGGTATTTTTAGAGACTACAATTTAAATACTAAGGGTGCTGTTTGCTACTGTTAGCAGATACAGCTAGAAAAAGACATACTTTTTAGAAAAAGAAATGCTTTTCCTGAGTTCACACTAGTATTTCCCATGCAAATGAAAGATTCTTGGGTTTTCGTTTAAATGCATTGGTTTCATATTTGTATCTCTTTTCTCTGGCCCTGATGCATAATTACTTATTTGCTATTTGTTTCAAAATAGTCATGCAGCTGTTTGCACTAAGAATAACAGTACTGAATGCAGTTTAGATTTCTTTCATTTATTTCAATCAGCAAGATCTATCTCACTAGAGTTGTCCAGTCATTGTACACAGGTAAAGTAGCTGGAAATAATTTTCCTCTGTGTTACTATGCCACCAGCTTTCCACCCAGATTCATTTCCACCAGTTTAGTTTTCACTTTTAGAGATGGCTTAGCTCTTGTGTTTTAAATTTTATTTTGTTTTTAATAAGGTAAAATATTTACCTGGTTACACAATCAAACTATTAAGCAAAAGGCTTAATGGTTTATGTTCCATCTCAGGCCCCTTTTTTTCCCTCCCTCCTCCTATAGGTGAATCAGTTTGGTTTTGTTGTTTATTCTTCCACTGCTTCTTTCAAAAAGCATAGGCAAATATGTTTTTTTAAATATTTTAAAAGTTTATTTGTCTTTTAACTAGCCCACAGACCCAATTCTTTGAGGGCTGAGCTGATTTCTGACACATGTTCTATAGGCCCTCCTCTTGGAAACTTACTTTCTATCCCCTTCCAAAAAAGTCTGCACCTTCCATCATGATGCACATTTTAAGTTAAAATTGCCAATCCAAGCCTCAAAATGCAAGTTTATTGAATAAAGCTGAGAAGAGCAGTAAACAGACAAAAAAATGCATCCACCTAAATAAAAAAATTCACATATTTACATAATTCAGTAACTGTTAAAAGTTTTCACACACAGAGGTTAATGCACAGGAAAATGCTGGTAATAGCATCTAGGTGTCTTGAAACGCTGAAAGCAATGTATAGACACACAAACACATTAAGGTTTAGGTATAGGTCAATTAACAAACCTATACAGTCCTCACAGAGTCACACACTCTAGTTCCAATTCCTCCTTTTAGGCACAAGCAAGTTGTCACATTCTTTGTAATGGTTCACTTTGACCATTAATGGTATTGAACAACAGCAGCAAGTTTAAATACCCTTTCATTTACAGAACCATCCATCCCATCAGGGAAATATGCAACATGCTTCAAAGAATAAGAAGAGAACTTTGGGCCAGGTGCGTGGCTGAGGGCCGGGAGTGGTGGCTTGCGCCTATAATCCCAGAATTTTGGGAGGCCAAGGCAGGCAGATCTGAGGTTGGGAGTTCGAGACCAACCTGACCAACATGGAGAAACTCTGTCTCTACTAAAAATACAAAATCAGCCGGGTGTGGTAGCAAATGCCTGTAATCCCAGCTACTCAGGAGGCTGAGGCAGGAGAATAGCTTGAACCCGGGAGGCGGTAAGCTGGAGATTGTGCCATTGCACTCCAGCCTGGGCAACAACAGCAAAACTCTGTCTCAAAAAAAAAAAAGAGAAAACTTAAAAGCCCAGATTCTACTCATAAAAATACGAATGGAGAAAAGCAAGTAGTGTCTGTGCAACACAGTGCAGTATATTGTACAGAATATTTTTAAGGCCACGGCAGTCTATGAATTAAAACTGGTATTCATTAAAAGAACTTACTGTAGACTAAACTCTGAGTGCTCAACACGTTTGGAAATGCAGTCTACATAAGTGCTGCTTAACAAAAGAAAAAATCACACGCAGTGTGAGGCAACACATAAGCGGGTGTCCCATAGTGTTTAAGCTACTACAGTGGTCTATATGAATAATAATTTACAACTGAACCAGTATGAATATGTCCCTTTATGTATACAGAAGTCACTAAACTACAAAACATGTTCATTTGAAGTTTTTAGACATCTCTGTATCATAGAAGCAAACGAACAGCATCAGTTCCTCAGTTCTCTGTGTGATTGATTATTAACCTGTAGATGTTGAACATGATTACATTAGATTAAGCAGGCAGGTCTAGAGTTGTCACAATAATCAAGATGTCTAATGGCACCAGTCAAAAGAGTGCCAAACCTTACATCAATAAAAGAGAAAAATAAAATTTTGTATTTGTTTATAAGTATCTTTTGTGCTGAAAGTCAACTTTATGGCTGGATGTAAAAAGTCGGGAATTACAGTGTCATGCAGCAGCACTGGTTTAATGACTGGAGATAGAACAAACAGATGTTTGAACTAAATCTGACTTTTTTTTTTTTTTGAGATGGAGTCTCACTCTGTCGCCCAGGCTGGACTACAGTGGCACAATCTCGGTTCACTGCAAGCTCCGCCTCCTGGGTTCACGCCATTCTCCTGCCTCAGCCTCCTGAGTAGCTGGGACTACAGGCGCCCGCCACCACAGCCGGCTAATTTTTTTGTATTTTTTAGTAGAGACGGGGTTTCACCGTGTTAGCCAGGATGGTCTCGATCTCCTGACCTCGTGATCCGCCTGCCTTGGCCTCCCAAAGTGCTGGGATTACAGGTATGAGCCACCGCGTCCAGCCTAAATCTGACATTCTTAACAGTTTTTATTATATTGGGTGGAATGCTCTAAATTCATGAAAGCTTTTGAGAAAATCTTCAATTCTTAACCCCTTAAAAAAGTATGCTGAACCAGAAAGAAAAAACAAAAGATAGAAATAATGATCTGGACAGATGCAAAACAGCATGCGTTAGTTCCTCCCATATCCCAACTGCCATCTGGCGATAAAGAGTTCTCAGAAAGCAGAATGTCTTTAATATCCCTCAGGTAGGATCTCACCAGTGTAAAGAATCAACATTGATCTGGTGCCTCCACTCACTCTCTGTGGACCGTATTGGATTCCTAAGATGTAATTATACATTTCACATGCATTTGTGAGATAAGATAAACATTATGTTTACATATATCCCACCTGAGTCATTCAGGCTTAAAGGTTTTCTAAATACTGTGTGCGGCACTAGAAACTTCATGCTGTATCAGTGAATTATCACAAGGACAGAAAACCAAACACCACATGTTCTCACTCATAGGTGGGAATTGAACAATGAGAACACTTGGACACCGGGGCCTGTCTTGGAGTTGGGGGCTGGGGGAGGGATAGCATTAGGAGAAATACCTAATGTAAATGACAAGCTCATGGGTGCAGCAAACCAGCATGGCACATGTATACCTATGTATCAAACCTGCACGTTGTGCACATGTACCCTAGAACTTAAAGTATAATAATAATTTAAAAAAGGAAATACCAATATTATTAGCCTTTAACCCTAATTCAGAATAAACTAAATGTTCTAATTGATTTTAAAAAAAAAAAGGAAAAAGAAAAAGAAACTTCATGCTGTATCAAGTCAATGTCAGTATTAAGCTACTGGACTCTATGAAATATTATAGATAGACATTTACTGAAAACCAATATAAAAATCTGGCCCACAAAGACCAGAATGGAAATATCCAATTTTCTTGATTTAAGATGGTCAAAACCATCCTGGCTAACACAATGAAACCCTGTCTCTACTAAAAATGCAAAAAATTAGCCGGGCATGGTGGCGGGCACCTGTAGTCCCAGCTACTCGGGAGGCTGAGGCAGGAGAATGGCATGAAGCCAGGAGGTGGAGCGTGCAGTGAGCCAAGATCACGCCACTGCACTCCAGCCTGGGCAACAGAGTGAGACTCTGGCTCAAAAAAAAAAAGATGGTCAAAAGTGTGTGGGTTTTTTTTTTTTTTTTTGGAAAAAAAAAAAGCTCTACACATGATTTAAGACAGGTATGTGTAAGAAGCCTTTTTGTGTGTGCTGGCTTTATCACGACAACTCTGGCTGATTCTTTATGAAGGATTAGGGATACTCATCTTCAGCAGTGCACGTGAGAAGTAAACTCTGAAAAAGGCAATTTCTTGGGTTTAGGAAGGACTGTATTCTGGGAATTACTTCAGAGGAATGGGCAATAATTCTAGGATTATACCCAAGAAGGACTGGAAGCCTTCAGGAGATGCTTCAGCTTCTTCTAGATTTTGAATGCTCAATAAGCCACTGAAATGTGATATCTATATTATATTACATATGTTTATGTATTAGCATTTCACCCCTCTTTGGAAAGGGATAGCATTTTAATATATAATATACTACAATTTGTTTGTTATCTTCCAACCTTTTATTTTGAAAGTTTTCAAGCCCATAGAAAAGGTGGAAGAATTGTACAATGAACCCCTTATATATTTCACCAAGATTCACCAATTGTTAACATTTTGCCACATTTGCTTGATTGATTTTTTAATTTTTTTCTATCAATCTAGATACATGTGTATGTATGTGTGTGCGTGTATCCTAATTATTTGCCTGTGTATACACAGAAAGAAAGAATGAAAAATATACATAATAATAAATTATATATATGTTAGGTGAATATATAAATATATATATACTTAAGTTGTGTGCACTTTACTCTGTTTTTTATGTCATAATTTAAAATTTTAAAATATATAAGAAATAAATAAGCCTGAAACAAAGGTATTTTCAGCAAAATAAAAATAGAGACACTTCATCAACAGCTGATTCCCACTGAGACATATATTTCAGAAAGGAGAGAACTGATCACAGATAGAAGGTATGGGACGCAAAAAGTAATGAAGAGAAAAGAAAGTGGCAAATACACGTTAAAATGTAAATGTACTTGGTATAAATAGTGCTAATGATATCTAGTGGGATTATACAAAGATACACTAAAAATTCCCTGCAAGGTTAGTTAGTATGTAATTCAGGGTGAGTAGGCAAATTGGTGAAGCTAAGTAAATCTAAGGTCATTTTATTATTCAGGAAAAAGGCAAAGGTTTAAATTGACTTTAGACTTTGATAAATGAATTATGCGTGCTGGAATTTCTAGCCTATTTCCCAAACAAAGATTATCAGAGTGGATTAGGAAGGCAAGATCTGGCCTGGTGTGGTGGCTCACACCTGTAATCCCAGCACTTTGGGGGGCCGAGGTGGGTGGATCACCTGAGGTCAGGAGTTGTCTACCAGCCTGGCCAACATAGTGAATATAATGAAACCCCATCTCTACTAAAAATACAAAAATTAGCCTGGCGAGGTGGCACATCTCTGTAATCCCAGGTACTTGGGAGCCTGAGGCAGGCTTGAACCTGGGAGGCAGAAGTTGCAGTGAGCCAAGACCATGACAAGAACAAAACTCTGTCTCAAAAAAAAAAAAAAAAAAAAAAAAAAGAGGCAAAGACAAAGACAAGATCCAATAATAAATTATTTATTTAAAAACACATCTAAAATGGAAGGAGGTTGGGTGCGGTGACTCACGCCTGTAATCCCAGCATTTTGGGAGGCCAAGGCAGGTGGATCACTGGAAGTCAGGAGTTTGAGACCAGCCTGACCAACATGGTGAAACCCCGTCTCTAGAAAAATTAGCTGGGCGTGGTGGCATGTGCTGTAATCCCAGCTATTCGGGAGACTGAGGCAGGAGAACTGCTTGAACCCAGGAGGCGGAGGTTGCAGTGAGCTGAGATCGTGCCAGTGCAATCCAGCCTGGGGGACCCAGCAAGACTCCATCTCAAAAAAATACGATAAAATAAAATGGAAGGATACACAATTGTTGACTATAAAAGGATGGGAAAAGATATTTCATGTAATAAGAAAGCCAGCATATAAGAGGCAGGAGGATCACTTGAGGCCAGGAGTTTGAGACCAGCCCGGACAACATAAGGAGACCCTGTCTCTACAAAAAAAAAAAAAAAAAAAAGCCAGATGCCTGGCTCACGCCTGTAATCCTAGCACTTTGGGAGGCACCTTGGGACTGTTGAATTAAAACAAAACACAGCTTAGGCTGCTGTGGGTATTGACGACTTGTGATTTCTGTGCAGGGCACTGAATGTCAAAGTGAAGGAATTCAATGAAGCCCGGATCAAGGGCAGGAGCAACCGTGACCCTCTTAAAAGAGCCAATGCCCCATGTAATTAGTGACGCGCGCGAATGGATAGACGCTATTCCCACCGTCCCTACATAGCATCCAGCGACACCACAGCCAAGGGACAGGCTTGGCGGAACCTGCGGGAGAGAAGAACCCTCTGAGCCTGATTGAAAGGCGGTGAAGAGACAGGAGAGGGGGATCGGTGGGCGGTCCCGCCTCCATCTTCAGTTCCCGCATGGGGGCGAGGCAGGTACATGGGCCTTGCGGGCTGTGGGTGAAATTCCATTATTAATTGTTTTTTCACTAACCTGGTGGGGGAGTCGGGCGCGAGTTTCGAGAGAGACTCTGGCTTCTGGCGCCAAGCCTTAGCCAAGCTCACCAGGGGCAGCGCTAGATGGGGAGACTGGGACACACGTCTGAACGCAGATGTCCGAAGGGAGCGCAGGAAGACAGAAGCCTCCCGTTGGGCAGGAGGGCAAAAGCTCCTGGGTCTTGGATTTGCAACAGGAGTTCAGACGGTGAAAGCAGGGCCTCAGGATCCTTCTGACCTTTTGAGTTTTAAACAAGGGGTGTCAGAAAAGTCGTCACAGGGATAACTGATTTGCAGCAGGAAAGCATTCATAGGAATGAGGCTTCTTTTTGTTTTTTGTCTTTGTTTTTTGTTTTTTTTTTTTTTTTTGACAGGGTCTCATTCTGTGGCACAGGCTGGAGTGCAGTGGTGCCACCATTGCTCACTGCGCTATGTGAGCTATGTGATCGGCGCTTAAGTGATACTCTCGCCTCAGCCTCCAAAATAAATGGGACCGCAGGCCTGAGCCACCATGTCCTGTGGCTTTTTAATCCTTTTGATCCTTGGATGTGGGCTCTTCCTATCATTGGAAGACAGAATTCACCAAGGTTGGGATGTTCACCCACTCAGAAAACCTGAGCTGGGGCTGGGGCTGTGGCTCACGCCTATAATCCCAGCACTTTGGTAGGCCAAGGCGGGCGAATCACCTGAGGTTGGAAGTTCGAGGCCAGCCTGGCCAACATGGTGAAACCCCCATCTCTACTGAAAATACAAAAATTAGCCGGGCGTGGTGGCGCATGCCTGTAATCCCAGCTACTCGGGAGGCTGAGGCAGGAGAATCACTTGAACCAGGGAGGCAGAGGTTGCAGTGAGCTGAGACGGTGTCACTGCACTCCAGCCTGGGCAACAAGAGCGAAACTTCGTCAAAAAAAAAAAAAAGGAAGAAAGAAGAAAAGGAAAGAAAAGAAAGCCGGAGCTGGGATTAGACCATGTGAGACAGGTTGATTTCACGCTAGTGAGCATGCGTGGTTGCCATGGTGCTCTTGCCCAGTACCACAGGTCCCCAGGTTCAGACGTTTGGTGCCTGTGCTTGGATGAGGGACCACTGGGCTAAGCTGCCATCCGTGGGATGCTGACTAAAGGCCTCCAAGTCAGAATATGCCCAGGCAGAACTATAGGGCAGCGCCATGAAGCCTCGGCTGGCCTGGGATAGCCGGTCGTCGCCAACAGGACGCAGTGCAGCAGGGTTGAGGCCCCATGCGGAGAGCTCATTGTCTTGGGAAACCGGCAGTGGGAAGGGTGGCCGGCCCCTCGCCCTTCACGCAAGGCCCATTCGTGGGGAACCTGGCGCTAAACCATCCCTAGAGGAGCTGCTTCTGGGTCCGAGTTTTCTCTGCAGCAGAGTGGCTCCCTGGATGGGATCTGTTGAAAGTTAGCCCTCCACACAGGCGTGTGTCCGCTTCGCAGCGTGTGTGCAGAGCCATCAATCCTTCCTTCCTCAATCCCGGGGGTCTCCCGCGTCCCCATACCCCCACCCCGGCCTCTGGTATGGGAACCAGTGACGTCTCTCCCGTGAGCCTGCCCGAGCCCGCAATGCCCTCAGGAGGCGCCCGCCCCGCCCTCTGGGCTTTCCGAGGGCTGCAAGGAACATGCGCTTCCGGGGGTGGAGAGGCGGTGAGGGCCGCCCCCGCAGCGTCCTGTTTGGGAGCCAGGTCTTCTCCTCGTTCTGCCCGGGCTCGACCAGGGGCTAGATCGGGGTTCGGGGAGCGAACAAGGCACGTCGGAGGGTGGCCCGGTGGCCCCTATTCGAGGGGTGGCTGTGGGCCAGGAGGTAGCGGTGGCGGCGGCCTCGCCTGTGGCCATCTGAGCCGTGGGCCGGTAGGCGGGGAGGAGAAGAGGGTCCGGCCGGTCACCGCCCTTGCACGCCTCCTCCTCTTAAAAATAAATAAATAAATAAATGGCGAGTTGGGGGTGGACAGGGATGTTTTAGTGCTGTGCGTGCGTTCTGGAGCCACACCACCCTCTAGAACCAGGGCCACAACCACCCGTGACGCCCACCGTGAGAAGTGCCCTCTCCCAGAAGGGCCTGCACCAGAGACCTTGGTCTTTGTTCTTTTTGGAGAGATCTGTGCAGATCGAGGTCACTCCAGCCCTGGATTCAGGGAGGGCTGCACTATCAGAGAAAGACAGCTTCAGCGAGGCCTCACAGTGAGTCAGACCAGACTCTTCCCATCCCCAAGATCCCTGGACTATGGGGCATCATCCTGGGATCCCTAAGGTCACATGGGAAACTTCTCAAGCACCGATGCTGCCATCTGATACTGTGGCCTGATCCCACCCCTGGACACCTGGAAATTCTCATGAACCCGTGGAGGCCTGGTGCTACCTGAAACTGTGACCTCATTCTACTTCCAACTCACAAGTTGAAGCGTAGATTTACATGCAGTCAAATCAATAATTAGATTAATTGGCTGACTAAAGGAAAAACTTCAGACACGTTAAATTTAACACAGTTTAATTGAGTAATGAATGATGCATTAATCAGGTAGCCCCCAGACCCAGAGTAGGTTCAGAGAAACTTCAGGGTGTTCCGTCCATAAATGGTTGGATAACATCTACCGCAGAAGAAAGTGATGTAGAAGAAACTAAGGAAGGCACTGAAATAGCTGGACTGCTAACAGTTGGGTGCTTGCCTTATTTGAACCAGGTTTGAACAGTTAGTTGGGTACCTGTGATTGGCTGAGACTCAGCTATTTTTACTATAGCAGGTTACAGACTGTTTACACATCAAGTTAGGTTACAGTTCACTATGTATGGAGAAACCATTAGACCAAACTTAAAGTAGTAGGGAGGCAGCTTTAGACCTAACAATGTTAACAGGCCAAACATTTCAATTAAGGGGTACAGATTGGTCAAATTGCATAAAAAAGCAATACCCATATATACTGTCTACAAGGGAAATATTTTACATATAGGGAAAAGCATTATTGAAAGTGTGAGTATTGAAAAAGATATACCATGCAAACAGTAAGCACAAGAAAGTTGAAGTACTAGTAAAAAAAAAAAAAGAAAGAAAGAAAATAGAATTCAAAACAGAAGGTAAAAGAGACTGAAGCAGGAGAATTGCTTGAACCTGGGAGGCGAAGGTTGCAGTGAGCCAAGATTGCACCATTGCACTCCAGCTCTGGGTGACAGAGCAAGACTCCATCTCTGTGGAAAAAAAAGAAAAGGAGAAACAAATGTGAGTGTAAGCAAGGCGAGTGTTTCCTCTATGATTAGTAATTAGCAGTCTTCAAAAAGACATTCTGTGGCTTGGGGTTTAATAGTAAAATAATTAGCTGGCATGGTGACATGTTCCTGTACTCCCACCCAAGAGGCTGAAGTGGGAGGATTGTTTGAGCCCAGGAGTTTGAGGCTGCAGTGAGCTGTGATTGCACCACTGTACTCCAGCCTGGACAAGATTGAGAGAGATCCTGTCTCAAAAAAAAAATAAGTAAAACTGGTGGTTTAACCTCAAGGCTTACAACTCATTGTTTTGTAAGGTTTGCAGAAGATCTCAATCCTTTACAAGTAGGAAGGAAAAGCCTGTTGGTTTGAGAGGGAACTGGGTGTGTGCATAGGCCTGTTGGTAGGAGAACTGGAGCACTCAAAAAGGGAGCTGCACGATGCTTATGCCGGCTTCACTGAGGGCTGTGGGCATTGGAGGAATGGGCTTTGAAGGACAATTAGGAGTTTGTGGGGTAAACAAATGCATGGGGGAAGCGGATTAGGGAGAGGTCTCCCATGCAGAGGGACCAGTGTGAGCAAAGCCAAAGAGGCTGGAAGAGACTAGGGATGTCCTGGGAATAGATATTAGACAGGGAATGATAAGGGTGAGGCATGGGGGCTGGTCTCCAAGACCAGTGTGGGAGGTTGGAATTTTCCCCCAGGAATACAGGAAGCATGGAAAAAATTCTGAGGATGGAATACGGAGGGCCTGAGGTATGTGGTGGCTCACTGTTGTGTGTTTCTCATTTCTGGATCTAAGAGACATTCTTTAATCCAGCAAATGTTTACTTACCTACACTGTAATCATATGCTGAGTACACAGAGATGGATCAGACACAGCTGGAAGGAACCAGATACACACATGCCCATGCACACATGCACACTGACATGTACACCGAGACACACACATCAGACACACATTCACACACAGCACACAGATACACACAGACATACATATATACAGACATGTGCACACACAAACATGCATGCACTCACAGTCACACATGAACACACATAGCCAATTATACTATAAAGTACAAAAAAAAAATTTTTTTTTGAGACAGGGTCTTGCTCTGTCACCAGAGCAAAAGCTGGAGTACAGTGGCGTTATCTCGGCTCACTGCAACTGCAACCTCCACCTCCTGGGCTCCAGCGATCCTCCCACCTCAGCCTCCCAAAGTGTTGGGATTACAGGCATGAGCCATGGCACCCAGCCTAGAATCTTACTTGAGGTAAAATGAGAATCCACTGGAAGGTTTTGGTTTTTTTGAAACAGAGTCTTGCTCTGTCACCCAGGCTGCAGTGCAGTAGCACAATCTTGACTCACTGCAGCCTCCACCTCCCAGGTTCAAATGATTCTCTCGCTGCAGCATCCAGAGTAGCTGGGATTACAGGGGCGCACCACCACGCCCAGCTAATTTTTTCATTTTTAGTGGAGACAGGGTTTCACCATGTTGGCCAGGCTGGTCTCGAACTCCTGATCTCAGGTGATCCACCACCTCGGCCTCCCAAAGTGCTGGGATTACAGGCCTGAGCCACCGTGCCTGGCCCATTAGAAAGTTTTAAACAGGAGTAATGTGGTGTGGCTTGCAATTAAGAGATCGCTCTGGTGCCAGGTGGGAAATAGCCACATGGGCAAGGGCAGGGCGTACTGCAATAATCCAGTGACCAATGGTGGTGTCACAAGTGCTTATATAAAAAGATGCCTTCACTGTATATTAGCCATTGAGCTTTTTTCTTTTTTACAAACGTTCCATGGATTCATAAACTATTTGCCAACCATTGCTCTAGACTAACCTCCTCATTTTCTTTTTTTTCTTTTTTTTCTTTTTTTTTGAGACCAAGACCAAGTTTTGCTCTTGTTGCCCAGGCTGGAGTGCAATGGTGCAGTCTCAGCTCACTGCAACCTCCGCCTCCCAGGTTCAAGTGATTCTCCTGCCTCAGCCTCCCAAGTAGCTGGGATTACAGGCGCGTGCCACCAGGCCTGGCTAATTTTTGTATTTTTAGCAGAGACAGGGTTTCACCGTGTTGGTGAAGGTCAGGCTGGTCTCAAACTCCTGACCTCAGGTGAACCACCCACCTTGGCCTCCCAAAGTGCTGGGATTATGGGCTTGAGCCACTGCACCCAGCCTAACCTCTTCATTTTCTAGATGAGGACACTGAAGCTTGGAGAGGAACAGAAATTGGCTCAGGCTAAGGAAGATCTGTCAATCTCTCTTGCACCAAAAAGGCAAAGCCACCTTTCTCAAGGGGCTGTGTATTGGGGTGTTCTTGCACTGCTATAAAGAAATACCTGAGACTAGAAGTAATTTATAAGAAAAGAGGTTTGATTGGCTCAAGGTTCTGCAGCTGTACAGGAAGCGTGGTGCCAGCATCTCCTTCTGGGGAGGCCTCAGAGAGCTTTTACTTATGGCAAAAGGATGCAGGCCAGAGAAGGGGAGCGAGAGAGAGTAAGAAGGGGAGGTGCCACACACTTAAACAACCAGATCTGGCAAGGACTCACTCATCATTGCAAGGACAGCACCAAGTCATGAAGGATCTGCCCCCATAACCCAAACACCTTCCACCAGGTCGCATCTCCAACACTGGGAATTACATTTCAACATGAGATTTGGGCGGGGGACAAATATCCAAACTATGTCACGGAGCAAGAGGAGGTCCCTGGAGCTGTTGAAGCAGAAATGGGGTGAAGAATAGAGGTGGAGGGTGCTTAGGCTTCCAAGGTCTCTTCTAGGTGTGAGATGGAGGGATTCTGCGACCAAGTCACCTGGAGAGTGACTCAACAAGGTGACTGCTTTCCCAAGCACGAGCCCTCGGGGGACAGACGGGGGCTGAAAACTGGCACACATTCTTCCTGGATCCTTTGACATGTGATCATTCAAAGATAACAGTTCAAAGATAACAAAGGGATTGAAGCTTTACCAATCCCTTTCTTATTGTGGCATTTTCTCTATTAAAAATAAATACTCATTTATACTATAACTTACAGAATCAGTACCAATTCTGAAAGTATACAAAGCGTTGCCTTACTTTAAGGAAGGAGACCACTACTACTCCTGCTGCCCTCCTCCCCCGACCTTGCCTAGTTCACAAGACAGGAGGAAAGAGAGAAAGCAAAAAGTTGGAAAGAAACAGAAGTAAGATAAATAGCCAGTCAACCTTGGCACCACCACCCAGCCCTAGGAGTTAAAAAAAGTAATAATAATAACAGCAACCCCTGACCTAAACTACTTGTGTTATCTGTAAGTTCCAGACATTATATGAAAAAGCATTGCAAAACTTTCTGTTCTGTTACCTGATGCATGTAGCCCCCAGTCACGTTTCCCACGCTTGCTCGATTTATCACGACCCTTTCATGTGGACCCCTCGAAGTTGTAAGCCTTTAAAAAGGCCAAGAATTGGCCAGGCGTGGTGGCTCATGCCTGTAATCCCAGCACTTTGGGGGGCGGGCGGATCACGAGGTCAGGAGATCGAGACCATCCTGGCTAACACAGTGAAACCCCATCTCTACTAAAAATACAAAAAAATTAGCCGGGTGTGGTGGTGGGTGACTGTAGTCCCAGCTACTCGGGAGGCGGAGGCAGGAGAATGGCATGAAGTCGGGAGGCAGAGCTTGCAGTGAGCCGAGATTGCACCACTGCACTCCAGCCTGGGCAACAGAGGGAGACTCCAAAAAAAAAAAAAAAGGCCAAGAATTTATTTTTCAGGGAGCTCGGCTCTTAAGACGCAAGTCTGCTGAGGCTCCCGGCCAAATAAACCTCTTCCTTCTTTAATCCAGTATCTGAGGAGTTTTGTCTGCAGCTCATCCTGCTACAACTTCATGTCACACCTGGAAAGCTTACATAGGCCAGGGGTGGTGGCTCACGTCTGTAATCCCAGTACTCTGGGAGGCCGAGGTGGGCAGATCACCTGAGGTTAGGAGTTCAAGACCAGCCTGGTCAACACGGCGAAACCCCGTCTCTACTAAAAATACAAAAATTAGCCAGGTGTGGTGGCAGGTGCCTGTAATCCTAGCTGCTCAGGGGAGACTGAGGCATGAGAATCGCTTGAACCTGGGAGAGGGAGGTTGCAGTGAGCTGAGATCACGTCACTGCACTCCAGCCTGGGGGATAGAGAGAGGCTCTGTCTCCAAAAAAAAAATACAAAAAATTAGCCAGGCATGGTAGCTTATGCCTGTAATCCCAGCTACCTGGGAGGCTGTGGTAGGAGAATCACTTGAACCCAGGAGGAGGAGGTTGCAGGGAGCCAAGATTGTGCCATTGCACTCCAGCCTGGGCAAAAAGAGCAAAAGTCTGTCAAAAAGGGAAGGGAAGGGGAGGGGAAGGGAGGGGAGGGGAGGGAAGGGAAGGTTACATAGATGTGAAAGTGAACTGCCAGCCATGAGCAACAAATCCGAGTGACATGTCTTCTTCATGGTCCTGACACGGACGCGTGGGTTCGATCTGACAGCAGCCTGTGCCATCATAGCTACTGCTCATGCATGCATTCGGGGTGCCCAAAGTGATGCTGAGGGGGGCATTCCTAGATTCAACCCTCCAGGAGACCATGAGGAGGCTGGTGCGATAGCGCAATCAGATGAAGACGCCTGGGCTGCACAGGGGCCACTGCAAGTGAAGACTCAAGAGGCCAAGCTGACTCCCAGAGGCTAGGGCCACTAAGGTGGGTGCCGAGGCAGGGGCCAGGCTGGGAACATGAGAGGCCATTTGGGTAGGGAGATAAGTTCCGTGAGTGAGGGCCAAGGGTCTGACCTCCTAGTGTGGCTGGAGAAGCAGAGACAACAGAGTGCAAAAAGAGAAATGGGCCAGGCGAGGCCATCTGGCAACGCACTGCCCACCCTCCATTGCGTGCCTCTGGCTGCAAAAACAGGCAGGATCTTCCGGCCGGTTTGCCCGCCACTCACCTTCCGAGCATGCGCACCCTCCGAGATTGCCAGGAATTGACTTCTCTGTGGCCAATGAGGTGCCGCGTTCCTCCAGGCTCATCCAATGAACTTATCCGATGCTTTTGCATCCACCAATGGGGTTTCGAGTGCTGTGTGGCCAGGCTGGCCCGGCCTTGCGTCGTAAGAGAATGCCAAGCCCGGGGAGAAGGCGTTCCGGGCCTCAACTTTGGCGTCGTGAGATTCTTGTGAGGCGTCTGCCTGGAAGCCGGCAGCAATTTTGCTTCTTTAAAGAGAAAAAGAAGGCTAGGGACTCAGATTCCTGGATTCTGAGGAAAGAGAAGGCTGGGGACCCAGATCCTGGCTCTGAGGGGAACGAGGGTTGGGGGCCTGGGCTCCCGGGCCTGAGAGGGAGGGGACCAGAATGGTGTGTCCCGCAGGAAAAGGTGGTTGGAACCCAGACTCCTCGATCCCTACATAGGACGGGGCTGGGCTCTCAGAATCCCGGGTTCTGATGAGGCTGGGGCTGGGGCTGGGGGCCGAGATTCTGGGTCCCTGAGAGAATGTAAGGGACCCCTGAGACTGAGGGAGAAGCGGCCTTCAGGGCCACACTCCTGATCCTGAAGTTGGAGGGCACTGGGTGGCCGGGCCTGAGAATTAAAACCATGAAAAACTGGGGCGTGATAAACCTGTGAACTCGCTCCAGCTCACAAGCCGGTTAGGGACAGAACGACTTTAGAAGTCGTGGTCATATACACCATAAACCCCACTGTGAGGCCGGGCATCAGGGCTCACTCCTGGAATCCCAGCACTATGGGGGGACGAGGCGGGCAGATCACCTGAGATCAGGAGTTCGAGACCAGCCTGACCAACATGGTGAAACGTCATCTCTACTAAAAATACAAAAAATTCACTGGGTGTGGTGGCGGGCACCTGTAATCCCGGCTACTCGGGAGGCTGAGGCAGGAGAATTGCTTGAACCTGATAGGCAGAGGCAGTGAGCCGAGATTGCGCCACTGCACTCCAGCCTGGGCGACAGTGCAAGACTCCGTCTCAAAAAAAAAAAAAATGCAGATTAAAACACCCCACCCTGAAGTCAGTACTTGCCAGGACCTAGATTTGATCTCATGCACTCTGGCTGAAAAGTTAATTGCCTTCTCTCCATCAAATTCACAGATCCAGACCAGCTCCTCCCAGACCTCTCCAGAAGAAGCCATGGGAACCCCTCGTATCCAGCATTTGCTGATCCTCCTGGTCCTAGGAGCCTCCCTCCTGACCTGTGCGTATGGGGGACATAGGGGAGAGCCGTGTGTCACAGAAGGTGGACTGATGATGAAAAGGGAGCCGCCTTGGCCCATGGAGAAGTGCTTATCCTTTTCTTGTTTTCTCCTCAGCGGGCCTAGAGCTGTATTGTCAAAAGGGTCTGTCCATGACTGTGGAAGCAGATCCAGCCAATATGTTTAACTGGACCACAGAGGAAGTGGAGACTTGTGACAAAGGGGCACTTTGCCAGGAAACCATACTAATAATTAAAGCAGGTGAAATGAGATGGGGCATTTGGGCTGGGTAGGAGGGAGGTTGATTATCTCCATGCCAATGCTTGTTCCCTTCGTCCAGGCCAATTGTGACGGCCACCATCCATTTCCCCTCCTTCCTGTCTCATAACAGGGACTGAGACAGCCATTTTGGCCACGAAGGGCTGCATCCCGGAAGGGGAGGAGGCCATAACAATTGTCCAGCACTCTTCACCTCCCGGCCTGATCGTGACCTCCTACAGTAACTACTGTGAGGATTCCTTCTGTAATGACAAAGACAGCCTGTCTCAGTTTTGGGAGTTCAGTGAGACCACAGGTACCCTGGAAGTGGGGGAGATAGGTACTAAGAGAAACTCCATAAAGAGCTTGTGTATGGCCTCCCTTTGCATTCTGACTTGGCTTAGCCTAAGTGGTCCATACCCCAAAGTACCTCACAGTTCAAGTAATTTTATGTTTCTGAATTGTTCATTGGGATCTAAACACTGCTCAGAGCAGCGAGATACCAGTGAAGCCTGGAGTGTAAACTGGGTTTTGTGTTTATTAAGCAATAAGACAGGCTGGGTGAGGTGGATCGCCTGAGGTCAGGGGTTTGGGACCAGCTTGGCCAACATGGTGAAAACCTGTCTCTACTAAAAATACAAAAATTAGCTTAGCCTGGTGGCGCACACCTGTAATCCCAGATACTCGGGAAGCTGAGGCAGGAGAATTGCTTGAACCCAGGAGGCAGAGGTTGCAGTGAGCCAATATCACACCACTGCACTTCAGCCTGGGACAGAGAGCAAGACTCCATCAAAAAAAAAAAAAAAAAAAGCAATAAGACATCAGTGTAGGTTTCCGAACAGGGTGGTATTATCAGTCTAACAAGTATTGGTTTCCCACTGCTGCACGAGAACGGCCCAGTTCCCCAATTTACAAGGCCTGTAGTAACTTGGCCCTTCCTGTCTTTTCAGCTTCATTTCCCTCTCTTCCCTCTCTCATTTACTGTGTGCTAACTGGGGCTAATACTCAAAATGCTTAACAATGTAGATGGCACTGGCCAATCAAAATGGATTCTGGCCATAAAAAACAAAAACAAAAACAAAAAAAACAGATCAAAGAAACAGCTGGGCCTACAAGCTGAATATGAGTCGTGCAACTTCTCACAATTCCCTGAATCCACCAAGCTGGCTCACACCACCTGACCTTTGTCCTTGCTGTTTCCTTTACTACCCTCCCCACCCCATTTTCACATAGCTAACCCCTGTTCATCCTCCATGTCAATTCAGGTATCAGCTCTTTGAAAATATTTGCCAAATTCTTTTAGGTAGTTGGGTATTCCTCCATTCCTTTGTCATTATACCTTGAACACAGCAGCTACTGAATTGATTACTTACATGTCTTTCTCCTAGGCAGAGATGCCAGGTGACAGGAACTATGTCCTTTTCATCTCTGTATCTTCACACCTCAGCAGAGTTTGGAAGTCAGATCGATGGAGATTTCACAGCAGAGAACACCAGCTGGGGAAGGATGGGGAGGCTGAAGTAATGGGCCTTGATTAGAGTGGCATCTGCAGGAAAATCTTGGGGAAGAGAAGGCAGCAAGGAGCAACATCTCTGGAGGCAGGACCTGCCCTTAACTGTCTCTCTCATTTCCCTCCAGCTTCCACTGTGTCAACAACCCTCCATTGTCCAACCTGTGTGGCTTTGGGGACCTGTTTCAGTGCTCCTTCTCTTCCCTGTCCCAATGGTACAACTCGATGCTATCAAGGAAAACTTGAGATCACTGGAGGTAAACTGAAATGAACATCTGATAGTTTCAGAGGCTGGAAAACCATTTGAGTGGCTCCCCAGAGATTCTGACACTGAGCTCTCCAGGGATGAGGGGGGACTGGATTCTCCTCTGATGTCCTAAAACATCTCTGTCTCTCCCGATCCTTCCTTGTTCTATAGGTGGCATTGAGTCGTCTGTGGAGGTCAAAGGCTGTACAGCCATGATTGGCTGCAGGCTGATGTCTGGAATCTTAGCAGTAGGACCCATGTTTGTGAGGGAAGCGTGCCCACATCAGCTGCTCACTCAACCTCGAAAGACTGAAAATGGGGCCACCTGTCTTCCCATTCCTGTTTGGGGGTTACAGCTACTGCTGCCATTGCTGCTGCCATCATTTATTCACTTTTCCTAAGAAGGCACTTCTGGGCCTGGGTCTGAGGACATCTTTTTTGACTGGGAGCCTTCTTACTGTTGAGGTTCAACAAGCTGAGGAGTAGATGGGAATTTGAGGGAGAATACAGAGATACTATGAACGTATTTGACATTTTTAATACAATTTCTGCTATAATTTTTGTATGCAGTAGGCGTTACTAATAAACATTTCTGCTGTGATTTGTGTATGTTTCAACACTAGAAGTGGAATTTTAGTGCTGAAAGAGCCTTTAAAATTCATCTTCTCCAAACCACACATTCTCCAGAAAGAGAATCTGAGATCTGGAAAATTTCAGTGAGTTTCTTACATTTAGCTATGGCCAGAGCCAAGGCAAGAACTTACATATTTTGACGTAAAGTCTGATTTTCCTTTCACTCTAATATGCTAGCTCTCCTTGCTAGCAGAAGTAACTAGCATTAGCCTCCTCCAGAACACTCCCAGCCCAATCTTAAGGCTGCTGTTTTGGGGTTCTAAAATTTCCCTAGGAAGTATGGCCAAATGAGAAAAATCAGACTCCAAATTCTCCAGTTATGGGCCTGCTGTAGTGGCTTATACCTGTAATCCCAGCACTTTGAGAGGCAGAGGTGGGAGGATTGCATGAGCCAAGGAGTTTGAGACCAGCCTGGGCAACCTAATGAGACTACATCTCTACAAAAAAAAATAATCCAAAAATTAGCCTGGCATGGTGGCGCTCGCCTGTAGTCCCAGCTACTTGGGAGGCTGAAGTGGGATGATCACTTATGTCCACAAAAAGAGTCAAACTCTGTAAAATATTTGAAAAGATTTATTCTGAACCAAATGTGAGTGACCGTGGTGTGTGACACAGCCCTCAGGAGACCCTGAAAACGTGCCTAAGGTGGTCGGGGCACAGCCTAGTTTTATACCGTTTAGGAAGACATGAGGCAATCAAATACATGTAAGATGTACATTGTTTCAGTCCAGAAAGGCAGGACAACTCCAAGTGGAGGAAACTTCCAGGTTATAGGTAGATTCAAAAATTTTCTGATTGGCCATTGGTTAAAAGAGTTATTATCTAAAGACCTGGAATCAGTAGAAAGGAATGTCTGGGTTACGATGATAAGGGATTGTGGAAACCAAAGTTTTATTACACAAATGAAGCCACCATGTCGCAGGCTTCAGAGAGAATACATTGTAAATGTTTATCAGACTTAAGGTCTGTGTTGATGTTCATGCTGGTCAGCTTTTCCCAAAATCCAAAAGGGAGGCGGGTATATTGAGGCATGGCCGACTCTCCCTTCCCACAGCATGGCCTGAACCAGTTTTTCAGGTTAACTTTGGAAAGCCCTGGCTGAGAGGAGGGGACCCTTCAGATGGTTGGGGGCGGGGAGTGGCTTATAATTTTATTTTTTGTCTGCACTTGAGCTCAGGAGGTTGAGGCTGCAGTGAGCCATGATCATGCCTCTGTACTTCAGACTGGATGACAGAGTGAGATCCTCTATCAAAACAAAAGGCAAATTCTCTCATTACAGTGGGCCCCATTTCTCTGTGTCCTGTCTATCCCTTGCCTGCTCTACATCATTCCTTCCCTTCCCTGGGGCTGACTTAATGACTCTTCAGTGGACTTGGGAGGGAGGGAGGAAGGATTCATTACAGTATGGTGAATGGGGACCTGTGACTACTTGGGCGGCAAAGATTTTTGGAAAATTCTCATGCTTATTATTACTCAAAAATACATAAGCTCTATCTTATTGTAAAAGACTCAAATGATATCAGAGGTGTATAGAGCAAAGTAAAAGGTGGGGAGGGTAAAAGGGAGACAGATATTTTCTTCTAAAAAAAAAAAAAAAAACAGCTTTACTAAGACTTATCTGACACACAGTAAACGGCACCAGAGGTGGAAGGAGAGACTTTTATTACAAACACTTGTTCCCCTCTCAAAAGACTGGGGAGTTTGGCCATAGTATATATATTCCAACCAAGTTCTTTCTAGAAAGTTCTCTGGTTCTACCCACTGAGAAAGGGAAAAAAAAAATCTTGGGATACCAAACTCACTATGCTAAAGGGAAAAGTCAGGCTTGGGAATGGAGTCACACCAAACTGCCCCTTATTTTGTTCCTAAATATGTAGCTGCAAAGATTTAGAAGTCTACACACCTCCCCAGCAGGCCTTGCTCACAATTTGGCCACAAGGAAATTCCTTGTGGGCCCCAAGATCTTTACCCTAAAACAGTTCTGCTTGAGTTTCACCCTGGCAATGTAATTAACAGTTTATCTTCACAGGTACTGGACAAGACAGGACCAGAAGTCATCCCTCTGCTCACCTGAGACAAATGCCTATTTCACTCTTTCCTCTACTAGATGTTTAGTTTATTTTATGTAAAAATGCAAATCTGGCCAGACACGGTGGCTCACCCCTGTAATCCCAACACTTTGGGAGGCCAAGGCGGGCAGATCACGAGCTCAGGAGTTTGAGACCAGCCTGGCCAACATGGTAAAACCCCATCTCTACTAAAAATACAAAAATTTACCAGGTGTGGTGGCAGATGCCTGTAATCCCAGCTATTCAGGAGGCTGAGGTGGAGAATCACTTGAACCCAGAAGGCAGAGATTGCAGTGAGCTGAGATCCGGCCATCGCACTCCAGCCTGGGTGACAAGAGCAAAACTCCGTCTCAAAAAAAAAAATGCAAATTCACTGAGGGCAAGATGATTGCATAGTTGACTATTCCTCTACCCTCTCCTTTCACATGTAAAATGTAGATTCACTGAAAGCTGATCAAAGCCTCAAAAGAATGCAACCACTTTCCCTTTTTATTTACTCTCCTCCTTTTTTTCTTTCCTCTTTCTCCTATTGCCCACTCCTTTCCCCACTTTAAATATTGAAGTCCCCAGGCCGGGTGTGGTGGCTCATGCTTGTAATCCCAGCACTTTGGGAGGTCGAGGCAGGTGGATCACCTGAGGTCGGAGTTCAAGACCAGCCTGGCCAACATGGTGAAACCCCGTCTCTACTAAAAATATAAAAAATTAGCTAGGCATGGTGGCGGATGCCTGTAATCCCAGCTACTCGGGAGGCTGAGGCAGGAGAACTGCTTGAACCTGGGAGGCAGAGGTTGCAGTGAGCCGAGATCATGCCACTGCACTCCAGCCTGGCAACAAAAGTGAAACTTTCTCTCAAAAAAAAAAAAAAAAAAAAAAAATTGAAGTTCCCAAATCCTCTTTGGAAAAAGCACAGATCACAGATGTTCCTGTGGTTTTGTGTTTCTTTTTCCTGGGCATGTCCTAAACCTTAGCAAAAGAAACTAAAATAATTAAGACTCACCTCAATCATTTTTTTTTTATTTATACCACTCTCCTGCAGTTTAAGCGCTACTCTAGCTAATTCCTTATCTTTGTCCTTAGGTAGCCAGTCCCCATTGTGTCAGTTTGCTAAATCTCCCTAAAGAGGAAGAAGAAGCACACGAAAATCAAATTTTAACTGAGGGCCAGGTGCAGTGGCCCACACCTATAGTGCCAGCACTTTGGGAGGCCAAGGCGAGTGGATTACTTGAGCTCAGGAGTTTGAGACCAGCCTGGGCAACATAGTGAAACCCCGTCTCTACAAAAAATACAAAAATTAACTGGGCATGGTAGTGTGTGCCTGTACATAGTCACAGCTATTTGGGAGGCTGAGACAAGAGGATGGCTTGACCCAGGGAGGTGGACAGTTTGCTGAGGTCACGCCACTGCACTCCTCCTCCCTAGATGATAGAGCATGACCCTGTCTCAGAGACAGAGAGAAAGAAAAAGGAAGAAAGGAAGAAAAAGAAAGAGAGAAAGAAAGGAAGGAAGGAAGGAAGGAAGGAAAGAAAGAAAGAGAAAGAAAGAAAGAAAAGAAAAGAGAGGAAAGAAAGAGAAAGAAAAGGAAGGAGTGACAATGCCAAATTCTGGAGAGGAATTGAGAAACTAGATCTCTCATATATTGCTGTAAGAATGTGAAATGGTGCACCCACTCTGGAAAATAGTTTGGCCATTTATTTAAAAACTAAACACACACTTACCATCTACCCAGCAGTCATACTGCTGAGCGTTCATCCACAAGAAATGGAAACTTAAGTCAACACAAAATCATGTATGTGCTTGTTCTTAGCAGCTTTATTTGTAATAGCCCAAAATGAAAACAACCAAAATGTCTTACAGTAGGTGAATGTTAAACTCCACAATAGAAAGAAACAAACTATTTATACACACAGAAACTTGGCTGGATCTCAATGGCATTATGCTGAGTGGAAAAAAGTCCATCTCAAAGGTCATATATGTACTATATGAATCCATGTATATAATATTCTTGAAATGGCAAAATCATAGCAATAGAGATGTATTTTATTTAACTGAATGGTATATCCAAAATATTACCATTAAACATGTAATCAATACAAATTTTAATGAGCTATCTTACATTCTTTTTTATACTAAGTCTTCAAAATGTGGTGTGTATTTCACAATCATGATACATCTTAATTTGGACTTGTTACATTTCAAGCATTCAGTATCCACATGTGGCTACTATATGATATAGTGGCTACTGTATTGTACAGCACAGATCTAAATAACATAAAATGCCTCTTCAAATGGATGGCTCTTTTTTATCGTGATGTTTATTTTATTATTGAGTTTTGAGTATGTTTCATATTTGCATATTACAAATGCAAATTCCTTAACAGGTATATCATTTTAAAATATTTTCTTCTACTCTGCCTTGTCCTTTTCTTCTCTTAGTGTCTTTCACAGAGCACGGTTTTTTTTGTTTGTTTGTTTGTTTTTGAGACGGAGTCTAGCTCTGTCGCCCAGGCTGGAGTGCAGTGGCGCGATCTCGGCTCACTGCAACCCTCACCTCCCGGGTTCAAGCAGTTCTCCTCCCTCTGCCTCCTGAGTAGCTGGGACTACAGGCTTACACTGCCATACCAGGCTAATTTTTTGTATTTTAGTAGAGATGGGGTTTCACTGTGTTGTCCAGGCTGGTCTCGAACTCCTGAGCTCAGGCAATCCACCTGCCTTGGCCTCCCAAAGTGCTGGGATTATAGGCATGAGCCACCGCACCCAGCAGAGCATGGGTTTTTAATTTAATGAAGTCCAATTTATCAACTTTATGAAATATGCTTTTAGTATTATATATTATACATTAGCCAAGTTTGTTATTGCTTGTTTGTTTGTTGTTGTTGTTGTCACTGCTATTCTAAGTCGTTTGCATTTCCAAATGAATTTTAGAATCATCTTGTCAATTACTACAAAAATCCTGCAAGGATTTTGATTGGGATTGTTTGAGGAGAATTGACATCTTAACGTTAAGGAAACAGGAGCATAGGAGAGCCAGGGTGACACCATTTTAAAATCAACCCTGTCGTAAAACTAGCAAGGTACGCTCTTTGCCAATCACAACCCACGGTCATAAGATGTTTACAGCTAAAGAAGCAGTTTATTAATGCCTGCAAGGACAAACTCCTGTGACAGAAGAATGTCCAGATGTCCCAATATCACATAACAATATATACTTTCAAGACAGAGTCATGCTTTGGTGTACTTATGCACTAAAATGCCAAGAATAACTTTTATTTATTTATTTATTTATTTATTTATTTATTATTTTTGGAGATGGGGTCTCGCTCTGTCACCCAGGCTGGAGCGCAGTGACATGATCTCAGTTCACTGCAACTTCTGCCTCCCCGGCTCAAGCAATCCTCCCACCTCCCACCCCCACCCTCCAGTAGCTGGGACTACAGGCGAGAGCCACCACACCTCACTAATTTTTGTATTTTTTTTGTAGAGACAGGACCGCACCGTGTTGCCCAGGCTGGTCTCAAACTCCTGGGCTCAAGCGATCCTCCCACCTTGGCCTCCCAAAGTGCTGGGATTACAAGCATGGTCCACTGCACCTGGCAGATAACTTTCCTTAAATCAGCAAAATAATAAATTTTGTCATGCTGTCAGCCCACTCACACATAGACATAACTTAGCTTAGCTTTTATATAGATAAGACCCCTGTATAAGAAGAGTTTTTAAAAAAGGACAATGCGGCCGGGTGCGGTGGCTCACGCCTGTAATCCCAGCACTTTAGGAGACTGAGGCGGGCAGACCACGTGAGGTCAGAAGTTCAAGACCAGCCTGACCAACATGGAGAAACCCGGTCTCTACTAAAAATACAAAATCAGCCGGGCGTGGTGGCGCATGCCTATAATCCCAGCTACTCGAGAGGCTGAGGCAGGAGAATCGCTTGAATCTGGGAGGCAGAGTTTGTGGTAAGCCGAGATCGCGCCATTGCACTCCAGCCTGGGCAACAAGAGTGAAACTCTGTCTCAAAAAATAATAATAATAATTTTTAAAAAGACAGCGCATTCTTTCTCTTGCTTTCTGAGGCAACCCTACTGTGTAACTAATGAGCAACTCTGTTGCCACCGCACTCTGTGACTCACCTTGAATTCTTTCTTGCATAAGATCCAAAAATCCTCTCTTGGAGTCTGGATCAAGACCCCTTTTTCCAGCGACATTAATAATACTGTGTCTTCTTCCCCATTCATACCATATATCTTTTCATTTATTTCACAACAGTGCTGAAATAAATGAAAAGATATATGCTATGAATGGGGAAGAAGACACAGTATTATTTCACAGTGTGAAATTTCCTTCAGCATTGTTGTGCTGTTTCCAGTATACAGGTGTTGGCAGGGATATAGAAAAACTGGAATGCATATATTATGGGTGGGCACCTGCATGAGATCCCAAGAAACAGCAACTAGGCCAGGGTGACTGGAGCAGAGGAAATGAGGAAGAGCATCTTAGGAGATGTGGTCAGAGGTAACGGGAATACAGATCTCAGGGAGCTCATAGGCAACTGCACTGACTCTGGCTTTTATGCCAGGTGAATTTGGAAGTTGTTAGAGAGTTTAGATCAGGCTAGGTGTGGTGGCTCATGCCTGTAATCAATCCTAGCACTCTGGGAGGCCAGAGTGGGAGGATAGCTTGTGTCCAGGAGTTTGAGACCAGCCTAGGCAACATAGCAAGATCCTCATTTCTACAAAAAATTTTTAAAAATTAGCTGGGCATGATGGCATGCACCTTTGGTCCCAGCTGCTGAGGAGGCTGAGGCAGGAGGACTGCTTGAGCCTGGGAGGTTGAGGCTGAAGTAAGCTTTGATCCCACCACTGCACTCTGCCTGGGTGACAGAGTGAGACTCTGTTTAAAAAATAAAGAAAGACAGAGAGATTGAGGGAGGGGAGAGAGAGAGAAAGGAAGGGAGGAAGGGAGGAAGGAAGGAAGGAAAGAAGGAAGGGAGAGAGGGAGGGGGCAGTGCAGAGGGAGGGAGGGGAAAAGAAAGAGAAGAGAAGAGAAAAGGAAAAGAAAAGAAAGAAGAAAAAGTTAGTTTATGTCAGGGTGTGATACGATGTTTTGACTTCTCTTGTCTAAGGAGCCCTCTAGCTGCTATGTTGAGAATAGTCTGGAGGAAGACAAAATTGGCAGTGGGAGACCCACTAAATTGCTGTTTGCCACGTTTTTAAAAGCTGAATAGCTTAGATCAGTAGTTTAGGAGATCGACAAGACTTGTTTTCTGGTCACAACGCTGCTGACTAAAACAGGATTTAGTCCAGACAGGATAAAGTGAAGAAACTGGACAAAACCAGCAGATGACAGCAAAAGTGACCCTAGCTGCCCTCATTGCTCATTAGCTCAAGACACTGCCCCCAGCACCATGACAGTTTATAAACGCCATAGCAACGACCCAGAAGTTACCACCCATTTCTATGGCAATGATCTGGAAGTTGCTGCCCTTTTCCTGGAAACTTGTTAAATAACTCACTCCTTAATTTGCATTAATCCACACCTTAATTTGCATGTAATTGAAGTGGCTATAAGAGAATATAAATGTAGTTGCCAAGGGTTCACAGGTTGCCAACTCTGGGCACACTGCCAATGAGTTATCCCTGCTCAGCAAGGAGCAGTACCATTCAATAAAAGATTACTGCCTAATACCCGGGGCTCGCCCTTGAATTCTTTCCCGGTCAAAGCCAAGAACCCTCCCAGCCTAAGCATCATGTTGGGGGCCTGTCCATCCTGCATCAGTTTTTTTGTTTTGTTTTTGTTGCTGTTGTTGTTTGTTTTTGTTTTGTTTTGTTTTGAGACAGGGTCTTGCTCTGTCACCCAGGCTGGAGTGCAGCGGCACAAACGCAGCTCACTGTAGCCTCTACTTTCTGGGCTCAAGTGATCCTCCCATCTCAGGCTCCTGGGTAGCTGGGCCTCCAGGCACGCACCACCAGAGCTGGCTAATTTTTTTTTTAATTTCGTAGAAACAGAGTCTCACCATGTTACTCAGGCTGTGCTCAAACTTCTGGGCTTAAGCGATCCTCCCACCTGGGCCTCCCAAATTTCTGGGATTACAGGTGTGAGCCACTGCACTCAGCGTGCATCAGTTCTAACTACCAAATTGAAAGGAACTTAGAGGAGAAAAGAGCATGTTAAATGCCTGTGGGGATGGAACTAGCAAAATCCAGATTATGGAAGCTGCAAGACAATGACCTAACTTTGTCAAAACATAAATTTGAGAGAAGAAGAAAAAAAAGTAAGGGAAGCTATAGTTTAAGAGGAACTTAAACACACAAAATCAAATGCAATTTGTGGACCTTGCTTGGATCCTGGCTTGAATAATCAGATATAAAATAATACTTTTCTGATACAGCTAAGAAAATGCATTCATTGATTATTTAATGAGGTAGGTATCTTAAATTCTATTAGATATGAGAACTGAGATCATGTATTTCAACATGACTTACCTGTTTGTTTGACTTTCAAAAAAGCCTTGCCTGGAAGGATAAGACTGTAAAACAATAAAGAACTCATTGTTTGCTTCAGGAAAATAAAAAAAAAAAAAAATTTATCTAGGCAAACAATTTGCTCACCTGGGCATATAGCTCTCCTCTCAACACATGGCTCAACTGGGCAAAAAGCTCACTTATCAGACAATAGTTTGCTTCTCAAGACTTCTCTCAAGACCTCCATTCTGTTGTGTTCACCAATTCTAAACTATCGTCTCATACTTTTTATCCAATTTTATTTTATTTTATTTTATTTTACTTTATTTTATTTTATTTTATTTTATTTTATTTTATTTTATTTTATTTTGAGATAGTGTCTCGCTCTGTCGCCCAGGCTGGAGTGCAGTGGCATGATCTCGGCTCACTGCAACCTCCGCCTCCTAGGTTCTTTCCTGACCTCAGGTGACCCGCCTGCCTCAGCCTCCCAAAGTGCTGGGATTACAGGCGTGAGCCACCGCACCCAGCCCTTTGCCCAATTTTAGTCAGTTCCTTGCTTTAAAGAATTACCTCAAATACCCTTACATCATTTTCCCCTTTGTGACACTGTTGAGACACCACCGAACTTTGTTCTCCCTTGCTGCAATTGGCCTTATAAACTCTTACTTTGCGTGATCAATGGGTTTCTCTGGTAGTCTTTGCAAGAAAGTCAACCATTAATAGATACGCTGATTTCATGACATGTTTATTTTAATTTTTTTATTTTCTTGTAACTTTATCGTCACAGAATGTGGCATATTTATTTTTTAAAAGGGAGAGGCTCAGCGGATCCAGTGGCTCATGCCTGTAATCCCAGCACTTTGGGAGGCCGAGGCCGGTGGATCACTTGAGGTCAGGAGTTCAAGACCAGCCTGGCCAACATGGCGAAACCCCATCTCCACTAAAAATACAAAAATTAGCCAGGCGTGGTGACGCATGCCTGAAATCCCAGCTACTCAGGAAGCTGAGGCAGTAGAATTGCTTGAACCCGGGAGGCAGAGGTTATAGTGAGCTGAGATTGCACCATTGCACTCCAGCCTGGGGAACAGAGCAAGACTGCATCTCAAAAAAAAAAAAAAAAGGTTGGGGGAGGCTTATCTTTTTAAAACTATATATACAGAATGGCTGGGCATGGTGGCTCACATCTGTGTTCCCAGCATTTTCGGAGGCCAAGGCAGGCGAATCACTTGAGGTCAGGAATTCAAGACCAGCCTGACAAACATGGTGAAACCCCGTCTCTACTAAAAATACAAAACTTAGCCAGGTGTGGTGATGGGTGCCTATAATCCCAGCTACTCAGAAGGCTGAGGCAGGAGAATCGCTTGAACTTGAGAGGTGGAGGTTGCAGTGAGCCAAGATGGCACCATTGCACTCCAGTTTGGGCAACAGAGTGAGATTCCATCTCAAAAAAAAAAAGAATATACATATATATATATATATATAAAATCTCTACACACACACACAATACACACACAGACACACACACACACACAGAGAAGGATTTACAAATAAAATGAAATAATGTCTGAGATTTACTTCAATACAATATGGAATAGAGAGTAGGGAGAGGCATAGATGAAGTGAAACTGGTCATCATTTCGAGGCAATCATTATTGAAGCTGGTTGACAGCTACATGGGGTTCACTATAAGACTTTTGTCTGGCCAGACGTCGTGGCTCACGCCTGTAATCCCAGCACTTTAGGAGGCCGAGGTGGGTGGATTGCCTGAGGTCAGGAGTTTGAGACAAGTCTGACCTACATGGTGAAACCCAGTTTCTAATTTAAAAAATTACAAAAAAATTAGCCAGGCCTGGTGGCAGGCGCCTGTAATCCCAGCTACTCCAGAGGCTGAGGCAGGAGAATCGCTTGGGCTCGGGAGGCAGAGGTTGCAGTGAGTCAAGATCACGCCACTGCAATCCAGCCTGGGCAATGAGAGTGAAACTCCTTCTCAAAAAAAAAAAAGCTTTTTATCTACTTAGATATATTTCTGAAACAGTCCATAATAAATGAGTTTTATGTGTGCTACTCAGACCACAACATTGGAGTTATTCTTGATCTCCCTCTCCTATCCCATATCCAATCCTTTAGCATATCCTGTTGATTCTGCCTTTAAAATACCTCTAGAATCTGACCATGTCTCATAACCTCCGCTGCTTCTTCTCCAGTCCAAGCTGCCACCATTTCTCACCTTGATTATTGCAACAGCCAAGAGTCTCTATGCTTTGACCTTTCCCTTCCCACAATCCCATTCTCTTCTCGACTTAGCAGCCACAGTGATCCTTTTTTAAAGTAAGCCTAAACCCTGTCTCTTAGCCAGGCATGGTGGTGCACACTTGTAGTCCCAGCTACTCAGGTGGCTGAGGCGGAAGAATCGCCTGAGACCAGGAGTTCAAGACTGCACTGAGCTATGATTGCGCCACTGCACTCCAGCCTGGGCAACACAGCAAGACCCTGTCTCAAAAACAAAATAATAAAGAAATGAAGAAATAAAAAATAAACTCGCTCTCTATCAAAACCCTACAATGACTCTCCACCTCACTCGGAGTAAAAACCAAAGCCCATGGCCAGGAGCGGAGGCTCACTCCTGTAATCCCAGCAGTTTGGGAGGCTGAGGCATGAGGATGACTTGAGGTCAAGAGTTTGAGACCAGCCTGGCCAACATGGAGAAACCCTGTCTCTACTAAAAATACAAAAAATTAGCCAGGCATTGTGGCAGGCGCCTGTAATCCCAGCTACTTGGGCAACTGAGGCAGGAGAATCGCTTGAACCCAGGAGGCAGAGGTTGCAGTGAGCCGAGATCGCGCCACTGCACTCCAGCCTGGGTGACAGAGCGAGACTCTGTCTCAAAAAAAAGAAATAAAAATTAATTAAATAAAAATAAAAATTATCCTAAGGGAAGAGAGATGGGGCCCTGATACAGAAGTGCACAGCCCCAGACACCCTCAAAGCCAGCATGGTCTCTGTGAAAGATGCACCCTACAGCAGAATTCTGTGAAGGGTTCCTGTGGGGCAGTGCCCCCCGGTGGACAATGACCTTTAGACAAAGGCATTACCTGTAAATGATCTAGTGTGCTAGAAGGAAAAGACATTCAATTTCCATCCCTAGAAATCCAGGAAATGCAAACTAAGACAACAATAAGTTGCCTGTCAACTTTATAAACAAAAGAAGGAAATAGAAACTTTGTTCAAAACAAACTTTGAATGCAGTGTTTCACTTTCTGGGCATGTCTCAAGACAAAAGACTTTCTTTCTCTTTTTTTTTTTCTTTCAGACAGTCTCACTCTGTCACCCAGCCTGGAGTGCAGAGGCACGATCTCGGCTCACTGCAACCTCTGCCTCCAAGTGATTCTCCTGCCTCAGCCTCCTGTGTAGATGGGCTTATAGGCAAATGACTTTCTTTAGAAGACCAGAATTGGCTGGGCATGATGACTCACGCCTGTAATCTCAGGACTTTGGGAGGCCAAGGCGGGTGGATCACCTGAGCTCAGGAGTTCGAGACCAGTCTAGGCAACATGGCAAAATCCCATCTCTACTAAAAATACAAAAATTAGCTGGGCGTGGTGGCAGGCACCCATAATCACAGATACTCAGGAGGCTGACGCATGAGAATTGCTTGAGCTCGGGAGGCAGAAGTTGCAGTGAGTTGAGATCACACCAGTGCACTCCAGCCTGGGTGACAGAATGAGACCCTGTCTCAAAAAACAAAACAAAAAAACAAAAACTACACCATGGAATGAAAATGGAAAAAATGTTTCCTGGTACCTCCTAAGGCTAAACATATGTATCTCCTATGGCCCAGCAATCCACATCTGGGAATATACCCAAGAAAAATGATTGCATGTCTACGTACACGACTGCTTCTAGCAACTCTATTCATAGTAGCCGAAAATCAGAAAGAGCCCAAATGTCCATCAACAATACATTTGAATAAATAAACGTGGTATAGTCATAAAATGGAATGCCACACAGCAATTTTAAAAAATAACAGCACATGGACCAACATGCAACAGCATGGTCAAATATCATGACATAATATTGAGTGAAAGAAGCTAGACACTGCCAGACGCAGTGGCTCACGCCTATAATCCCAGCACTTCAGGAGGCCAAGGCGGATGGATCACGTGAGGTTGGGAGTTCGAGACCAGCCTGATCAACATGGAGAAACCCATCTCTACTAAAAATACAAAATTAGCCAGGTGTGGTGGCGCATGCCTGTAATCCCAGTTACTTGGGAGGCTGAGGCAGGAGAATCACTTGAACCTGGGAGGCGGAGTTTGCGGTAAGCCAAGGTCGCGCCATTGCACTCCAGCCTGGGCAACAAGAGCAAAACTCCGTCTCAAAAGAAAAAAAAAAGAAGAAGAAGCTAGACACCGCCAGATGCAATGGCTCACGCCTGTAATCTCAGCACTTTGGGAGGCCAAGGTGGGTGGATTACTTGAGGTCAGGAGTTCAAAACCACCCTGGCCAACATGGTGAAACCCGTCTCTACTAAAAATGCAAAAATTAGCCAGACAGGGCTGGGCGCAGTGGCTCACACCTGCAGTCCCAGCACTTTGGGAGGCCGAGGCAGGCGGATAACGAGGTCAGGAGATCAAGACCACCCTGGCCAACATGGTGAAGCCCCGCCTCTACTAAAAATACAAAAATTAGCTGGGCGTGGCAGCGCGTGCCTGTAGTCCCAGCTACTCGGGAGGGTGAGGCAGGAGAATCTCATGAACCCGGGAGGCAGAGGTTGCAGTGAGCTGAGATCGCGCTACTGCACTCCAGCCTGGCGGCAGAGTGAGATTCTGTAAAAAAAAAAATTGCCGGGCGTGGTAGTGCATGCCTGTAGTCCCAGTTACTTGGGAGGCTGAGGCAGGAGAATCACTTGAACCCAGGAGGCGGAGGTTGCATTGAGCTGAGATCGCGCCACTGCACTCCAACCTGGGTGACAGAGTGAAACTCCGTCTCAAAAAAATAAAAAATAAAAAGAAATGAAAAGAAAAGCAAAGAAGCTAAGCCGGGTGTGGTGGCTCACGTCTGTAATCCCAGCATTTTGGGAGGCCAAGGCAGATGGATCACCTGAGGTCAGAAGTTCTAGACTAGCCTGACCAATATGGTGAAACCCCCTTTCTACTAAAAATACAAAAAAAATTGCTGGGCATGGTGGTGTGCACCTGTAGTCCCAGCTACTTGGAAGGCTGAGGCAGGAGAATTGCTTGAACCCAGGAGGTGGAGGTTGCAGTGAGCCAAGATCGCACCACTGCATTCCAGCCTGGGCGACAGAGTAAGGCTCCATCAAAAAAAAAAAAAAAAGAAAGGAAAGAGAAAGAGAAAGAAAGAGAGAGAGAGACAGAAAGAAAGAAAGAAAGAAAAAGAAAGAAAGAAAGAAAGAAAGAAAGAAAGAAAGAAAGAAAGAAAGAAAGAAAGAAAGAAAGAAAGAAAGAAAGCTGGACACCAAAAGAAAAGAAAGAAGCTAGACATAATTGTATATGCATTTTATATAAGCATTAGGAACAGGCAAACCTAACTTGTGGTGACAGAAATGAGAAAATGGTCACCTCTGCACGCTATTGGGTGGGAGAATGCACAAAGGAACCTTCTAATATGACGGGAATGCTCTATATCCTGACCTAGGTGGTGGTTACAAAGATATGTACATAAATTCATTGAGCTTTATACTTCAGTTTTATGCTGTAAGTTATCTCCATTTTAAACGTTAAATTTTTAAAGTTTGAAATAAAACAGAATAGAATCAACAACTAGTGTATCAGTACTTTCAAGATACGCAAAGGATCAGAATGCAGGACCAGCCTGGTGGAGAATACACTGGGGTGGGGAGAACAGGGCCCCAGGTGCTCACATTCCCTCTCCAGCCACAAGGGGGCTCTCCCCACCTCAGCTCTCTACAGCCAAATCCTCTGGAAAACCCAGCCGCACATGACCTCGCCTATTCAGAAATGTCACTGCTGGCTGGGCCAGGTGGCTCACCCCTGTAATCCCAGCACTTTGGGAGGTCGAGGTGGGAGACTCACTTGAGTCCAGGAGTTCAAGACCAGTCTGGGCAACATAGTGAGACCCCGTCTCTACAAAAAAATAGAAAGAGAAATACAATCTCATGATTCAAATATACAACCATTGCGGAAAACTGTCAGTATTTAGCATAAACATATGCATACCTTATGACCTTGCCCTTCAGGTCCTGGCCTACATACCCAACAGAAATGCATACATATGTTCTCCAAATGACCTGTACAGGAATGTTCCTAGCAGCACTATTTGTAATTGCCAGAGATCGGCAGCAACCCAAATGCCCTCAACAGTTAGAATGAATAAATAAATCACAGTGGAATGCTATATACATCAATGAGAATGAATGCCATGCAACAACATGGATAATTCTCATAAAGGCAGGCACAGTGACTCAACGCCTATAATCCCAGCACTTTGGGAGGCCAAGGTGGGAGAATTGCTTGAACCCAGGAGTTCAAAACCAGCCTGTGCAACAAAGTGAGACCTCGTCTCTACAAAAAATAAAATAATTAGCCAGCCACTAATTATTGCTGCATCAATGGCACAATCATAATTGGACTACTGCAACACAGCAGAAAAGACCGCAGGCTCCCTAGACAGACTGCCTGGGTGTGAGTGCAGCCTTGGCTGGCTGTGTGGTCTTAGACAAGCTACTTAACCTCTCTGTGCCCCAGCTTCCCCATCTTTAAAATGAGCCAGCTGGGCACAGAGGCTGATGCCTGTAATCCCAGCACTTTGGGAGACCAAGGTGGGCAGATCATGAGGTCGGGAGTTCGAGACCAGCATGACCAACATGGTGAAACCTCATCTCTACTAAAAATACAAAAATTAGCCAGGCATGGTGATGCGCACCCGTA
This sequence comes from Homo sapiens, assembly GCF_000001405.40. Classification (NCBI taxonomy): domain Eukaryota; kingdom Metazoa; phylum Chordata; class Mammalia; order Primates; family Hominidae; genus Homo; species Homo sapiens. The sequence goes on from NC_000019.10 coordinate 43,434,062, forward strand.
ATCCCAGCTACTCAGGAGGCTGAGGCAGGAGAATCACTTGAACCTGGGATGTGGAGGTTGCAGTGAGCCGAGATCACATCATTGCACTCCAGCCTGGGTGACAGAGCAAGACTCTATCTCAAAAAAAAAAAAAAAAAAAAAAAAAAAAGCCTAATTATAGCACCTACCTCATCCAGTTATTGTGAAAATTAAATGAATGATTATTTGTAGAGCACTGAGAACAGTGGCCATGTATTCCATGAGTGTTACATGACTGTTTTACTATACCCTGGTATTGGACACTGAGATTTTTCTAATCATTTTATATTTCAGACAATGCTGCAACATACACCCTTATAAACGTATCATTTGCCACAAGTGTGAGAAGTGGAATAGTGGGATAGTGGGATTGGTGAACCAAAGAGGGTTTGTGCTGGTTACATGAAGAGATGTCAAATTTGTCTCCATTAAAGTTGTACCAATTTACACTCCCACCACAATGAAGGAGAGAGCTGATTTCTCACCATTACCCTGGTTGTGGTGATGGTTTCACAGGTGAATACATACATCAAAGCTCATCGCTGTATACCTCAAATATGTGCAGCTTTTGCATATCAATTACACCTCAATAAAGCTATTTTTTTTTTTTGAGACAGAGTTTCACTCTCGTCACCCAGGCTGGAGTGCAGTGTCATGATCTTGGCTCACTGCAACCTCTGCCTCCTGGGTTCACTTGACTCTCCTGCCTCAGCCTCCCGAGTAGCTGGGATTATAGGTGCCTGCCACCACACCCGGCTAATTTTTGTATTTTTAGTAGAAATGGGGTTTCGCCATGTTGGCCAGGCTGGTCTTGAACTCCTGAGCTCAGGTGATTCACCCGCCTCGGCCTCCCAAAGTGCTGGGATTACAAGCATGAGCCACCACACCCAGCCAATAAAGCTAATTTTTTAAAAATTATCATGGTCTCCCTTTTGAGAAACACGTAGTGGAGAAGGATGATAAATGATTCAACTGGGATGCAGCCAGCAAAATCCCAGATGTTGCAAACCCTATGAGAAAAAGGACCCTATTTATTCAGCAAACGTACTGTAAGAGAAGGGAGTGAGGAAGAGGGAGAATCCAAAAATTAAGACAGAATTAAGATACTGATCCATGAAATGCAATGTGTAGATCTTTGTTTCTCTCATGAGTTGAATAAACCAACTGTGCAAGAAATGTTTTATGGCGGGGTGTGGTGGCTCACACCTGTAATCCCAGCACTTTGGGAGGCCAAGGAGGGAGCACCTCTTGAGCCTGGGAGTTGGAGACAAGCCTGGGCAGCACATGAAGACCATCTCTAAAAAAAGAAAAAAATAAGTAACCCAGACATGGTGGTGTACCTGCAGTCCCAGCTACTTGGAAGGCTGAAGCAAGAGGATTGCTTGAGCCCAGGAGGTCAATAGGCTGCAGTGAACCATGATCACACCACTGCACTCCAGCCTGGATAACAGAGTGAGGCACTGTCTCAAAAAAAAAAAAAAAAAAAAAAAGAAGGAGTATTTATGAGACCCCAGTCAAATTTAAGGCACTGACCAGATAGTTAATTATATTAACAAGTTATTAATAACTTTTAGATATGATAATATATTATGGTCATTTTCTTTTAAGAGTTCTTATAAGATACTAAAGTTTTTGTCTCCTCATTATGTAGCAGTGAAATGATATGTTTGGGGTTGATCTCAAATTAATTGGAAAGATAGATGAAATAAGAAAAGCTGGGTGGTTAGGGAGGATCACTTGAGCTCAGGAGTTCAAGGCTGCCATGAGCTATGATTGCACTACTCCAGCCTGGGCAACAGAACAAGATGAAAGAAAGAAAAGAAAAAGAAAAAGGGAAGGGAAGGGAGAAAGAGAGAAAGAGAGACAGATAAAGAAAAAGAAGGAAGGAAGGAAGGAAGGAAAAGAGAGAAAGAGAGAAAAAGAGAAAGAAATGGCTGGGTGCCATGGCTCACACCTGTAATCCCAGCACTTCGGGAGACCAAGTTGGGTGGATCACTTGAGGTCAGGAGTTCAAGATCAGCCAAGCCAACATGGTGAATCCCGGTCTGTCCTAAAAATGCAAAAATTAGCCAGGTGTGGTGGCGTGTACTTACAATCCCAGCTACTCGAAGGCTGAGGCATGAGAATCGCTTGAACCCAGGACAAGGAGGTTGCAGTGAGCCAAGATCCTGCCACTGCTCTCCCGCCTGGGTGACAGAGTGAGACTCTGTCAAACAAACAAATAAACAAACAAACAAATAAATAAATCTAAAAACGAAGAAGAAGAAAAGAGAAGAAAGAAACACTGCTCTGAATCTCTTCCTGCTCTTCTCCCTCCACATACATACCTGCCTCGAGGTTGGTGGAGCTCTGTGTGGTCTCCTTTTAGGGGTAAGCAGGGGGCAATTTGAGAACTGAGATGCTTCAAGTTATTCCCCAGGCAGGGTTTGGGTTCCCCCAGAAGGATGTTAGCCTGAAAATTTTAAAAGACATGGCACAGGTCAGGGATTCCCAGGGTTTTGACCCCAATGGGGACACACAACACCCTGAAAGGGGACCAACTTCTTCCTTCACAGAGCCCTGGAAACACATCTTAGCTTTCTGGAAACTTCTTAAGATTCTCTAAGTCCCTCCAGGAAATTTGGAAAAATTCGTCCTCATCAAGGCCATGCTTTTGGTGTATGTAGGTTTCAGCCACTTTGGTGGATCTGTACTGTCTCGAGTCAACTAAACGGGTGTGGGCGGAGGATTACCTAGGTGCCGAGGCAAGAGACTGAAGGCACAAACTGTTTCAGTATAATAAAAAAAAATAGTTAGAATAAGAATAGTCGTAATACAAATTAGAGATAGAGATGGTCATGGACAATTATCAATCATTATTATAAACATTTATCATTAGCTTTTAATATTACTCTTCGTTGCATTACTAATATAACCTAGGAATAACCGGCGGGTATACGGTCAGGTGCTGAAGGGACATTGTCAGAAGTGACCTAGAAGGCAAGAGGTGAGCCCTCTGTCACGCCCGCATAAGGGCCGCTTGAGGACTCCTTGGTCAAGCGGTAACGCCAGTGTCTGGGAAGGCACCCATTACTTAGCAGACAGCGAAAGGGAGTCTCCTTTCCTTGGAGGAGTCAGGGAACACTCTGCTCCACCAGCTTCTTATGGAAGGCTGGATATTATCCAGGCCTGCGCGCAGTCATCCGAAGGCCTAAACCCCTCCCTGTAGTGCTGTGCTTCAATGGTCATGCTCCTTGTCCACTTTCATGCTCCTCCTGCACTCCTGGCTCCTCTTTGAAGTTCGTAGTAGATAAGGGTAGAAGAAATAGTGAAAGTCTTAAAGTCTTTGATCTTTCTTATAAGTGCAGAGAAGAAAACGCTGACGTACGTTGCCTTCCCTCTCTCTGCTTAGGCTACCCAAGAGGGAAGGGCCCCCGTCCTATGATCACGTGACTTGCTTCACCTTGTCAATCACTTAGAAGATTCACCCTCCTTACCCTGCCCCCTTGTCTTCTACGCAATAAATATCAGCGAGCCCAGCCTTTTGGGGCCGCTGCCGGTGTCCACGTCTTGATGGTAGTGGTCCCCTGGGCCCAGCTGTTTTCTCTTTATCTCTTTGTCTTGTGTCTTTATTTATTACAATCTCTCGTCTCCGCACATGGGGAGAACACCCGCTAAGCCCCGTAGGGCTGGCCCCTACAAGGCAGCCTTCAGAAAGGCCAATGGGGCTGAGGAACTGAAGCCTTCTACCAACAGCAGGCACAGCCTGCCAGTCATGTGAAGGAGCCATCTTAGAAGCAGATCCTCCAGCTCCAATTGAGCTTCCAGATGACTACAGCAGCCCCGGTCCACGTCAATCGATAAATCAATAAATGCTTATTAGGGCTGGGCATGGTGACCCATGCCTGTACTCCCAGCACTTTGGGAGGCAGAAGCAGCAGGATTGCTTGAACCCAGGATTTCAAGACCAACCTGGGCAGCATAGTGAGACCCCCAACTCTAGAAAAAAATTTTAAAATTAGCCAGGCATGGTGGCTCATGCCTGTAATCCCAGCACTTTGGGAGGCCAAGGCAGGAGTATTGCTTGAGCCTAGGAGTTCAAGACCAGTCTGGGTAACACGGCGAGACCCCATTTCTATTTTTTTAATAAATAAAATAAAAATAATTTTAAAAATTAGCTGGGCATGGTGGTGCATGCCTATAGTCTCAGCTACTTAGGAGGCTGAGGCAGGAGGATCACTTGAGCCCAGCAGGTCAAGGCTGCAGTGAGCCATGATGGTACCAGTGCACTCCAGCCTGGGCGATTAACCAACATTCCAAATGCATCCTCAGGAACAATAAATCTCTCAAATATTGCCTCTACAGGGGAAAAAACCCAAAGGTCCTTAATGATGACTCAGAGGGAAGGTTGAAAGATGCTTATCGGAGAGTTTGAGTTATATATCCATCTGTCTATCTATGTATTGGGGTTCACCAACTGTAAAAGCATCGTTGCTATTACAGATATAAGGCACTCCAAGCCCAAGAGCCCTGAGGGTAGGGAGGTTACTCCAGAAGATCAGGAACCAGGAAACGCCCACACCCACAGTAACGGTAAGAATGACAGCTGCAGACCAGACCAGCCCTCTACTGTGATGCTGGAGAGATGAGACCCAGCTGGGATCCCTGGCTCAGGCCCTCATGCCAAGACAGCTGTCTCTAATCTGCCGGTGACAGCCCAGCCAGCCCATTCTACTCAGGGAAATCATCTGGAATCATCTGGGTCTGGTTATTTTTCACAAGCAGCCAAAATCCTGGGAAACTGGTTTGTACAAACCACTAAATTTCCCTGGCTTATAAAATGGCAATAATCACAGTCTGGCTTCATAGAGCTGTCATGACAATTAAGTGGCTTCTGCAAATCACGTACATGGAACCAGGATGGAATCCAGGTCTATGAGGCGCACACGAGAAAAGATTTTGAAATGAGCTCCAAAGGTCTTGAGATGCATGAAACCCTCATTATCTGCACCTTTATTTACAAATCAATGCTTAACGGAGCTAAAGGCAAATCTTCATTTTAAGATTAAGAAAGATTAAGATTAATTAAGAAAACATAGACATATAATGAAAAGATACATACATATATTTAAAAAAACAAAAACAAAAACTGATAATGCAGTGACTAAGAGCAAATAATGCAATGACTAAGAGCAAATAACATCAAATCATTCACTTCTCATCAACCAGCAAATGTGAATGCCTTCAAAGCTTCCTGCCAACTTCCTCTAGACAACCACACCCAAATGGCAAATGCAGACACAACAGCTTCTTTGCTTGACTACTCTCTCCTACTTCATTTCCGTTCTCCCCACCCCCTACCCCGCCCCCCCCCCCCCCGCCGCCTCCACCCCGGCCCCCGCCGCCAAAACCCTGTGCATCCTGAACCTGGGAGCGTCCTTTAAAGAAGCCATACAAGGGAGCTCCCTGAGGTCCTCCCCTAAACGGCCTCTGACTCTCCTACCTGGAAGCAGAGCCCAAGAACTTTGAGCTGATGAGAGGACTCTGGGCTTGGCCGTGTATGGGAAAGCAGCCTGTTGCATGTCAAGAGTGACGCCATCTTGAAGCAAAACCGCCGTGATTGGTTTTGCAGACCAACCTGTTGCAGACCAACCTGGAATAGCTGACAGCTGAGTTCCAGACATATGAGAAGGTACAGATGACCCAGAAGAACCATCCAGCCAAGCCTAGCTAAATGCCCTACCCACAAACTCAGAAGCTAAAAAAACATGCTACTGAGCTTTGGGGTGGTTTGTTACACAGCATTATTGTAACTAACCAATACAAGAAACCTGCAGCTGCTCAGCCAAATCCTGAAGCTAGCCTGCTTGGATTTGAAACCCATCTCCATTACCTGTCAGCTGAGTGACTTAACTTCCCTGAGCCTTAGATCTCTCATCTATAAAATGGGATAAGAGCAGGTCTAACCCAACAAGATGGTTCCATCATTCAGGAAACAACAGTTTATGGGGTTCCTCTTGCTCTGTGTGAGAAAGAGACAACAATGACCAAGACAGACTAGGCATGATGGCTCACGCCTGTAACCCCAGCACTTTGGGAGGCCAAGGTGGGAGGATTGATTGAGCCCAGGAATTGAAAGCCAGCCTGGGTAACATAGCAAGACCCCATCTCTAAAAAAAAAAAAAAAAAAAAAAATTAAGAACCTGGGAGGCCGAGGTTGCGGTGAGCCGAGATCGCGCCAATGCACTCCAGCCTGGAGGCGAGAGCGAAACTCCATCTCAAAAAGAAGAAAAAAAAAATTAAAAATTAGCCAGGGGTGGTAGCTCATGCCCATAGTTCCAGCACTTTGGGAGGTCAAGGTGAGAGGATCACCTAAGCCCAGGAGATTGAGGCTGAAGTGAGCTATGATCACACCACTACATTCCAGCCTGGGCAACAGAGCAATACCCTGTCTGTAAAAAACCAAAACAGTGACCAAGAGAAAGTTCCATATGCATAAAAAGCAAACAGATCTACGATATGAAGTCAGGTAGAGAGAAGTAAGTGCTCTGAAGAGAAGCACAACTGACTAAAGGACGGAGGCTGTGATGGGGAGAGGAGATACTGCTTTCGATAAGGTAGTCAGGGACGCCCACCAAAAGGAGATGACATCCCAGCCACGTGTGAATGAAGAGACCATGAGGGAGGTTTTCCCAGCAGAGGGAATGGTGGTGCCAAGGTGTAGAAGCGGGCATGAGATTGGTGTGTGTGAGCAATGGAAAGAAGGCTGGCAAGAAGAGGCAAGTGGCAGAATGGCAGGAGGCGGCATCTAAGAGGCAGGCACAGATCAGAGTATGGGGATAATGGATTTAGGAAGTTTTTTGTTTGTTTATGTTTTTGTTTAGAGACAGAGTCTTGCTCTGTCACCCAGGTTGGAGTGCAGTGGCGCGATCTTGGCTCACTGCAACCTCCATCTCCTGGGTTCAAGTGATTCTCCTGCCTCAGCCTCCAGAGTAGCTGGGATTACAGGCATGCACCACCATGCCCGGCTAATTTTTTGTATTTTTAGTAGAGACAGGGTTTTGCCATATTGCCCAGGCTGGTCTCGAACTCCTGAACGCAAGTACTCCACCCACCTCAGCCTCCCAAAGTGCTGAGATTACAGGCGTGAGCCACCGTGTCCAGCCATTTTTTTTTTTAAGGCAGGGTCTTGCTCTATCGCCCAGGCTGGAGTATAGTGGCACAATCATGGCTCACTGCAGCCTCAACCTCCTGGGCTCAAGCTATTCTCCTGTCTTAGCCTCCCACGTAGCTGAGACTACAGGCACAGGCCACTCCTAGCTTGGAGTGTGGATTTTATTGTGATTAAATTAGTTGTCAACCTAGATAACAAACAGCGAGAGGCTCTCTAAAAGAAACAAAAATTGGTTGGGCGAGGTGGCTCACGTCTGTAATCCTAGCACTTTGGGAGGCCGAGGCGGGTGGATCACTTGAGGTCAGGAGTTCGAGACGAACCTGACCAACATGGCAAAGCCTCATCTCTACTAAAAATACAAAAATTAGCCAGGCATCATGGCAGGTGCATGTAATCCCAGCTGCTAGGGAGGCCAAGGCAGGAGAATCAGTTGAACCCGGGGGGTGGAGGTTGCAGTGAGCCAAGTTCATGCCACTGCACTCCAGCATGGGCGAAAGAGTGAAACTACATCTCAAAAAAAAAAAAAAAGTTTATTCAAGAACAGAGAATTGCAATGGGAATAGGAGTGTTATACATATTCAAGGAGGTCAAAGAAGACAAAGGTTTTTAAAGAAAAAAAATGAGGAGAATTACATAATGGTTTTGAAATAATCATCTTTGGCTAGAAAAATGAATCACAAAGATGATGCCAGTCTGGGGTTGGACAGGCAGTTGCTGGGCAAACGTCCTTGCAGAAGTATTTTTCTGTGTAAGTTTGCAATGGTCTTTGTGTGAGATTGTGTTTTTTGCAGTTTTTTTGTGATAGTTTTTGTGATCAGTCATACAAGTATGAGAACCCTCTCTCCATGGCTTTCCTTCACTCTGTTGGTCGGAGCTTTTTTTTCTTTTTCTTTTTTTTAACATGAGTGACTCCATTTTGATTCTGATAACCTTCAAAAGTTCATATGTGCCTGGGTCATGGGGACTGCTTAGTAAATGCTAGCTTTCACTTTACTATTGGAATTTTTACCTCCAAAATGCAGCATCTCCCCATTCCAAGGTCCTAAGTAGAATGGAAGAGGAGATGCCAGGGAATCTTGACAAGGGAAACTTTCACGGTTGACTCTACATTTGAATTTCTATAGCAGGATTAAGTCTGTGTATTATTTACGTGATTTAAAAAGGCCGAGTGTGGTGGCTCACGCCTGTAATTCCAGGACTTTGGGAGGCTGAGGCAGGTGGATCACCTGAGGTCAGGAATTTGAGACCAGCCTGGTCAACATATAATGAAACCCCATCTCTACTACGAATATAAAAATTAGCCAGGCATGGTGGCATACACCTGTAATCCCAGCTACTCAGGAGGCTGAGGCAAGAGAATTGTTTGAACCTGGGAGGCAGAGGTTGCAGTGAGCCAAGATGGCACCACTGCACTCCAGCCTGGTGACAGAGCGAGACTCTGTCTCAAAAAAAAAAAAAAAAAATCTAAAAATTAGCTAGGCATGGTGGTGCACACTTGTGGTCCCAGCTACTTGGAAAACTAAGGCAGAAGGATCGCCTAAGCCTAGGAGGTCAAGGCTGCCATGAGCTGCGATCACACCACTGCACCCCAGGCTGGGTGACAGAGCAAGACCCCCTCTCACAAAAAAATTTTTAAAAAGATAATGTTAAATATATGTTAGTAGATAAATGTTCACAAAAATCATTAGTGTTGAAGGAAGTGAGGAAAAGATTAAAGGGTGTATTAGTCCATTCTCACACTGCTATAAAGATACTACCTGCTATAAAGATACTGGCCAGACAAGGTGGCTCATGCCTGTAATCCCTACTCTTTGGGAGGCTGAGGTGGGTAGATCACCCGATGTCAGGAGTTCAAGACCAGCCTGGCTAACATGATGAAAACCCGTCTCTACTAAAAATACAAAAAAAAAAAAAAAGTCAGGCATGGTGGCAGGCACCTGTAATCAGCTACTCAGGAGGCTGAGGCAGGAGAATCACTTGAATCCAGGAGACAGAGGTTGTGAGCCGAGATCGCACTACTGCACTCCAGCCTGGGCAACAAGAGGGAAACTCTGTCTCAAAAAAAAAGATACTACCTGAGACTGGGTAATTTATAAACAAAAGAGGTTTAATTGACCTGCAGTTCCACATTGCTGAGGAAGCCTCAGGAAACTTACACTCATGGCGGAAGGGGAAGGGGAAGCAAGCACCTTCTTCACAAGGTGGCAGGAGAGACAGTGCAGGGGAAACGGCCACTTATAAACCATCAGATCTCATGAGAACTGCATGGGGGAACCACCCCCAAGATCGAATCACCTCCCACCAGGTCCCTCCCTCCACATGTGGGGATTACAATTTGAGATGAGGTTTTGGGGGGACACAGAGCCAAACCATATCACCAGGGTTAAGATTTATAAATTGCTCTGTGAACCCCGAAAATCTGAGACAGGTCTCAGTTAATTCAGAAAGTTAATTAGGAGACCAAGGTTGAGAATGCACGCACATGACACAGCCTCAGGAGGTCCTGATGACACGTGCCCAAGGTGGTAGGGGCACAGCTTGGTTTTATACCTTTTAGGAAGACATGAGACATCAATCAGTAGGTGTAAGATGTACATTGGTTCAGTCCAGAAAGGTGGGACAACTCAAGGTGAAGGCAGGAAACTGGAAGAAAGGAGGGGGCTTCCAGATCATAGGTAGATAAGAGAGAAGTGGTTGCATTCATTTTTTTGAAATGGAGTCTCACTCTGTAACCCAGGCTGGAGTACAGTGGTGCTATCTCGGCTCACTGCAACCTCCACCTCCTGGGTTCAAGTGATTCTCCTGCCTCAGTCTCCCAAGTAGCTGGGATTCCAGGTGCCCACGACCACACCCAGCTAATTTTTGTATGTTTTAGTAGAGCAAGGGTTTCGCCATGTCGGCCAGGCTGGTCTTGAACTCCTGACCTCAGGTGATCCGCCAGTCTCGGCCTCCCAAAGTGCTGGGATAACAGGCATGAGCCACTGCGCCCAGCCAGTTGCATTCTTTTTGTTTTTTGTTTTTTGTTTTTTTTTTTTTTGAGACAGAGTCTTGCTCTGTTGCCCTAGGCTGGAGCGTAGTGGCGCAACCTTGTCTCACTGCAGCCTCTGCCTGCTGGGTTCAAGTGATTCTTCTGCCTCAGCCTCCAGAGTAACTGGGATTACAGGCATGTGCCACCATGCCCGGCTAATTTGTTGTTGTTGTTGCTGTTGCTGCTGCTGTTGTTGTTGTTGAGACGGAGTCTCACTCTGTCATCCAGGCTGGAGTGCAATCGTGAGATCTTGGCTCACTGCAACCTCCGCCTCCCGGGTTCAAGCTATTCTCATGTCTCAGCCTCCCGAGTAACTGGGATTACAGGCACCCACCACCACGCCTGGCTAATTTTTGCATTTTTAGTAGAGACGGGGGTGTCGCTATGTTGACCAGGCTGGTCTCGAACCCCTGACCTCAGGTGAACCATCCGCCTCGAACTCCCAAAGTGCTAGGATGACAAGCATAAGCCACCATGCTGGTAGTTGCATTCTTTTCAGTTTCTGATTAGCCTCTCCAAATGGGGCAATGAGATATGCATTTATCTCAGTGAGCAGAGCGGTGACTTTGAATAGAATGGGAGGCAGGTTCACCCTAAGCTGTTCCCAGCTTGACTTTTCCCTTTAGCTTTGGTGATTTTGGGGCCCCAATATTTATTTTCCTCTCACAGCTCAGAACTGTGCTTGGTGCCATGAGTGTTTGTCGCATAGCTGTTGGTAAATGCAGGATGGGCATTGCAGGCAGAAGGAACAGGAAGTGCAAAGGTTCTGAGAAGGGAATGGGTCTCTGTGGCTAAGGCTCATCCAGGAGACCTGCGTGGCTGCAGCGGAGCAGGCAGTGGTTAGTGCAAGAAGTTGCGGCCAGCACAGCGGTCAGGGCCAGACCCTGTGGGCATGCCAAGGGCACAGTGCTTCCGCTAAATGAGAAGAGAAGCCACTGGAGTGTTTCAAAAGTTAACCATTATTGGCCAGGCATGGTGACTCATGCCTGTAATCCCAATGCTTTGGAAGGCCAAGGTGGGAGAATTGCTTGAGCCCAGGAGTTCAAGACCAACCTGGGCAACAAAGTGAGACCCCATCTCTACAAGAAATTAGACAGGTGTGGTGGCACACACCTGTAATCCCAGCTACTCTCCAGGCTGAACTGGGAAGATGGCTTGAGCCTGGGAGGTCAAGACTGCAGTGAGCTATGATCACGCCACTGCACTCCAACCTGGGTGACAGAGTGAGGCCCTCTTTCAAGAAAGAAAAAAACTAATAATAATATTGTTCAATGAAATTTACCAGAGGCCACTAGTTTGGACCAAGCTTCTGTGCAAAGCCCAACAGACCAAACCAAAATGGAGTCACTCGTGCTAACTTCCACATCACCAAGCCAAAACTCAATTGTTTTACCTGACCTTCCAAAAAATCAGGAGAGTGAAAGATAACAGCCAAGTCCCCAAGCAGGCCAGTTTTAGCCTGCATGATAAGGAAACCCCTGTCCTTTAACCTTTACAAGGAAAGTAATTTTGAAATGGCCAATACACTTTTTCTTCTCTGTTTCTGCAGTCTCTGCCCTTTCTGTCTATAAAACCAACCTCTTTTGCTCGACTCATCAGAATACTCATTCTGTCTCTTATAATTCGATGTTGCCCAATTCTAAAATCACAAATAATAACCAGTTAAGATCTTTAAGCAGGCTGGGCACAGTGGCTCATGCCTGTAATCCCAGCACTTTGGGAGGCCAAGGCAGGTGGATCACTTGAGGTCAGTAGTTCGAGACCAGCCTGGCCAACATGTATCTTTTGTAAAGACATAAAAATTAGCCAGGCATGATGGTGCATACTTGTAATCCCAGCTATTTGGGAGGCTGAGGTGGGAGGGAATCTATAAGCAAATTTGTTGTGATTTTGTCTTTTGACAGTTCAAGGACTGAACACTTTCTCTTTTTTTTTTTTTTGAGACAGAGTCTTGCTCTGTCACCAGGCTGGAGTGCAGTGGGGCAATCTTGGCTTACTGCAACCTCCACCTCCCGGGTTCAAGCAATTATCTTGCCTCAGCCTCCCGAGGGGCTGGGATTACAGGCACCTGCCACCACGCCTGGCTAATTTTTGTATTTTTATTAGAGGTGGGGTTTCACCATGTTGGCCATGCTGGTCTCGAAATCCTGACCTCATGATCTGCCTGCCTCAGCCTCCCAAAGTGCTGGGATTACAGTCATGAGCCAACACGCCTGGCCGGACTAAGCACTTTCACCTTTATTCTTTTCTGTCTCCAAACTCATCCACAATCTCACCCAGCTTGGACTCACCCCTGGCAGTTCATCTCCACCCTGACCTTGCTTTAGCAATGATCTTTCATTTCATTCATCCCTTCTTTTGGGGCCTTTCCATGACTCTAGACTCTGAGGGTATACAATAGTGAGCAATGCAGACTCAGATCCTGCCCAGAACATTCCCTAACACACAGTAGGTGTTCATTAAAAGCTTTTAGAATGAATAAGAATAGTTGTTTTTTTAAGACCCTACTAACAAAATAAAAAGTTGACATCCTTAATGCTTGACCCTCCAATTTTGTCTTTGAAGCTTGATGGTTCACAATCTCCAAACTGGTTTACAGCACAAAGTCCCAATGCCAAGGTTCTTTCCCAAATGGGCCTGACCTAATTCCCCAGCCTCATCTCCCTGCTCTCTCCCAGGTTGCTGCACCCAGTTCCGGACACAAGGCATGTTCGCTCAGGCCTCTGCACGTGCTCCTTGTTATTTAAGATCCCGCTCCTGGTCTTATCCATCACGACCTCTGAGAAGATGTCCTGGAAACCCAGACAGAGCTTTGTCCCTGTGTCTGCTGCAGATTTAGGTGAATGTTGGTGCAAGTGCATTCGCCAAATAGCAGTAGTACTTTCCGAGAGTCCAGCCAGGGGCTGGATGCTGATGCTTAGCTGACATTGCTGCTCCAAGCCGCCAGAGGGCGCATGGAAAACACCAATCTGACTTGCAGGGTGAAAACCCTACAGGAGCTCCCAGTTTCTCGTATAATTAACAGTTAAGGTGCCACTGTTCTTGTTTTGTTTGTTTGTTTTGAGGCAGGGTCTTGCTCTGTCACCCAGGCTGGAGTGCGGTGGCGCAATCTCGGCTCTCTGCAGCCTCGTCATCCTGGGCTCAAGTGAACCTCCCACCTTTTGACACAGAAAAGTTGGCTTATCAGTGGTTCATTTTGTTAACCCATGTTCATGAGTTTCTTGTGATGTGCTAATTTACTGCTGATATTTAGGATAGTCCTGTTGATCCTAATAAATTCCTAATTGTTGTTCTTGTTTCATCGGTTCACCGTGAACCAGTGGATGTTGTCTCACTCTTATCCCTGATGCACACTGGCACTTTTATATGAAGTGCCCTTGATGACACTAGTGATGATGGTTGTCACTAGAGTGGTACTTGCATTCTGGATTATCTTACTGCACTTTAGCTTGCTAGGTGAGCACTCAAACTCCCTAGTAGCTGAGACCACAGGTGCGTACCACTCAGCTAATTTTTGTATTTTAGCAGAGATGGGGTCTCGCTATATTGCCCAAGCTGGGCAGACTCATGGGCTCAAGTGATCCTCCCATCTCAGCCTCGCATAGTGCTGGGATTACAGGCATGAGCCACCGCGCCCCACCAAGATGCCACTGTTTTTTGTTTGTTTTTCTGGGGCTTGGGGGGCTTTTTTGTTTTGTTTTTTTGTTGTGGGGGGAGTTCGAGACAGAGTATCACTCTGTTGCCCAGGCAGGAGTGCAGCGGCATGGTCTCGGCTCACTGCAACCTCCGCCTCCTGGGTTCAAGCGATTCTCCTGCCTCAGCCTCTTGAGTAGCTGGGATTAGTCAGGCCCGCCACCAGGCCTGACTAATTTTTTTTGTATTTTTAGTAGAGATGGGTTTTCACCATGTTGGCCAGGCTGGTCTCAAACTCCTGACTTCAAGAGATCTGCCTGCCTTGGCCTCCCAAAGTGCTGGGATTACAGGCGTGAGCCACCGCGCCTGGCCAATGCCACTGTTTTTGAGGTGGGAGGCTGGACTCACCTCCAGAGGTGGGACTTGGGTATGGGACCAAATTGAGGACTAGCTAAGCAGTTTCCCATAATACACGCCCACCAGTATGCCACGTCAGTTTACCGTTGCCATGGCAACACCTGGGAGTTACTGCCCCTTTCCATGCCAATAACCCCACAAGCCAAAAGTCATTACCCCTTCCCTAGAAATTTCTGCATAAACCGCGCCTTAATCTACATGTAATTAAAAGTAAGTATCGGGCTGAGCACACTGGCTCACGCCTGTAATCCCAGCATTTTGGGAGGCCAAAGCTGGCGGATCATCTGAGTGAAGAGTTTGAGACTAGCTTGGCCGACATTGTGAAACCCCATCTCTACTAACAATACAATAATTAGCCAGGCGTGGTGACGCCCGCCTGTAATCCCAGCTACTCAGGAGGCTGAAGTAGGAGAATTACTTGAACCCAGGAGGCGGAGGTTGCAGTGAGCCGAGATGGCGCCACTGACAGCACTCCAGCCTGGGTGATAGAGAGAGACTGTTGTCTAAAAAAAAAAAAAAAAAAAAAAAAAAAAAGGAGTCTATTTACAAGGGTGGAGGCAGTGGGTAGAAAGATACAGGCAGCCCAAGGCAACCGTACATCAAGAAGGGAGTTGGGGAAATAAATACCCACCCTCCAGTTTCTTGCCAGTGTCTCCCCATTGGGCAAACCGATGCAGAAAGCTAGAGGTTCAGAAAGCTCATTGTGGTTCATGCTGATCCCAAGGTATGGTCAGACTCCCAGGAGTATGGCGGGGAGAGGTGGAGAGTGGACCTGAAGAGGCAAACAAAAAATATCCAGCATAGTCCGGGCACAGCAGCTCACACCTGTAATTCCAGCACTTTGGGAAGCTGAGGTGTGAAGATCACTTGAGGCCAAGAGTTCGAGACCAGCCTGGACAACATAATGAGACTCATCTCTACAAAAAAAAAATTTTTTTTTAATTAGCCTGGCATGGTGGCATGCACCTGTAATTCCAGTTATTTCCAAGGCTGAGGAGGGAGGATGGCTTGAGCCTAGGAGTTTGAGGCTGCAGTGAGCTATGATTGTACCACTGCACTACAGCCTGGGCAACAGAGTGAGACCCTGTCTCAAAAAAAAAAGGGAAGAAAAGAAAAAAGAAAAACATCCAGCATAGTGTTCTATTTGTATTGTTATTGTATTTCTTATTGTGGCCTATGAGGCCCTTCAAGGTTTAGGCCTAACCTCTGCCTCCTCTTCCCACCCCACCCACTACATTCCTCTCTGAAACCCAGGGACTGACTGGGAAGGGATGGGAGACAACCTTCTGGAGTGATGGTGATGTTCTGATTCAAGATAAGGATTTTGGCGGCACGGGCCTGCACATTTGTCAGAATTCCTCTAACAATGTGCTTAAGTTTTGTGCATTTCAGCATATGTAAATTTTACCTGAAGAGGAGAAACTAAATAAATATGCTTTTCAACTTACTTTGAAATGCATTGAAAAGGCAAGAAGGAGTGATGGATAGATGGATGGAAAGGTGGGTAAATACTTGATAAAGCAAGTTGAGTAAGATGTTAATTAATTTAGAATCTAGGTGATGGGGCCAGGCACGGTGGCTCATGCCTGTAATCCCAGCACTTTGGGAGGCCAAGGCAGGCAGATGGCTTGAGTACAGGAGTTCGAGACCAGCCTGGGCAACAGGGCGAAATCCTATCTATCTCTACAAAAAAAAAATTAGCCAGGCGTGGTGGCACATGCCCCTAGTCCCAACTACTCAGGAGGCTGAGGTGGGAGGATCACCTGAGCCACAGAAGTCGAGGCTGAAGTGAGCCAAGATTGCACCACTACACTCCAGGCTGGGCTATGGGAGTGAGACCCTGTGTCCAAAGATAAAATAAAAATAGAGCTGGGCACGGTGGCTCACCCCTGTAATCCCAGCATTTTGGGAGGCCAAGGCGGATGAATCACTTGAGGCCAGGAGTTCAAGACCAGCCTGCCCAACATGGTGAAACCCCATCTCTACTAAAAATACAAAAATTAGCCAGGCGTGGTGGTGGGCACCTGTAATCCCAGCTACTCAGGAGGCTGAGGCAGGAGAATCGCTTGAACCTGGGAGGTGAAGGTTGCAGTGAGCCCAGATCACACCACTGCACTCCAGCCTGGGTGACAAAGTGAGACTCTGTCTCAAAAATAATAATAATAATCATACAAATAGAATCTAGGTGATGGGTATATATGAGTGTTCACTGTAAGATTATTTTAACTTCTCTATGTTTTAAATAATTCATTTTAAACATCTGTGCAAAAGTAAAAATAAAAATTTGGGAAAGTGTTGAGTCAGCAAAGGAATTTGGATTGGATTGATTGGTTGGAGGAACCAAGAAGAAATGAATTGCTCTGGGACTTTCCACAGAAACCACAACCGCTTCCCTGCAGCATAGAGCTGGCCTCCAGGAACAAACTGTGCCAGCTCTCAAGTCTCAGTTCTCCAGAAAGCCTGTCAGGAAAAAAGTGCAGAGAAGAGAAAGAGACAGCACCCTTGCTTCTCAGAAATCCTGTGATGAACAGATCTGCCTAACATCTGAAGTCATGCACTATTCATTCGACAAACTATAATTGAAACCCTCCTCTGTGCCCAGCCCTGAGATGTGTGTGTGGCACTGACAACATAGCCCCAGCCCTTCCCTCAGGAGACTCAAAGTCCAGGGGCAGAGACAGACACATCTTCCAGTGTTATGGTTTGGCTCCATGTCCCCACCCAAATCTCATCTCAAATTGTAATCCCCATGTGTGAGGGAATGACCTGGTGGGAGGTGATTGGATCATGGGGACGGTTTCTCACATGCTGTTTTTGTGCTGATGAGGGAGGTTTCACGAGATCTGTTGGTTTAAAAGTGGCAATTTCCGGCCGGGCGCGGTGGCTCACGCCTGTAATCCCAGCACTTTGGGAGGCCGAGGCGGGCGGATCACGAGGTCAGGAGATCGAGACCATCCCGGCTAAAACGGTGAAACCCCGTCTCTACTAAAAATACAAAAAATTAGCCGGGCGTAGTGGCGGGCGCCTGTAGTCCCAGCTACTTGGGAGGCTGAGGCAGGAGAATGGCGTGAATCCGGGAGGCGGAGCTTGCAGTGAGCCGAGATCCCGCCACTGCACTCCAGCCTGGGCGACAGAGCGAGACTCTGTCTCAAAAAAAAAAAAAAAAAAAAAAAAAAGTGGCAATTTCCTTTGCTCTCTCTCTCTCTCTCTCTGTCTCTCTCTCTCTTTCTCTGCTGCCGCCATGTAAGACATGCCTTACTTCCCATTGACCTTCTGCCATAATTGTAAGTTTCCTGAGTCCTCCTCAGCCATGCAGAATTGTGAGTCAATTAAACCTCTTTTCAGTCCAGGCGCAGTGGCTCAAACCTGTACTCCCAGCACTTTGGGAGGCCAAAGCAGGCAGATCATCTGAGGTCAGGAGTTCAAGACCATCCTGGCCAACATGGTGAAACCCCATCTCTCCTGAAAATGCAAAAATTAGCCAGGTATGGTGGCGGACACCTGTAACCTCAGCTACTTGGGAGGCTGAGGCAGGAGAATTGCTTGAACCCGGGAGGTGGAGGTTACACTGAGCCAACTTCTCTCTACTGCACTCTAGCCTGGACAACAGAGTAAGACCTTATATTAAAAAAAATAATAATAAATAAAGGCCAGGCATGATGGCTCATGTCTGTAATCCCAGCATTTTGGGAGGCCGAGCCAGGCAGATCATGAGGTCAGGAGTTCAAGATCAGCCTGACCAACATGGTGAAACCCTGTCTCTACTAAAAAATACAGAAATTAGCTGGGCATGGTGGCACACGCCTGTAATCCCAGCTACTCAGGAGGCTGAGGCAGGAGAATCACTTGAATCCGGGAGGCGGAGGTTTCAATGAGCCGAGATTGTGCCACTGCACTCCAGCCTGGGCAACAGAGCAAGACTGTGTCTCAAAAAAAATAATAAATTAAAAAAATAAAAACCTCTTTTCTTTATCAATTACCCAGCCTCAGGTAGAATCTTTATAGCAATGTGAGACCAGACCAATACATCCAGATAGCAACAATCCCAAGTGATCAAAACAATAATGGGGGAAGCCCCAAATGAGGCATGTGACCCAGACTGGTGGTCAGGAAAGATACCTGATGGAGAGGACATCCAAGCTAAGTCTTAAAGAAAGAGTAGGTGTCACCAGGTAGAGACGGAAGGACAATGGAAAAGCATTCCAGGCAGAAGGAACAGCAACTGCAAAGGTCTGGGAGTGAGCAGAAGAGTTTGATGCTCAAACTTTTCTGAACTGAACTTTTCTGAACTGAAAAGTTCAGTGTCATTGGAATGTGAAAGGAAGCAGAGGGTAGGGAGGGGTTAAAGGCAAGCATGCAGCAGTCACCAGTTCCTGTGTGGGCTTGTAAGCCATGGTAGGGCATTGGAATCTTACCCTGCGAGTGCTGGGGAGTCACAACAGGGTTATAGTCAGTAGGAGGACTTCACCAGTTTGTAAATGATTCCAATTGCAAAACAAGGGAAGGAGATGAGGGAATGTATCGGTCAGGATTGGCTAAGTTATGCTGCAGTGACAAACAGCTCCAGAATTCAGTGACTCAAAACAACAAAGGTTGGCTGGGTGCAGTGGCTTACGTCTGGAATCCCAGAACTTTCAGAGGCCAAGGAGGGAGAAGTGCTTGAGGCCAGGAGTTCAAGACCAGCCTGAGCAACATAGTGAGATTCCATCTCTTCAAAAAAAACTTTTAAAAATTACCTGGGCACGGTGTGCACACCTGTAGTCCCATCTACTCAGAAGCCTGAGACAGGAGGATCTCTTGAGCCCAGGAGTTCAAGGTTACCATGAGCCGTGATCGCACCACTGCACTCCAGCCTGGGTGACAAAGCAAGAACCCATCTCAAAAGAAAAATAAATAAATTTTAAAAATAAATTTTCTGGCCAGGCACGGTGGTGCATGATTGTAATCCCAGCACTTTGAAAGGCCGAGGTGGGAGAATCTTTTGAGCTCGGAAGCTCGAGACCAGCCTGGGTAACATGGCAAAACCCCATCTCTACAAAAAAAAATACAAAAATTAGCCAGGTATGGTGGAACATGCCTGTAGTCCCAGCTACTCAGGAGGCTGGGGTGGGAGGATTGCTTGAGCCCAGGAGGTGGAGGCTGCAGTGAGCTGTGATCGTACCAGTGTACTCCAGCCTGGGTGACAGAACGAGAACATGTCTCAAAAAAAAATTTTTTTTCTAGCAACCACATTTTTTAATTTAGTTATTTTTGAGACGGAGTCTCGCTCTTGTCACCCAGGCTGGAGTGCAATGGTGCAATCTTGACTCATTGCAATCTCTGCCTCCCAGGTTCAAGCAATTCTCCTGCCTCAGCCTTCCAAGTAGCTGGGATTACAGGTGCACACCACCGCGCCTGGCTAATTTTTGTATTTTAGTAGAGACCGGGTTTCACCATGTTGGGCAGGCTGGTCTCGAACTCCTGACCTCAAGTGATCCAACTGCCTCAGCCTCCCAAAGTGCTGGGATTACAGGTGTGAGCCACCACACCCAGCCATTGCCATTTTATAGATGAGAAAACTGAGGCACAGAAAGATGATGGGGCTTGTCCAAAGTCACGAGCTAGAGCAGGAGCAGGGATTTGAACCCCAGCCATCGGGCTCCTTGCAAGGAGAGCAGAGATGGGTTCCTACATGGTCATTCCTTGGGCTGGGTGAGTGTGAGCCCTTGGTGGTCCAATCCTACTCCCCCCAGAGGTCTCAGTAAAGAGAGAATGCTAGTGATTCTTGAGAATACTGAAGGGAAAACCCACAGTTGGTCCCAAGAACGACGGTGTGGGTGGAAGTGAAGAGATGTGGGAAAAGATTTTCCTCTTTCTTGCCCCAGATTGCCAGGGAGTTGGAAAAATCCCCTTGCACTATGGGCTATAGACTAGTGGCTGTCACTGCTACTGGATTCTTCATCACTGGAAAAGCAGAAAGTTGGGGTGAGTTCCCTGTGAAGTCCCAGACCAGGAGAATGGATGTAGGAGGAGGGCCTCTCTTTGTTCTTGTTTTTTGTTTGTTTGGTTTGGTTTGGTTTTTGTGGGGTTTTTTGTTTTGTTTTGTTTCTGAGACAAGGTCTTGCTCTGTCACCCAGGCTGGAGTGCAATGTCATGATCAGAGCTCACTGCAGCCTCAACCTCCCGGGGATCAAGCGATCCTCCCACCCCAGCCTCCTGAGTAGCTGGGATTACAGGCGCGTGCCACCACACGCCTGGCTAACTTTTGTACTTTTTTTAGAGACGAGGTTTCACCATGTTGTCCAGACTGGTCTAGAACTCCTGGGCTCAAGCTATCCTCCCACCTCGGCCTCCCAAAGTGCTAGAATTACAGGTGTGAGCCACCGTGCCCGGCCAGGAGAGCCTCTCTTCAACAAGCATCTCCAGTGTGCCAGGCTCTGGAAGGAGAACTCTAGTCTCTCATTTTATGACCCTCCCTTTCCAAATGGGGAAACTGAGGCTCAGAGGAGACATGTGACTCATCCAACATCACACAGAGGGGAAGGATGGAAAAGTTTCCTCCCACCCCCATCCCATGGCCACCCAATTCCCTTTCCAGAGGCAATGGTATTTATTGCCTTGTGGGTATTTCTTGACATGTTCTAGGCATATACAAGCATTTACACACAGATTTTTTTTTTTACACAATAGTGGTACACTGTTCTGTATCTTATCTTTCATTTTACTTAACATTATTTTCAAGATCTTTCCACATTAATACAAATAGATGTGCCTGGTTTTATTTATTTTATTTAATTAATTTATTTTTGAGACAGAGTCTCACTCTGTCACCTAGGCTAGAGTGCAGTGGCGTGATCTTGGCTCACTGCAACCTCCACCTCCTGGGTTCAAGCAATTCTCCTGCCTTGCCTCCCAAGTAGCTGGGATTACAGGCACCCACCACCACGCCCAGCTACTTTTTGTATTTTTAGTAGAGAGGGGGTTTCGCCATGTTGGCCAGGATGGTCTTGAACTCCTGACCTCAGGTGATCCACCCGCCTCGGCCTCCCAAAGTGCTGGGATTACAAGCGTGAACCACTGCACCTAGCTCATTTTATTTTTATAATGCCCATAAAGCATCAAACTGTGTGAGCACACCATCATAAGCATAACCAGTTCCCTCCTGATAAACATTTAGGTTATTCCTAATGTTTTGTTATTCCAAACACTACTGCAATTAACATCCTGGAGCAGACCTGACATCAGCCTCAGGCGTCCATGTCTACATGTGAGATAAATTCCTGAGAGAAAAACCTGCCAAGTCAGAAGCGATCTGCATTTGTCATTTAGAAAGACGTTTCCAAATTGCACCCCAATTTCCCTCCCCTGCAACTGATTGACCAACCATTTCTCAAAAGGGCTTTTTGAGCACTCTCTCTCTCTCTCTCTCTTGCTGTCTCTGTATTTTTTTAATGTTTGACAGCAAGAAGATAGTCATGTCTTGCTTATGTAATTAAAATTAAACAAGCCCTTCGTTAAAAACACACAAACCCAGGAAGAAGAGAAACCAGCAAGGCCAGTTCAGGCAGATCCACCCTGCCCCTTGTCACACCTGCCTTGTCCCCAGCAAGCCCTGAAAAAGAGGCTGAAATCAATTTCTCACACATGGACCTCAGACATCAAACCTTGGAAAAAATACAGGAAAGAGATTTTGTAACTTTCCCCCTCTGTGGCTTTTCGTACGGCTAAACCCTCTCACTCTCTCTTCCCTTTCTTTCTCCTCGTCCTTTTTCTTCTTTCTCTCACTTCTGTTTTGGTGAGCTGTCATTAAAAACACTTTAAAGCCGTGTCCAGTCTAATAAGTTATACAGAATCTGGCTGTGTGTGTGTGTGTGTGTGTGTGTGTGTGTGTGTGTGTCTGTGTGTGAGAGAGAGAGAAAGAGAGAGAGACAGAGTCTCACTCTGTCGCCCAGGCTGGAGTGCAGTGGTACAATCACAGCTCACTGCAGCCTCCGCCTTCCGGGTTCAAGTGATTCTCCTGCCTCAGCCTCCCAAGTAGCTGGGATTGTAGGCGCGCACCACCAAGCCTGGCTGATTTTTTTTTTTTTTTTTTGAGACAGAGTCTCACTCTGTCACCCAAGTTGGAGTGCAATGGCACAATCTTGGCTCACTGCAAGCTCCGCCTCCCAGGTTCAAACGATTCTTCTGCCTCAGCCTCCTGAGTAGCTGGGACTACAGGAGTCCGCCACCACGTCCAGCTAATTTTTGTATTTTTAGTAGAGACAGGGTTTTACCATATTGGCCAGACTGGTCTTGAACTCCTGACCTAAGGTGATCCGCCCGCCTCGACCTCCCAAAGTGCTGGGATTACAGGCGTGAGCCACCATGCCCAGCCGATTTTGTTGCATTTTTAGTAGAGATGGGGTTTCGCCATATTGGCCAGACTGGTCTCGAACTCCTCACCTAAGGTGATCCGCCCGCCTCGACTTCCCAAAGTGCTGTGATTACAGGCGTGAGCCACCATGCCCAGCCGATTTTGTTGCATTTTTAGTAGAGATGGGGTTTCGCCATATTGGCCAGACTGGTCTCAAACTCCTGACTTCAAGAGATCCACCCGCCTCGGCCTCACAAAATGTTGCGATTATGGGTATGAGCCACCACACCTGGCCAGAATCTGGTATTTTTAACAGAAAGCAGAGCTAGGAGCTTAAAAGTAGAAACTAGATGAGCAAAACAATTGATTATATTTGAAACACATTAAGCTCTTCTTTTCTCTTCTCCTCCTGAACACAAGCAAGTAACTGTCTGGAAGGAGGTTGGAGGGGTTGCGGTGGGGGAGCGGGAGTCTCAGGGCCCATAATGGGTTTCAGAGGCCAAGATGGATAAGGAGGTCATCCTCCCAAGAAGATGGGAAGGCTGGACAGTGACAGCTGCAAAAGATTGGTTACTTTCAGGGGGATGGATCCGCTAAGTAAATATATTGCCAGCCTGGCCAACATAGCGAATTCCCATCTCTACTAAAAATACAAAAATTAGCCGGGCGTGGTGGTGTGCACCTGTAGTCCCAGCTACTCGAGAGGCTGAGGCAGGAGAATTGCTTGAACCTGGGAGGCAGAAGTTGCAGTGAGCCAAGATCACGCCACTGCACTCCAGCCTGGGCAACAGAGTGAGACTCCATCTCAAACAACAACAAAAAAAAGCATTGGAAGCCAGATTTCTTTTTTTTGAGACAGTGTCTTGCTTTGTCACCCAGGCTGGAGTGCAGTGGCACCATCATGGTTCACTGCAACCTCGGCCTCCAGGGTTCAAGCGATCCTCCCACCTCAGCATCCCCAAGTAGCTGGGACTACAGGCACGTGCCACCACACCTGGCTAATTTTTAATGTATTTTTCTTAGAGACGAGGTTGCCCAGGATGGTCTTAAATTCCTGGACTCAAGGGATCCGCCTGCCTCAGCCTCCCAAAATGCTGGGATTACAAGCATGAGCCACCACGCCCAGCTGAGTGGTAGGGATTTTGAGCTGGGGTGAATGGCGATTGTAGGTCATTTGCATTTTTAATCGGCTTTACCCAGAAGAGAAGGCAACTTTCTTCTGTCTTCATGACAGGAGGTATTTTACAACTGAGAGCTGAGTCATGTACCAAAGTTAGGCTCTCACCTTCCTGGGGGGAGATAGGAGTGCTATTTCCTTTTATGTTTACAATTTCAAAAAGATAGTTTCCTGGGTCCTGGTCACTCATCCCTGTAATCCCAGCATTTTGAGAAGCCAAGGCAGGAAGATAGCTTGACCCCAGTTCAAGATCAGCCTGGGCAACATAGTGAGACTCCATTTCCTGGGCTATCAACTGGCAAGATACTTTTTTTTTCTTTTTTTTTTTGTGACAGAGTGTCATTTTGTCGCCCCCAGGCTGAAGTGCAATGGCGTGATCTTGGCTCGCTGCAACCTCCGCCTCCCAGGTTGAAGCGATTCTCATGCCTCAGCCTCCTGAGTAGCTGGGATTACAGGCACTTGCCACCACACCTGGCTAATTTCTGTATTTTTAGTAGAGACGGGGTTTCAACATGTTGGTCAGGCTGGTCTTGAACTCCTGACCTCGTGATCCACCCGCCTTGGCCTCCCAAAGTACTGGGATTACGGGCGTGAGCCACCGCGCCCGGCCAAGACTTTTAAAGAGGTTTATATCCATCTCAAATGGACAAAGAAATAATTTACAATGACAAGTTTTCTCAAGTAAATGCTCTAAGAAAAGGGAGGTAAGGGGCCTCTGTGGTTAGACCCTCTGGATTCTGAGGGCCTAGAGGCAGGAGGAAGCCTGTCTAAAGTTTAGTCAAGCTGAGGGAAACATTATGGCAGTGTTGGTACACTCTGTAAAGCTGACCTGCCCGTGTTCAAATCCGAGCTCCACTGCTTAATAGCTGAGTGACGTGGGGCAAGTTTCTTAACCTCTCTAGCCCTGATTTCCCCATCTTGTAAAATGCAGGTGATTAACACTTACTTCATAGGATGGTTTTGTAGATTAAATATATTAATCCAAGTACAGCACTTAATACAGTACCTGGCACATAATCAATGTATTATTTGCTGTGGGTAATTACTTCATCATTCTGAGCCTCAGTTTCCCCAATCATCCCATCTGAAAATATGTGGAAAAGTCAATGAGATGATGGCTGTAAACTGATAGCATAGACTTGGCATCTAGTAAGACTGTCTTTAATCACTAACACAGCTGGGCACGGTGCCTCACATCTGTAATCCCAGCACTTGAGAGACAGAGGCAGGAGGATCATCTGAGCCCAGGAGTTCGAGACCAGCCTGGGTAACATAGTGAGACGCCAATCTCTACAATACAAATAAAAGTTAAATTAAAATTTAAAAATCTCTGCCGGGCATGGTGACTCACGCCTGTAATCCCAGCACTTTGGGAGGCCAAGGTGGGTGGATCACCTGAGGTCAGGAGTTTGAGACCAGCCTGACCAACATGGAGAAACCCCATCTCTACTAAAAATATAAAATTAGCCAAGCATGGTGGCACATGCCTGTAATCCCAGCTACTCGGGAGGCTGAGGCAGGAGAATCGCTTGAACCTGGGAGGGGAGGTTGTGGCGAGCTGAGATTGTGCCATTGCACTCCAGCCTGGGTAACAAGAGCAAAACTCCATTTCAAAAAAAAAAAAAAAGAAAAATCATTAATACTCCCAACACTACATTTACCATCACTGATGTTTCCCTCTATACATGTATTGCAATATATGTGTTTCAGAATAAGAGCTCATACTCTTATTGATGTTCTATTTTGTTGCTATTCTCCTTATTTGCTATTGTTTTGTTGTTACCTCACACTACTCCCCATTATCAATAGTAATATTGGCTATCAATAGCAATATTGGCAATATACTGTTATGATCTCACTATTCCCCACATCTGATCCTCCTCCCATCAAGCAGTCGCAAAGCCTACCAGGAACTCTCTCATTCCCAAACCAGGCTTTTCCCCTCCAGTGCCTCTAGGGCCAGGCCTTCATCTGATTGGAAGGAGATGGAGGTGGGGCTCAAGCCCCAGGTCCCCAACATCAAGCAAAGACCAACAGCAGCACCCCCGGGTCCTACAGACAAGTGGGACACAGTAGGTAAGCCCAGTTAATGACTTTTTTTTTTGAGACGGAGTTTCACTCTTTGCCCACGCTGGAGTGCAGTGGCGTGATCTCGGCTCACCGCAACCTCCACCTCTTGGGTTCAAGCGATTCTCCCGCCTCAGCCTCCCGAGTAGCTGGGATTACAGGCATGTGCCACCATGCCCAGCTAATTTTGTATTTTTAGTAGAGACAGGGTTTCTCCATGTTGGTCAGGCTGGTCTCGGACTCCAGACCTCAGGTGATCCAGCTGCCTCTGCCTCCCAAAGTGCTGGCATTACAGGCATGAGCCACTGCACCCAGGCTTAATGACTCTTAGTAAACCAGATGAAGCCGGGTGCAGTGGCTCCTGCCTGTAATCCCAACACTTTGGGAGTCCAAGGCAGGAGGACTGGGCATCATAGCAAGACCTCATCTCTACAAAAAATAAAATTAGCCAAGTATGATGGGATAAGCCTGTAGTCCCAGCTACTTGGGAGCCTGAGGCAGGAGTTAGAGGTTGCAGTGAGCTATGATTGGGCCACTGCAGTCCAGTTTGGGTGAACAGAGACCCCGTCTCTAAAACAATGCAGACGGCTGGCTGGATGACAAGGCGGGTGGAGCCTAGGGAGGGTACATAAACTCATTAGACAAAGCTCTCTATTCCCTGGCATTGCTAAAAGCCCCATTCGCCCCTCCATGCTGCTTAATGGTTTCGCCCGGTCTCCCCCTCACCAGTGGGACCACCCACATGCAGGATAGACCCAGGAGATTAAAGTTCAACCGTGACTTCCCCCAGGACTGCGGCTCTAGGTCCCATATCTCTCCCGTTAAAGGCTTTATGATGCCCACCCTAGCTCAGCTAGAGCGGTTATTGCGAGAAACAAGGTGGAAGTGACTCCTTTAAAGCACTATACAAAGTAATTAAATCTTTATTGAGGCATTTATGTGCCAGAAACTGATCACACACAGACATAAGGCACGGTCCCTGCCCTCGAGGAGCTCACAGTCTAGTAAGGAAGACATATGGGGAACCGATTCCCCAAAGATGCGGGGAGTAGGGGAGGCAGTGCTTAGAGTGGGGAGCCATTGTCCCACCCACCCCACGCTCCAAAGTCCAGGCTGGCTAGGAGAAAGTGAGTAGGAAGCTTAGCATCCTCTCTCTCACCTTCCCCGTGACAGCTGACTTCTCTCACTCTGTCCTAACATCACAAGAGGACAAGCGGAGAGACAAGGATGAGAAGGATACAGGAGCTGTCCTCAAAAAGCTAGAACACCCCTGGCAGAATATATACAACGGTATTTTATTTCCCAAAGCCGCAAACCAGCGCAGCAGAAGCTGGGGATACTGGGGAATGTTGGAAAAACAGGGGCTGGGCCAGCCCAGTCCAGTGGTGGGAACAGGAAGTGATGAGAAGAGGGGTACCCAGGGCCAGAGAAGTAGGTGAGAGGGAAATTTCCAGGTGGAGAAGCTCACAGTAGGACACCAGCAGCCACGGCCAACAGAAGGGCTGCCAATCCAGCTGTGGGAGCCACACAGCCTTTATTATGGGGCTGCTGGGGCCCCCCTTTTGCAGGATACTGCCCTGAATTGCTGCGGTCCTGGTGGCCAGCGGCGCCTCCAGTCAACCTGGGCTCCTCATCCCGGGAGGCCTCGTGTTCTACTCCCTGTCTCGGAGTCTGACTGGTTGGCGCTGGCATGGGTTTGGTGGTGGATGTGGGTCTCACTGGGGCCGAGGTAGAAGTGGTGACAGATGTGGTTGAGGCCACAGTCGTGGGCTCTGGAGGGGGCAGCCGGACAAGGGGTGGGATTCGAGGGGAGAAGTAGGTCTTGTTGCGGAGGTCAGAGTTACAGCGGGACCCCTGGCAACAGGAGCCACTGAGCGTGAACCCTGGGCCTGTTACTCCATCCCGAGTGCAGAATTCATCCTGGACACAGCCCCGGACAGGCAAGGACACAGTCACATTAGCTGCAGGAAGGAGACACAGATAGGTCAGTGGCTGGAGGGAGAGAGGTTGACATGGCCAGAACAAAACTTAGAGGCATCAGACAAGAACAGAGAACCTGACCGGGCGTGGTGGCTCACGCCTGTAATCCCAGCACTTTGGGAAGCCGAGGCAGGTGGATCACTGGGCAACAGAGTGAGACTCTGTCTTGCAAAAAAAAAAAAGAACAGAGAACCCCCAAAATGAGACAGAAAGTCTCTGCATCCATTAATCCCAAAATCTCAACTCAGGTCCTACTATGAGAAACAGACAGACTCACTGTCTTTGGCACATGGTGGATTAACATTTTCCATTGTGCTTTGAATGGAAATGTGTGTAGGCTGAACCAAAAGTAGGGTTTAAAACAAAGGCTTAGACTGAGATACAAGACCTCTCACAAGACCACAGTGCAGAACAAACTTCCTCTACAACCCTCTCACCATTATCCCCTTAGCCTTCACCCTGGCTTTTACCTCCCCATCAGAATTTACTCTTAGAGTCAGAGTTACATCTCCACACCAGGCTCAGTGGTTCACGGCTGTAATCCCAGCACTCTGGGAGACCTAGGCAGGGGGATCTCTTAGCCCAAGAGTTCAATACCAGCCTGGGTAACATGGCAAGACCCCACTGTTACCAAAAATAAAAGGAACCAGTCGTGGCGGTGCACCCTGTAGTCCCAGCTACTTGGGAGGCTGAGGCGGGAGGACTGCTTGAGCCCAAGAGGTAGAGGCTGCAGTGAGCTATGATTGCGCCACTACACTCCAGGCTAGGCGATAGAGCAAGATGCTGTCTTTAAAAAAAAATAGTAATAATAAAATAAAAAAGAACTACATCTTCCATAGCATAACTGGCAGGGGATGGGATTTGAAGAACTTCATTTTCCATGGTTACATTTCTCAATAGTCTGGGACAGGCGGGGGACCCCTTGAGTTTTAAGGGCTAAGAACTAGAGATTCCCCGCAGTGCCTGGGCAGAAGCTTAGAGGCTTAAATACCTCTTAAGTACCTGGCAGCCCTCTATGGAAATGCATTTCCCTCCAAAACACTCTGGGACAAAGCATCACTATCCCCACACTATTAATATGTTGGGGGAAGGGACTGCATTTTCCATGATGCCCTACGATACAAGCACCTAGGCCCCACGATTCCCAGAATGCGTCGCAGGTTAAGGAAACGCTTTGGGTAAAGGGCTCCCTACCGCCCAGGGTGCTTCAGAAGGGCTACCACAACTCCCGTAGGTCCCGTGCTCCGGGGCTCCCTCACCTGCCGTCAAGGTGACGTTGCCGTCGAAGCAGCCCTTGTAGACATGATCGCTGGCGTTGTAGCAGCTCACGACCGGCGGCGATGTACCCTGGCACGCCTCCCGGCTCAGGCCCACACAGCTGTAGCACTCCACGCCGTTGGGCGGGTATGCACTCTCATTACCTGCGAGGGGAGCCGAGAGGAAGAAAAGGTGTCGAAAGGGTTCGGGAACCGCAGCTCGTCCTCTAGCCCCGCCCCTAAGGCCTGGCCCCGGCACTATCGATGACCCCGCCTACTAGTAGCCCCGCCCCAGCGCGCAACCTCGCGGCGCCTACAGCCAGAAAGTCCCTCCTGCTGCCTCTTGGCCCCGCCCCAGAGTGTGACCCCACCCCCAGCCCAGGTCGAGTACTCCCGCCTCTGCCACGGCTCCACCTCTATCTTGGCAGGCCCGAATGTGGCTCCGCCCCCGCAGCTACGGCCCGGCCCCCACGGACCTGCCGGGTCGAGCGCCCGCGAGGTGAGGTTGAGCTTGGCGTTGCAGCGATCCTGAGCGCATTGCTGCAGCTGGATGAACGCCAGAAGCCCGTGAAGATCCAGGCCGCGGTCATTCTTGCCGGGGAGTCCCGAACCGCAACCCCGCACTGCCAGCGAGAATTGTCCGTGGACTAGGGAGAGGGACAAGGGCGGGATTAGCTGTGGGCGTGGTCTCAGATGGGGCGTGGCCCAGAGTTGGGTAGGGTCTGGGAGGGGCGGGGCCTCAAATAGGCCAACACCACAGGACCGACAGGCAGGAATTGGCGGATGGACGCCCCCAAAGAGCCGCTCAGAGCGGAAAGAACGACCGAAGCAGGGAGGAGCGGGGTCACGGAACGGGGGCGGAACCTCAAAGAGCTGAGTCGGAGGAGACAGCCTGGTTGACAGGCAGGGATGGGGAGGTCTCATTGGTGGAGCAGAAAAAGTGCATAGGACGTGACCTCGTTCCAAACCCGAGCTCTCCCCGTCCGCCCCACCCAGTTCTCAACTCTCTGCTCCTCGCGCTTGTAATTGTTAATAGAGAAGGCCTGGCCTGCAAGGCTGTGTCGTAGGGTCCCGGCCAGGCTGAAAGGGAGGGGTGGGGCCGCGTTAAAGGGGCGTGGCCAGATCCAGAAAGGACTATAAGGAGGCGGGGCTGGGCCGGAGGAGCCTGCAGTGGTGTGCGTGGCCCGGGGGTCCCCACTCACTGGTCTCCACCGCCCCCACGGCCTCGGTGCAGACGTCCACGCCCGGCGCGCACTTCACTGTCTTCATCTTGTTCGGGGAGCATCCGTCATCTGCTTTCTGCACGCAGCTGTAGCACTCCAGGGCCTGCGCTCCTGGGGGAGCGGAGCCGAATAGACCTGAGCCCTCCTTGCTAAAGCGTCCACCCCCAAGGAGAAATAGTCCTTCCCATGCCCTCTGTCCCGGGATTAGACAGTCTTATTGCACACACTTTTCCAGGGCAGGAGTAGGGAAAAGCTTTCCACAAATCTGGAAGCACGGGAATCACTGGACCCTTTTCCTTCACACCCACTATGCCAACTGTGGGCACATCCTTCCGACAGCCCTGTATGCCCACTGTAGGCGATCCCCGCCATGAAGCCCCTCATCCCGGGGTAGGAAGGATACCTCCTCACGGTTTTCTGCTCAGAATGAGAGAACTTTTCCCACAGTGTGTGGGAGAACTTTTCCCACAGTAGACTGTGCTCAGTGAGGGATCCCTTCCCACAGCCCCCTTCTGCTCAAATGAGAGAACACTACCCACAGCTTCTCTGCCCAGGACAGGGAACACTTTTTTCTTTTTTTCTTTTTTTCTTTTTTTTTTTTTTGAGACGGAGTCTCGCTCTGTCGCCAGGCTGGAGTGCAGTGGCGCAATCTCGGCTCACTGCAACCTCCCCTCCTGGATTCAAACGATTCTCCTGCCTCAGCCTCCCGAGTAGCTGGGACTACAGGCTCGCGCTACCGCGCCCAGCTAATTTTTGTATTTTTAGTAGAGACAGGGTTTCACCATGTTGGCCAGGCTGGTCTCGATCGTTTGACCTCATGATCCGCCTGCCTCGGCCTCCCAAAGTGCTGAGATTACAGGCATGAACCACCGCGCCCGGCCTAGGAACAGGGGACTTCTTTCTGCAGCTTCAGGATAGGAAAATTTTGCCCACAGCTCCCCTTGTCCGTGGTGGGGAACCCTTCCTACGGCCCATGGTGGAGGACCCTTCCCTCTGCCTCCCTTGCTTAGGATGGGGGAACTTTGCCCACAGTGCCCTCTGCTTATGTGGGGATCCTTCCCACAGCCTTCTCTGTACGGGGCCAGAGGAGCCTCCTCCCTAAGAGCCCCCACTCTACCCCCTCCACCTCTCCGGGCAGCAGACCCACCTCCGCGAAGCAGCAGCAGCAGCAGCCAGCCTGCAGTCCAGATCATGGCCTGGGCACCTGCTTTCCTGGCGGGGTCCATGGCTCCGTCCTGCTCCCTTGGCGTCCCCCCTGGATGTGCCGCCTCCGAGCTCGGGCCCTCTTACCTGAGCCCAGGATGAGTAACCTCGCCCCAGGCAACCCCAGCCTTGCCCAACCGGGCCAACTCAGCGTCGGCTGTGGGGCGGGGCCCCGCCCCTAGGCGCGTCATCCAAGGGAGAGCGGTCCCTGCCCTGTGAAGTTGCCAAGGAGGGAAAGGGTGGGAGCTGAGGTTCCCTGACAGCTCGCGGGAGAAAGTCTGTGTGTGTTTGGAGTGGGAGAGTAGTGGGGCTTAAAGACAGGCTGGGGCTACTCGACATTCAGTGTTCGGTAACTGTTAAATGAGCATCTACAGTGTGCCCGGCTTTGGTCTAGGTAATGCTGGAGATGAAGACAGAACCAGTGCCTGTCCTGGCAGAGCTCACAGTCTGATGGGGGAGACAGATGCTAATCAAATAATCGTACAAATTGGTGTTTACCAAAGAGACTAAGACACTGAAGGAAAAAGTGTAGTGATACAAGGAGATGTGCAGTCTAGAAGTGGGGGCTGGTCGGTGAGGGCTTCCTTGAGGTTATCTGAGATGCAACCTCAAGGGCATGCAGGATGTAGCCAGCTAGAGCAGGTCAAGAGAGGGACACAGCCCTTTACAAGCAGAGGGAACAGCACGTGGGAGCACCTGGAGGTAGGAGGTAGGATGGACCATTCAAACATGGAAAGGAGAGCAGTGCTCCTGAGCTCAGAAGTCCATGAGAGAAGGGCAGGAACTGAGATGAAAGAGTCAGGCAGAGGCCGAGACACTCAGGGCATCAGAGGCCCCGACAAGAGATTTGGATTAATTTTGAGAATAGTAGAGAACCTTTAAGAGGGTCTAAATGAGCTGGAGGACATAATAGATTTGCTTCCTAATATGATCAACCTGAGAAATAGTGCAGCTAGCCATCAAGAAGTAAATGGAGGCCGGGCGCGGTGGCTCATGCCTGTAATCCCAGCAATTTGGGAGGCCGAGCTGGGTGGATCACTTGAGATCAGGAGTTTGAGACCAGCCTGGGCAACATGGCGAAACCTCATCTCTATTAAAAAAAAATAATAAATTTAAAAAAATTAGCCAGGTGCAGTGGCGTGCACCTGCTGTCCCAGCTACTCGGAAGGGTAGGGCAGGAGAATCACTTGAGCCCAGGAGGTGGAGGTTGCAGTGAGCTGAGATCACGCCACTGCACTCCAGCCTGGGCAACAGAGTGAGACCCTGTCTCAAAAAAAAAAATTTAAAAATTTAAAAATTAAAAAAAAGTAAATGGATCTGAGAGTAGGATATATGATTTTAAAAAAGGAAAAAGAAAAAGAAGTGAATGGCAAAAGAGAGTGGTTGGTTCGGCCAATGGAATACTACACAGCAATAGAAAAGATCCAACACCTGATATATGCAGCAACATATCTCAAAAACTTTGTGTTGGGGCCAGGCACAGTGGCTCACACCTGTAATCCCAGCACTTTGAGACACCAAGGTGGGAGGATCACTTGAACCCAGGGGTTTTGAGACCAGGCTGTGCAACATAGTGAGATCCCATCTCATTTTATTTTAAAAAAAGAAAAAACTTGGTGTTGAGTTTAGAAAGCCTTAAACAAACAAACAAAACATACTGTGTAACTGAATATATATGAAGTTTCAGAACAGACAAAACTAACCAGTGGTGATAGAAATCAGAACACATGTTACCTTTGGGAGGGCATGGCCCCAGAAGGAGCAACAGGGAGGAGCCCCCACGATCTTCATCTAGGTGACAGCTGCATGTGTGTACAGATACGTTGAGAATCACTGACTCAGGCCTGTCACTGGACGTATGTTATTCTTCAATAAAAACAAGGTAAAGAATGTCACTGTGGACTCTGTGTAAAAAAGGAAAATGACTCTAGAAGGGGTGAGAGAGAAGGCCAGGAAACCAACAGGGGGCCGTGTAGTTTTCCATGGAAGAAAGAGAAAAACAGCCCCTAACAGCTGGGAGTTGGCCTGACACACATAGTGAGGCCATGGAGTTCAACTGCGCCTAGATAATTTCACAGAGCACCAACCTGGACAAGGCCACACTGCGACAGTAAAGGATCAAGAAACAAATCAATAGCCTGGGCAACACAGCGAAACCTCGTCTCTACTGAAAATACAAAAAATTAGCTGGGCGTGGGGGTGTGCACCTATAATCCCAGCTACTTGAGAGGCTGAGCTGGGAGAATCACCCGAGCCTGGGAGGTTGAGGCTGCAGTGAGCTGAGATTGCGACACTGCACTCCAGCTTGGGCAACCAGAGTGAGACCCTGTCTCAAAAAAACAAAAAACAAAGAAAAACAAAATCAAGACCAATCCATAGCCATGTCTGAACACAGAAACAAACAAGGTCATTGTGCAAACCGCAGAATGACTAAGCATCCCCATATCCTGGCTAATATAAATGACTGCTTATATTATATTAAAGTTACAACTTTAACCTCACTTTATTTCTCCTGCCTCATAAATGAGATTTATGCAAATGCCCAACCACAGCATTACTCCTCCTCTGTTTAACAGTATCCAAACTAGAACGAGGTCCCACTTCCTTGCACCATTCCCAAGACCACCACACACAAGCCCAAATCTTAAAATCAATCCTTTCTGGCCAGGTGCTCACACCTGTAATCCCAGCACTTTGGGAGGCCAAGGGGGTGGATCACCTGAGCTCAAGAGTTCGAGACCAGACTGGCCAATGTGGTGAAACTCCGTCTCTACTAAAAATACAAAAAATTAGCTGGGTGTGGTGGCACACACCTGTAATCCCAGTTCCTGGGGAGTAGGGGCTGAGGCAGGAGAATCGCTGAACCTAGGAGGCAGAGGTTGCAGTGAGCCGAGATTTGCGCCACTGCCCTCCAACCTGGGTGACAGAGCAAGACTTTGACTCAAAAAAAAAAAAAATCAATCCTTTCTAACACCCTTTTACTTAGACACCTCACAGTTACCTCATGGTGTGTTTTCTCCCTCATTGCAAGAAGCAATAAACCCAACTTGTTCAACCACAGGTGTGTCCCTGGTGGAGAACATTGACACAGGCCAGAGCAGATGTACTTAGCCAAGGGTGTCCCAAAGGAAAGGTGAAGAGTGGAAAGATCTAAAATATTTTAGGAGGAAGAACAGGTAGGGATTACTGATGGATCCAATGTGAGGGAAGAGGAAGTGGGAGGTTTCCAAGCTAATTCCAGACAGTTCTTGCCATAAACCACATCATGACATTAATAACAATGGTAACAAAAGTCATAATAACAACAGTGACTGAGTATCAAGTGTTTGTTTCCCAGAAACTGTTTTGAACAGGGGGCATGCATTATCTCATTTAATCCTCACCTGTAAGTATGGTTATTAGCATTTATTAACCACTTACTCTGTGCTTAGCACTTTCTGTGAATCCTCTCTGAATGTCACGACAGCTCTGCAAAGAGAGAACTAAGTCTCATTTCACAGATGGGAAAACTGAGACTGGGAGAGGCTTGGAAGTGGCAGAACTGGGATTTGAATCCAGGGCTGTCTCCAAAGGCCCCCATGCCATTTGCCAAAGTCAGAGCCTGGCTTTAGGCCTGAGATTATATTTTGCAATGACCCTTAGTTTTACAGCCAGACAGGCATGCATTTGAATACCAACTCTGCCCCTAATCTGCTGTGTGACTTGATCAAGTGACTCCAATTCTTTGATGTTCAGAGGCTTCCTGTCTAAACAAAGACTATGACAAAAGCACATGCATTCAGTGCTTCCTCTGTGCCAGGCAACTTTCCACACCCTTTACACACAATCCTATGAGAGATTTCTATGATGGTCAATTTACAAATGGGGAAATCGAGGCAGGCATGGGGGGCTTAACAACTTGCTCAGGGTCACAAAGCTAGGAAGTCACAATGCTAGGAGACAGTATTTGAACTCAGGCAGTCTGGCTTAACTAACAGTACCTATAATTAGGTACATGGGTCCATTGGATATCAGCTGTGAAACTTTGACAATTACTTGGCCCCTGTGTGCCTCAGTGCCCTCATCCTCATCCATAAAATGAGGGTCTTAGTAGTACCCACATCATACTAGGTGCTATACTGCTAGGGCATCAATGTTATATATATGTGAAATACTATACTGCTAGGGCATCAATGTTAAATATATGTGAAATGATTAAAATAGGGTCAAATTCTAGGAGTTATGAAAGCATTAGTTTTTATTACTAATAATAGGTTAAGGGCCAAGCACAGTGGCTGGTGCCTGTAATCCCAGCATTTTGTGGGGGCTGAGGCGGGCAGATCACTTGAGCCCAGGAGTTTGAGACCAGCCTGGGCAACATAGTGAAACCCTATCTCTACAAAAAATACAAAAAGTAGCCAGGTGTGGTGGTGCACACCTGTAGATCCAACTACTCGGGAGGCCGAGGTGGAAGGATCGCATTGAGCCTGGGAGGTCAAGGCTGCAGTAAGTTGTGATCACGTCACTGTACTCCAGCCTGAGTCACAGAGTGAGACCCTGTCTCAATAATAATAATAATAAATAGATTGTTAGTATAACTATTATTATTAACAGCCCTCACTTCTTGAGCTCCAACCGTGTGCCACACAGGGTGGTCAGCTCTTATACAAGCAATCTTGCCTTGAATTCCTAACGAGGGGGTAGAGAGGAAGATCTCCTTCACAGAGGAAGACTCTGAGACCCAGAGAGAGGAAGGTATCTGTTCAAGTTCACACAGCAAGGGAAGCGGCAGAGTCAGATGTCAGACCCGGCTGCAGGGGGCTGGCTCACTGTCTGATGACGAGACAAGCAGCGGTCGTGTTTATAAAGATATTATCTGTTCTCCAGACCCTGTGAGGCACCCCCGTTCCCAACAATGACGAGCACTTCAGTCACCTGGGTGAGGTCACTTGGCATCATGCTGAAGCTGAGAGAGAGAAAGTGAATGACTTCTTGTGAAGTCATTCATTCAGCACTGTCCCCTTCCCCCTCCCTCCGCCCGCCTCCCAGCCTTGGAATCTCAGCCCTGATTCTTGCTTTGCTGTGTGATGCTGCATAAATGCTTTCATCTCTCTGAGCCTCCAAGGTGTCTTTTTTTTTTTTTTTTTTTTTGAGACGGAGTTTCACTCGTTTCCCAGGCTGGAGTGCAAATGGCGCAATCTCAGCTCACTGCAACCTCTGTCTCCCAGGTTCAAGCGATTCTTCTACCTCAGCCTCCCGAGTAGCTGGGATTACAGGCATCCACCACCACACTCAGCAAATTTTTTGTATTTTTAGTAGAGATGGAGTTTCGCCATGTTGGTCAGGCTGGTCTCAAACTCCCAACCTCAGGTGATCTGCCTGCCTCGGCCTCTCAAAGTGCTGGGATTACAGGCGTGAGCCACCATGCCGGGCCCAAAGTGTCTTTTTTATAATAAAAGAAGGACTATCTTTCATTGGTAGGGTAAGGCAGTGGGCAAAATATCAAGTCTGGAAGTGGACAGACACATTTTAATCCTATCTCTGCCACCCTCTTGCTGTGTAACCTCAAGCAACTCCATCTCCCTCTCTGAACTTCCCCTGAAAACCCCTACCTCCTGAAGGATAGAGCGGGGACCCAGTGAGTGACAGGCAGGGTGAGACTAGCATTATTATTGTGTGCTGCTCTGAAGCAGGAGGCCCTGCAGGTCCCAGCTGTGTGGGAGAGTTTCAGGGAGGAACCCCAACTGGCCAGACCAGAAGAACTAGCATCTCGGGAGGGAGTGGGACCCAGGGTGGAGAGGTACCTCTTGCTCAGGCCTGCCCAGATTCTAGGCGCTGACCCCCGCCTGGCCCATGACCAGAGAACAGAAGGAGGTTTGAATGCAGGGCACCACTTAAGCCTGCTGCGTGGTAGGTGGCTGGCTCTTCTGGGTCCTTTGCAGATTTTATGGCAGAGAATCTAGAATCTGGCTCAGGGGTCAGTGCGGAGGCAGCTGCCAGCAATACAGATCACTCCCAGGCCTCAGACAAGCCCAGGACCATATTCACTCTGGATTTCTCGTCTCCCTGTGGCAGACCAGGCTCTGACGCCAGTGAGGTTCCCAGCCTGACTCAGGCCCACTCCCTCTGGGACACACTGTTTGTGACAAGTTAGGGAAGGAGTGGAGTCAGGGATGGGGCTGACTGTATAATTTTCGGGCCCCAGTGCAAAATGAAATTTAGAGACCTGGTTCAAAACGCAGGAAAAGAGGCCGGGCACGGTGGCTCACGCCTGTAATCCCAGCACTTTGGGAGGCCGAGGTGGGAGGATCACCAGAAATTAGGAGTTCGAGACCAGACTGACCAACATGGTGAAACCCCATTTCTACTAAAAATACAAAAAATTAGCCAGGTGTGGTGGCGTGTGCCTGTAATCCTAGCTACTCCAGAGGCTGAGACAGGAGAATCGCTTGAACCCAGGAGGCGGAGGGTGCAGTGAGCTGAGATCGCACCATTGCACTCCAGCCTGGGCAACAAGAGCAAAACTCCATTCTCACCAAAAAAAAAAAAAAAAAAAAAAAAAAACAGGAAAGAGTGCTGTTAAAGGTACTAAAATAGAAACACTTTTTTTTCCTTTCTTCTGCCTCAATCTTTTTTTTTTTTTTTTTTTTGAGACAGTCTCACTCTGCCACCCAGGCTGGCATGCAGCTCACAGCTCACTGCAGCCTCTCTATCTCCCGGACTCAAGCAATCCTCCCACCTCAGCCTCCCAAGTAGCTGCCACTACAGGTGTGTGCCACCATGTCCAGCTAATTTTTAAATTTTTTTTTGTAGAAAAAGGGTCTTGTTATGTTGCCCAGGCTGGTCTCAAACTCCTGGGCTCAAGTGATCTTCCTGTCTCAGCCTCCCAAAATGCTAGGATTACGGGCATGAGGCACTGCACCTGGCCCTCAGCCTTTCTCTTGACCCCTCATGGTGTTTAATGTTATGTTCCCTTGGGCACAGAGATACTTGTGGGACCAGCACAGATCTTCAAAGGTGGCTAGGGACCCTGCCCCACAACGTGGGCAGCCTGGCTGGGTTCCCCATCCCACCAGATGCCCACCGCCATGTTCCACCCCAAGATACCATGAGGCACAGGTACCCAACCCTGATCTTCTTGTGGCGTGCCTGCAGCAGGAGTGGAGAGTGCCAGTGATCACGGGGCAGAGTTAAGAAGGGAACAGGCCAGGCACGGTGGCTCAAACCTGTATTCCCAGCATTTTGGGAGGCCCAGGCAGGCGGACCACTTGAGGTCAGGAGTTCCAGACCAGCCTGGCCAACATGGTGAAACCCTGTCTCTACTAAAAATTCAAAAATTAGCCGGGTGTGGTGGCCAGCGCCTAAAATCCCAGCTACTCAGGAGGCTGAGGCAGGAGAATCGCTTGAACCTGGGAGGCAGAGGTTGCAGTGAGCCGAGATCGCGCCACTGCACTCCAGCCTAGGTGACAGAGTAAGACTCCGTCTCAAGAAAAAAAAGAGGTGGGGACAGGAGTGGAAACTTGTCCCAGAGAGGTGAGGCTGCCTCATCATGCTTTCATTATCTCATTAGTCTTAGCTTACAAAACAGAAATTCAAAGATACATTTACGAATTTCTACACAGTGACCACAGAGCATTAAACCCAAGAGCAGGGCTCTTCTGAACACGGGGAGCTGTCGTCTACATTGGTCAGATGCCCATGAAGCGGGATTCAGTAAGGGACCCAGTTTGCAGAGGGGCTGGGGGATGAACTGATCCAAGAATCCAGATGTCACATACCTGAAGGTAGAGGCCAAGGGACACCTACAGTCCCAGAGGACCTAGGAATTTGGGTGTCTGCACTCCCGGGACTCAGAGCACTATATCTGGGTCCTCAAGGGAACTTTTTGAGGCAGGAAAGAGCTGTCTCCAGAATGACAGCCTAGAGTGCTCAAGTGGGGGACCCTGGAGGACTGTAGAGGCCCAGAACAGGCACCTGACCCAGCCTAGGGGTCAGGGAGAGCTTCTTGAAGGAACGGGCGCCGTAGATGAGACCTGAAGGATGAAGTCAGCCAAAGAGCTCTGCCTGCCTTGTTCATGACAGTCCCCAGCCCTTAGCATCACTTTCCCATCAGTTTATTCAACCACCAGATGTTCCCTCCGTACGCAGTATGCACCAGGCCCTCTGCTGTACCAAGGGTTCAGTGGTGACCAAGACAGCACTCACTCCCAGGCCAGAGCGGGAGACAGACTCAACAGCAGTGATGATCCCAGGTAGTGAAGGCCATGATGAGAGATGCACAGGATAGAATGATCAGGGCTGGGAATGGGGAGGCACAGGTGGAGCTGTCAGGGCTATAATGAAAAGCCCAGGGCCAGGAGCAGTGGCTCACGCCTGTAATTCCAACACTTTGGGAGGCCGAGACAGGCAGGTCGCTTGAGCCTGGGAGTTGGAGGCTAGCCTGGACTACATGGTGAAACCCCATCTCTACTAAAAATACAAAAAAAAGAAAGCCAGGCGTGGTGTGGTGGTGGGTGCCTGTAATCCCAGCTACTCGGGAGGCTGAGGCAGAAGAATCGTTTGAACCTGAGAGGTGGAGGTTGCAGTGAGCCGAGATTGCACCACTGCACTCCAGCCTGGGCGACAGACTGAGACTCAGTCTCAAAAAAAAAGAAAAGCCCAGAGGAAGCATCTGACCTGCCAGGACAATCAGGGAGGGCTTCCTGGAGAAAGAGACTTAATATAGGAACTAAAAGCTAAATGATGAGCAGGGCTTTTGTGGAATGGGGAGAGGTGCCTAAGCAAAGGGAACAGAACGTACAAAGGCCCAGAGGTGAAAGGGAAGCGAGTTTTATTTTTTGTTTTTTTCCACTTTCATGGAATGAGACATGCTCTATGGTGCTGGGAACAGCAGTGACCAGGACAATGCTGGCTCTGCCTCATGGAGCTCCCAGTGCATAAAGGACACAGATCCATCGCCCATGATGACCCAGGGTCCTCAGGGATGGGATGACAGAGCTCAAAAGGGGGTGCCTGACCCAGCCAGGAAAGTCAGTGAGGGCTTCCTGAAGGAGGTGCCAACTGAACTAAGGCTGGAAGAATGAGGTGCAGCTGATTAAGGGAAGGAGGGGGGCCAGGCGTGGTGGCTCACACCTGTAATCTCAGCACCTTGGGAGGCTAAGGTGAGTGGATCGCTTAAGTCCAGGAGTTGGAGACCAGCCTGGGCAACACAGTGAGACCCCATCTCTATAAAAATAAATAGATAAAAGAAAAAAAGGGAAGAAAAGGGCAGAGGGAACAACGTAGGCAAAGGCCTAAAGGGGGGAAGCCTAGGAGTTCCTAGAAATTTCCAGCAGCCGGTCAGGCCAGAAAGGGTGGAAACAGAAGGGCCTACAAACTAAAAAAGCAAAACTGCCAAACACTAAGGGGGACATGCCTCTCACCCTCTTCTCCCAGCTATGACCTTAAGAGTTGAAGGCCTCCATTCCTAGAGAGCCGGCTGTGGGACGCGTGGCTCCCAGAGGTACCGATAACTCAGATGTCCTGCCTAGGGGTCAAGGGGCCCCGGATGCCTGGGCTGGAAACCACAGCAGCAATTCCTGTTTTTCCTCCGTATTTAATTCGGTATCACAGGAGCACCAATAAATAGTTTCTTCCCGCCCCTGCAATCTTCCTCCTGCCCCGGGCAGGGCCTTAGGGGCCGGCGATCCCGTCGGGGGCAAGGCACCTGCAACCCAGAACGCAGCAGCTCAGGCCAGCTGAACTGCCGCGCCTGCGGAATTCCCGGGAGAGTTCCAAAGCGGTGCGTCCAAGTTTTCCGGCAGTGGGCGGGGCCTAGGAACGCCCCCGCGCCCCGCGCCGGCGGAGCCTCGAAGGGACTTCCCCCCAAGAGGGCGGGGCCACTCAGGGGGCGTGGTTTTCGTCAGCGGCGGTCACGATGACGTCCATCCAAATGCGCATGGCTTCGGGGCTCGGAGCCACCATGTAGAAAAGGCGTTCGTAGGTTTTGACGCAGAAGGTCAGGCGGGGGTTGGGGCTCTGGAATAAGCAGAAAGTGAGGGTAATTCAGACAAAAGACACCGGCCACAGTCTGGGTGCGAACCCAGCCTTGCTACTTATAGTCTGTGTGGCACTGGACAAGGTACTTAAGTATCTGAATGTCAGTTTCCCTGTCTTCCCAAATGATGCCACCTACCTCACTGGGTTATAAGGATTAAATGAATTAACACAAGGAAGTGCTTAAAATTATCATATGTAGAGCGCTATTGATAAATTAGGGGCAAGATAAATTTTTTTTCTTTTTTTTTTGAAACTGAGTCTGGCTCTGTCGCCAGGCTGGAGTGCAGTGGCGCAATCTTGGCTCACTGCAACCTCCACCTCTCGAGTTCAAGCGATTCTCCTGCCTCAGCCTCCCGAGTAGCTGGGACTACAGGCGTGTGCCACCACGCCCAGCTAATTTTTGTATTTTTAGTACAGACCAGGGTTTCACAGTGTTTGTCAGGATGGTCTCGATCTCTTGACCTCGTGATCCGCCTGCTTCGGCCTCCCAGAGTGCTGGGCTTACAGGCGTGAGCCACTGTGCCAGGCCGAGAAATTTAAAAGTAGGACTTATGACGCCTTCTCTCAGCCTAACTTCTCCTATATTAGAAATACAGGCATTCAAATTCCACCTCCCCAAAATCTAGGTCCCCTTGTACCTGGGAAAAGTTAGTGTCTAGAATCCGTTATTTGAGTACCCACTTGCCAATCCCAAATTGAGTAAATCCCTTATGTCCATAATCTGTTTTTAGCCCTCTCAATAACCCTGATGGAATGGGTTGATGCGTACCCATTCTACACGTGAGAAAACTCAGGCCGGCCGGGCTGGGTGGCTCACGCCTGCAATCCCAGCACTTTGGGAGGTTGAAGCGGATTGATTGCTTGAACTCAGGAGTTCAAGACCAGCCTGGGCAACAGAGGGAGACCCCATCTCTACAAAAAAATACCAGAAAAACAAAACAAAACAAATTAGCTGGGTGTGGTGGCACACACATATAGTCCTAGCTACTCAGGAGGCTGAGGCAGGAGGATTGCTTGAGCCCGAGAGATAGAGGCTGCAGTGAGCTATGATTGTACCACTGCACTCCAGCCTGGTCTATGGAGCAAGAAAAAAAAAAAGAAAAAGAAACAAAGAAAACTAAGGCTAAAGGCTAAAGAAAGGAAGTCACTTTCCTGATGTCACATAGCTGAGATTCCAACCTAATTGCTAAAAAGCCACAGTTTGGTTATTCTCCACAGAGCTTTCTAAATATTGTATCAGTTGCCAACATTTAAATTTTTGGCACTGTGCTTTATACAAGTTCCAATTCCTGAGTTCTCTGGGAAAAAATAAATATAAGACAACACCATGGGACCCACTCCCACTTGGCAACTGTTGGCAGGAGCCAACTAACAACCATCTCCTTTATTTATTTTTCATTTAAAAAATAAAAAAAAAAAAACAGAGATGGGATCTTGCTATGTTGACCATGCTGGTCTCAAACTCCTGGCCTCCTGCAGTCCTCCCATCTTGGTCTCCCAAAATGTTGGGATTATAGGCATGAGCCACGACGCCTGGCAGATCATCTCCTTTAGATGCTCCCAGGCTGCCCGACCCTTGC
The DNA here is from genome assembly GCF_000001405.40 of Homo sapiens. NCBI lineage: Eukaryota > Metazoa > Chordata > Mammalia > Primates > Hominidae > Homo > Homo sapiens. Next base: position 43,477,146 of record NC_000019.10, read on the forward strand.
TGTGACCTCTCCATTCATTTATTCCCAGTTGGACATCAGAGTCTGCCATATTTTGGCTCTAAAACTTTTGCTCCAAGAAAATTAACAGTGACAGGCCAGGTGCGGTGGCTCACGCCTGTAATCCGAGCACTTTGGGGGGCCAAGGTGGGCAGATCATGAGGTCAGGAGTTCGAGACCAGCCTGGCCAACACAGTGACACCCCATCTCAACTAAAAATACAAAAGTTAGCCAGCTGTGGTGGCACGCCTGTAATCCCAACTACTTGGGAGGCTGAGGCAGGAGAATCGCTTGAACCCGGGAGGCAGAGGTTGCAGTGAGCCAAGATGGCGCCACCGCACTCCAGCCTGGGCAACAGAGCCAGACTCCATCTAAAAAAAAAAAAAGAGCCACGTGTGGTGCGGTGGTTCACGCCTGTAATCCCAGAACTTTGAGAGGCTGAGGTGGGCAGATCATGAGGTCAGGAGTTTGAGACCAACCTGGCCAACACAGTGAAACCCCGTCTCTACTAAAAATACAAAAATTAGCCGGGCACGGTGCCTGTAATCCCAGCTACTCAGGAGGCTGAGGCAGGAGAATTGCTTGAACCAGGGAGGCGGAGGTTGCAGTGAGCCGAGATGGCGCCACTGTACTCAGGCCTGGGCGACAGAATGAGACTCTGTCTTAAAAAAAAAAAAAAAGAAGAAAATTAACAGTGGCTGAAGGCCAGAGTCTGGGCTCTTAATTTTTAGTCCCTGCAGTCAGGTGACCTGTTTGTTTTCTCTGCGACAAACACGTACTCCTATGAGTACCCTGACAGGAGAAGCTGCGGGTGGCTTTCCCCAGGATGAGCCAGGGATGAGATAAGGCCTGACTCCAACTGAGTCTCCAACTGGGAGGTCAGGGTGACATTGAGGGGCTTCACCTTGAAGGCACAGCGTAAGTGGTCATAATAGACTTCCTCAATGGCCTGGAAGTAGATGACACCTTTGAGCTTGGTCTCTTCCTTGTCTGGTAGGGGAGGTAAGAGAAAAAGAGAGCCAGTGAGAAAGGTGTGTCTGTGTGTGTCGAGGTGAGGGTCATTGGCCCTAAGTCCTGAGACTGGATTTGGGTAAGAAACATGGTGACAAGAGTCTGAAGGTCTCTAAAGGTTGGGAGGTGAGTGAATGTTAACGCTGGATGGGAGACTGGGCACAGAAACTGGACATGATTGGGGAGTGGGGTCTGTGGAGCTGGAATCCTAGGCCCTGAATGCTCGGCCTCTGAGAAGGGAAGGAACTCAGGGAGTGCTCAAGTGCTTTCTAGGTATAATCTCTAACCCTCTCAAACTCTCCTGGAGGGGTAAGTACATTTATCTCCATCTGACAGATGTGGAAACCAAGACTCAGAGAAGTTAAGGCACCCAGCACAAGTCACACAGCCAGAGCTGACAGAGCCAGGACTCACCAAGTAGAGTCAAATGGTCATACAGGTTAGGGAAGAAGGATTTGAGACAATACAAGCGTCCAAGGAGGCTGGGTGCAGTGGCTCAAGCCTGTAATCCCAGCACTTTAGGAGGCTGAGGCAGGCAGATCACAAGGTCAGGAGATCGAGACCATCCTGGCTAACACAGTGAAACCCTGTCTCTACTAAAAATACAAAAAATTAGCCAGGTGTGGTGGCATGAGCCTGTAGTCCCGCCTATTCAGGAGGCTGAGGCAGGAGAATCGCTTGAGCCGGGGAGGTGGAGGTTGCAGTGGGCTGAGATCGCACCACTGCACTCCAGCCTGGGCGACAGAGCAAGACTCTGTCTCCAAAAAACAAAAACAAAAACAAAAACAAAAAAAAGTGTCCAAGGAGAGGTTTGGAATAATTGATTCTCCTAGAGAAGAAGGACAAGGGCCCCAGACTCCTGGCCATTGGGGGGCTGGGGGCAGCTGACAGTGCAGGTTCAGACTCATGGGTGTCTTAGGAACATGGGCCCTGGGAAGCTTGAATTGTACTAAACTGTTATCTATGTCCCTGAGGAGGACTGGGGGTTTGAATTCTGGGTGGCTTAAAGAGGGGCTGGGGATCTGGATTCCAGGGTCTGGAGGAGAGAGAGAGCTGGGAGCCTGGACTCCTGGGTTGTAGGGAAGTTAGGAGCTAGGGAACCAAACTTCTGGATCCTGGGGAACATGGAAAGTGGGGGCCAGGACTTCTGGTGCCTGTAGAGGAAAGGCCTCCGGAGTGGAATTCCAGCGTCCTGGGGCCCATGGTGGCCAGGCTGGGCTTACCCGCATAGTAGGCCAAGCGGCGGGCTTGGCGGTCAAAGCAGAACCATCGCTTCCTCCAGGTCTTGATGCGGCCGCCCATCTTCACCAGGGGTCCACGGCAGCAGCACCCAGACACCTGCACATGTGGGCAGTTTTCCGGGTTGTGGCCCCATCCCTCCAGATGCTGCCGGAGATCCAAGATTCGCGGGCCTGGAGGGTGGGGTGGGGTGGGTGGGGCCTGGGGAGCAAAGAGACGGGGCAGCTGATGTAAGGGGCGGGGGATTCTACAGCCTGGAGCCCCTCGAGGGGAGCAAGTCATAGCAGCTTGCATGTAAGGCCCGCTACAGCCTTTAGAGGGTAATATTAACTAGGACCATCTGACAAATGCAACGGCTACGTGGATTGACTGTGATGCTCTGCCCAGGACTTTATGGACATCAGCTCCTTGGCACTTCATGGCAACTGTGAGCCCCATTTTACAAATGAGCAAAATGAGGTACAGAGAGATGACATAATGCACCCGAGGTCACACAGAGCTTCTAGGCAGCAGAACTGGGACACGAACCCAGGTATTTCTGACCCTAGAGCTCACCCTGAAACATCAGAGGCCTATCAAAAGAAATAAAGATCGGGCCGGGTGTGGTGGCTTATGCCTGTAATCTCAGAACTTTGGGAGGCTGAGGTAGGAGGATCCCTTAGGCCTAAGAATTCAAGGGCAGCCTGGGCAACATAGTGAGATCCTGTCTCTGAAAAAAAAAAATTTTTTTTGGAAAAAAGAAATGAAGATTGGAGCCTGTGTGGTGGCTTAAGCCTGTAATTCCAGCTACTCAGGAGGCTGCGGTGGGAGGATCCCTTGATCCCAGAAGTTGGAAACCAGCCTGGGCAACACAGAAGACCCCTTCTCTATTTAAAAAAAAAAAAAAAAAAAAAAAAAAAAGGAGAGAGAGAAGAGAAGCTATGTGCAGTGGCTCATGCCTGTAATCTCAGCACTTTGGGAAGCTGAAGTGGGAGGATCACTTGAGGCTATGAGTTGGAGACCAGCCTGGGCAATATAGTGAGACCCCATCTCTACTAAAAATCCAAAAAATTAGCTGGGCCTAGTGCTGCACACCTGTAGTTCCAGCTACTAAGGAGGCTGAGCCCAGGAGGATCACTTGAGCCCAGGAGATCGAAATTGCATTGAGCTATGATTGCACCACTGCACTCCAGCCTGGGTGATTGAGTGAGACCCTGTCTCAAAAATAAAAAAGAAAGAGAGAGCTTGTTTACATTATTATTGTTGTGATGAAATTAATGAATATAATCCTCTGCTAAGTACTTTCTAGGTATAATCTCTGCCCCCTCAAACTCTCCTGAAGGGGTAAGTACATTTATCTCCGTTTCACAGATGTGGAAACCAAGACTCAGAGAGGTTAAGTCACTCGGCACAAGTCACACAGCCAGAGCTGACAGAGCCAGGACTCACCAGGTAGAGTGGTCACCTCAGATGGTCATACAGGTTGGGGAGGAGGATTTAAGGCAATACAAGTGTCCACTATTTATGAGAGCCTGACCATGAGCTGGTCTGATCCAACCTATTCTTCCCAAATAATCCCTGCAAACAGTGGTATGATTCCGGAGGTCAAACTGAGGTTCAGGGTAGTACATCTCAGATTTCTTCATGCAAGCAGATCCGCTGGGGATTTTGTTAAAATGTTAAAATGCAGACTCTGATTCAGTCATTTCAGGGTGGAGTCTGGAGTAGGGGGAGAGGTTCTGCATGTCTGACAAGCTCCCAGGTGGGCCCTGATGCTGCTGTTCCACCAGCCACACTTTGAGTGTCAAGGAGTTAGAAAACTGAAGCAGGATGGGTGCGGTGGCTCACACGTGTAATCCCAGCACTTTGGGAGGCCAAGAGGGGAGGATCACTTAAACCCAGGAGTTTGAGACCAGCCTGGGGCAACATGGCGAAACCCCGTCTCTACAAAAAATACAAAAATTAGGCTGGGCGTGGTGGCTCACGCCTACAATCCCAGCACTTTGGGAAGCCAAGGTGGGGGGATCACCTGAGGTTGGGAGTTTGAGACCAGCCTGACCAACATGGAGAAACCCTGTCTCTGCTGAAAATACAAAATTAGCCAGGCGTGGTGGCGCATGCCTGTAATCCCAGCTACTCAGGAGGCTGAGGCAGGAGAATCGCTTGAACTCGGGAGGTGGAGGTTGCGGTGAATCAAGATGGCACCATTGCACTCCAGCCTTGGCAACAAGAGCGAAACTCCATCTCAAAAAAAAAATACAAAAATACAAACATTAGCCAGGCATGGTGGTGTGTGCCTAGGATCCCGGCTAATTAGGAGGCTGAGGTGGGAGGATCGCTTGAGCCCAGGAGGTGGGGGTTGCAGTGAGCCGAGATCACACCACGGCACTCCAGGCTGGGTGACAAAGGGAGACCATGTCTCAAAAAAAAAAAAAGAAAGAAAAGAAAGAAAACTGAAGCAAGGCCAGAGCAAGAAGGGATGAGAAACAGAGATGAGATCTGCTGGTTGGAGACAGGAGAGTGAGGTGGGGAAATGAGAAGGATTAGGGAGGAGGGAAAGGAAGGGAGGGAAAGGCCAGGTTTAAAGAGTACCCGCTGGGCCTGCAATCTCCCCAAATCCACACAGAAAGACCAAGGATCACCACTGTGTGTGGAAGCTCCCGCTCTGTGTCAGGCACTATGCCAAGTGGTCACTGTGATTACCTCGTTTCTTCTCCAAAAGAACCCATTAATGTTCCTGCTAGACAGATCAAGAAACTGAGGCTTTAAGAAGAGGTGACTCTCCAAGGTCACCAAACTAGGATGTAGGGGAGCTGGGCCCCAATCTAGGAGGAGACCAGGGATGGGCTTGGGACTCCACCACTGCCCGGCTGTGTCACCTCCACAGAACTCCTGCCCCTCTGGGAGCCTCAGTTCCCTATGCTAAAACACCAGGGTTATCACAGCACTCTCCTCTGGGGCTGTTTCAAGGATGAGCTGGCTGCCCTCAGGGTCTCTCACCTAGAGGTTCCTCTTCTAGGTGTGAAGCCCAGGGACACACTTGCTCACGTGCACAAAAGATAGCAGGGGTGTACGGCAGGGGACAAAGCACACAGCAGGGGACTGTTTAATAAATGATGATGCTAGAAGCCAGGCAGAACACCAGAGCAGGAGCAATTCTGTTTGTTTGTTTGTTTGTTTGTTTTGAGACAGAGTCTCGCTCTGTCACCCAGGCTGGAGAGCAGTGGTGTGATCTTGGCTCATTGCAACCTCTGCTTCCCAGTTCAAGCGATTCTCCTGCCTCAGCCTCTCGGGTAGCTGTGACTATAGGCACATGCCACCACGCCCAGATGATTTTTGTATTTTCAGTAGAGACGGGGTTTCTCCATGTTGGTCAGGCTGGTCTCGAACTCCTGACCTCAGGTGATCTGCCCACCTCAGCCTCCCAAAATGCTGGGATTACAGGCGTGAGCCACCACGCCTGGCCTGTGCTTCGTTTTTAATGAGCACAAGCTTATGCCTAACAATGCAGAAGACCCCACTGCCGTTCCTGCCTTATTTTGCTCCCTGGCTCTTATCAGCCTCTGACATGCTATTTATTTTACATATTGATGTTGCTTTGTGTCCATCTTCCCCCTTAAAACATCAGCTTCCCCCAAAGGTGGGGATTGTTATCTTGGTCACTGCTATGACCCAGGGTCTAGCACACAGTAGGCACTCAATAAATATGGGCTGAAATGAATAAGGGAAGGACAAATGGTGGTAAAAACAAAAAGGTTGGGAAGGATGTGCTTATTTATGAGACAAATTCACAAAATATGGCTTGACTGGTGCATGTGGAAAAGTATAAACACAGATTTGAAGGCTTCTCAGCAGTAGAAGTGAGATCAGGAAGAAAGTGACCACTTTCTTAATACTTTATCTATCATTCTTTTTTTTTTTTGAGGCAGGGTCTCACTCTGTCACTGAAGCTGGAGTGCAGTGGGGCGATTATAGCTCACTGCAGCCTCCACCCACTGGGCTCAAGCAATCCTCCCACCTTAGCCTTTTCCCGAGTAGCTGGGACCAAAGGCATGCACCACCACACCTGCTAATTTTTTAAATTTCTGTAGAGATGAGGGTCTGACTATGTTGCCCAGGCTGTTCTCCAGCTCCGGGACTCAAGTGATCCTCCCACCTCGGCCTCTCAAAGTGCTGAGATTATAGGCGTGAGCTATGGTGCCTAGCTTTATCATTCTTTATAACAAAACGCATTGATTCTATGAATGTTATTAGTATAGGCAAAAATGTAATTTATGTAAGGGAGTTGTCAGCTAAATCAAGAATGTGAAAAAGTCAACAGGATAAATTATTTGATTATTTCCACAAATAAATAGCATTTTCTTTAATGGGGAGGCAGAACTGTTAGAGATTAAAAGATTTAAGAGACATTAAACCAAATGCATAGCGTGTGCTTTGCATATAGATTCAAATAAATCAACTGTGAAAAGATATTTTAGGTCAGGCATGATGGTTCAGGCCTATAATCTCAGCACTTTGGCCAGAAGGGAGGCTCGAGGCCAGGAATTCAATACCAGCCTGGCCAACATAGTGTCTCTACTGTTAAAAATGGAAAACAAGGCCAGGCACGGTAGCTCATGCCTGTAATGCCAGCACTTTGGGAGGCCAAAGCGGGTGGATCACCTGAGGTCAGGAGTTCAAAACCAGCCTGGCCAACATGGTGAAACCCCGTCTCTACTATAAATACAAAATTAGCCAGGCATGGTGGTGGGCGCCTGTAATCCTAGCTACTCCAGAGGCTGAGGCGGGAGAATCGCTTGAACCCTGGAGGCGGAGATTGCAGTGAGCCGAGATTGTAATACTGCACTCCAGCTTGGGCAACAAAGTGAGACTCCATCTTGGAAAAAAAAAAAAAAAAGGAAAAGAAAAATAATAAATAAATTTTTAAAAACATATTTTGGAGACAATGAGAGAAATGTGAATATGGACTATATATTACAATATAATGAAATTAATAATCTCATAAGATGTGACAATGGAATTTTTGTTATGTTAAAAAAAAAAAAAAACTTATTGGCCAGGCACAGTGGCTTACACTTTTAATCCCAGCACTTTTTGAGGCCAAGGCACACAGATCACCTGAGGTCAGGAGTTCAAGACCAGCCCGGACAGCATGGCAAAACCCCATCGCTACTAAAAACAAACAAAAAAAATAAATGGGTGTGGTGGTGGGCACCTGTACTCCCAGCTACTCGGGAGGCTGAGGTAGAAGAATCGCTTGAACCAGGGAGGCAGAGGTTCCAGTGAGCTGAGATCACATCACTGCACTCTAGCCTGGGCGACAAGAGTAAAACTCTGTCCCCCAAAAAACAAGCCTATCTATTGGAGATACACAGTGATGTTTGAGTGAAAGGATACAATATTTTGCTTTAAAATATTTCAGTGCAGAGTGGGATGTAGGTATGGGATTAGTAAAATAAAATTGGTGGCTGGGCACCAATGCCCTAGAATTATTCTTATAATTCTAGCAGCTTGGAGGCTGACATGGGAGGATTGTTTGAGGCCAGGAGTTTGAGATCAGCCTGGACAACATAGCAAGACTCTATCTCTACAAAAATAAAATACATTAAAAATATAGGAGTGCAGAAGACTTATGAGAAAAAAAGAAAAATATTAAAAATAAAAATAAAATATATATACCTAGTACATACACAAATTAAAATGTTAAATAAAATAAATAAAAAGTTGGCAAGTACAAGATTCAATATTGAAAATGATTAAAGCTGCGCAGTGGGCACCTGGGGGTCTATTAATCTACTCCTTCTCTCATGCATATGCTTGAATATTTCTATCGTAAAAAGGTTTTTTGTTTTTTTTTTTGAGACAGAATCTTGGTCTGTCACCAAGACTGGAGTGCAGTGGTGTGATCTTGGCTCACTGCAACCTGCACCTCCCAGGTTCAAGCAATTCTCTGCCTCAGCCTCCTGAGTAGCTGGGATTACAGGTGCCCGCCACCATGCCCGGCTAATTTTTTGTATTTTTAGTAGAGACGGGGTTTCACCATCTTGGCCAGGCTGGTCTTGAACTCCTGACCTCATGATCCACCCACCTCAGCCTCCCAAAGTGCTGGGATTACAGGCGTGAGCCACTGCGCCCGGCCTAAAAAGTTTTTTAAATAAATAAAAATAAAAACAGTTTTTTGGTTTTGATTTTTTTTTTTTTTTGAGACAGATTTTCGCTCTTATTGCCAAGGCTGGAGTGTAGTGGTACAATCTCGGCTCACTGCAACCTCCACCTGCGGGTTCAAGTGATTCTCATGCCTCAGTCTCCCGAGTAGCTGGGATTACAGGCATGTGCCACCATGCCCGGCTAATTTTTGTATTTTTAGTAGAGATGGGGTTTCACCATGCTGGCCAGGCTGGTCGCAAACTCAGGTGATCCACCCGCCTTGGCCTCCCAAAGTGCTGGGATTACAGGCATGAGCCACTGCACCCAGCCAAAAACAAAATTTTAAATGATTTTTAAAAGTTCCAGCATGGACTGGGCATGGTGGTTCACGCTATAATCCCAGTACTCTGGGAGGCTGAGGCAGGAGGATTGCTTGAGGCCAGGAATAAGTCCCAGCATGGACTTGTCCTCCTTCTGTACTGACTGCTGACATTGTCACCAATGTACAGAAGAGGAAAATGAGGCAGAGTAGAGCAAGTTACCCGAGGACCTGCCACACATGGAGATGACCATCATCCGGTCATGGGAACAGGAACTGGTCCTCTGCAGTTCCCTTTCCCTTGCCAAGCCCAGGACAATTTTCTGTTCAATTGGAGGAGAGGAAAGGGTCAGATGTAAGAAAGGGCATAGGTCAGGGGGAGAAACAGAGCAGGGAGAGGTGGGCGTGAGGGCGGGGGTGGGACTGACCGTGATGGCAGGAACAGCAGGGCCTGAGGAACCTTCCGTGCCCCTTCTTGTTCCTTCCTGTGGATTCAGGATGAAGCACTCAATGAGGATCCCAGCCCATAAGATGGTAGGGTGGCTGGAGAATGTCCTAGCTTCTCTGTTCTGAGGGTACAGGGACTGGGGGCCTGGACTCCTGGGTATGAGGGAGGATGGGCTGGGGGCCTGGACTCCTGGGTCTGAGGGTGGAGGGGCTGGGGGCCTGGACCCCTGGGTCTGAGGGAGGTGGAGTTGGGGGTCTCCCAGGTCTGAGGGAGGAGAGGCTGGGGCAGTCTTCTGTTCCGAAGAGGATGGCCTGGGCTCTCACCCGGGCCTTGAGCAGCCGCTCCCTCTCCGCCATGGCCTGCTGCAGGAGCCGCTCCATGTGGGCAATGTCTGGATGGATGGCCCCACAGCTAGGAGGAGGGAACACAGACGGGGTGGGTTACAGTGGCTGGGCCTCTTCTTCCATCTCCCCACCTTCTCTCTGATGTCTCACCTATTCCCACGGCCACAGTTCAGCAGCTGGTAGAGGGGGTATCTGCCGGAGTCCCCCACTGCTGGCGGGAGAGCTGAGGCCTCCAGGGATTCTAGGGTAGAGGGGACCAGGTTACAGGGCTGGATACACCCTGGCCTGAGCCTATCCACTTCTCCCCTGCAGGCATAGGTGCGGGTTTCCTCCATCCTCTGCTGCAGGATGAGTGCTGATGTGGGAAGGAAGTGGGGAACAGGGGGATCCTCACCAGTACAATGGAAGGACAGAGGTCGGGGGGATCCTCTCTGGCTCCCCCTCTCCCCCCTTTTCCGGGGCAGGCTCCCAGTCCTCTGGAGGCCAATGGAGCCCTGAAAACACAAAAGGCTCATGAGCATAGGAAAAAGGCTTGATCTCCAACCTAAGTCAGAGCACTGCCCAGTGAAGCCACCACCCAGTCAGCACAAATCAAAACACTACTGTCCATGTGCTGAGTGAAAGGACCTCACAGGGGTATGATCCCGTTTATAAGAAATATCAAGCTGAGCACAGTGGCTTATGCCTGTAATCCCAGCACTTTGGGAGTCCAAGGCAGGTGGATCACCTGAGGCCGGGAGCTCGACACCAGCCTGGCCAATATGGTGAAACCCCATCTCTACTAAAAATACAGAAATTAGCCGGGCATGGTGGCACGCGCCTGTAGTCCCAGCTACTCGGGAGGCTGAGGCAGAAGAATCGCTTGAACCCGGGAGGTGGAGATTGCAATGAGCTGAGATCGCGCCACTGTACTCCAGCCTGGGCGACAGAGCAAGACTCTGTCTCAAAAAAAAAAAAAAAAAACACAGAAAAGAAAAAAAGAAATGTCCGGAACAGGCAAATTAACATAGAAATGGGAAGTAGAATTGTGGTTGCCCGGACTGGGGTAGATCGGGGAACCGAGAGGCTAAGGGATGCAGGGTTTCTTTTGGGGGATAATGAAAATGTTCTAAAATTGATTGTGGTAATGTTTGCGCAACGTTGAATATACTAAAAGACACAGAACTGTACATTTTAAATGAATGAATTGTATAGGGACGTGAATTATGCCTCAATAAAACTCTTTCTAAAAATCCCACTGTGGGCCAGGTGTGGTGGCTCACACCTGTAATCCCAGCACTTTGGGAGGCCGAGGCGGGTGAATAACTTGAGGTCAGGCGTTTGAGACCAGCCAGGCCAACATGGTGAAACCCCGTCTCTACTAAAAATACAAAAATTAGCCAGGTGTGGTGGCACATGCCTGTAATCCCAGCTTTTCAGGAGGCTGAGGCAGGAGAATTGCTTGAACCTGGGAGGCAAAGGTTCCAGTGAGCCGAGATCTCGCCACTGAAATCCAGGCTGGACGACAGAGCGAGACTCTGTCGCAAAAAAAAAAAAGTCCCACTGCAGCCAGGCGCAGTGGCTCACACCTATAATGCCAGCACTTTGAGGCTGAGGCAGGCAAATTGCTTGAGCCCAGGAGTTGGAGATGAGCCTGGGCAACATGGTGAAACTCTGTCTCTACAAAAAAATAGAAAAATTAGCTGGGCATAGTGGCACGTGCCTGCAGTCCCAGCTACTGTGGAGGCTGACGTGGAAGGATCGCTTGAACCCCGGAGGTCAAGGTTGCAGGGAGCTGAGATTGTGCCACTGCGCTCCAGTCTGGGCGACAGAGTGACAGCCTGTCTCAAAAAAAATAAGTAAAACAAAAAAACAAAAAACCCACCGTGCTGGTGGCTATGTAGGAAACCCAGATGCCCTCACATGATACTGGGGGTGTTCTACTGGAACAAGCTTTATGGAGGGCAACTTGGCTTTTTTAAAAAAAATCTGAATGACAAATGCATAAACCATGGAGCCCCAATTCCAATTCTAGAAATTCAGCGGATGGATACACTCATACACATGCAAAGTGATCTGAGTTCAAGGTGATTCCCTGCAGTGCCATCTGTGCTAGCAAAAGCCTGGAGACCACCTAAATGCCCATCAGAAGGGGACAAGGTAAATGAACCATGGCTTATGCACTCCATAGACCATTTTTTTTTTTTTTGAGTTGGAGTCTCACTCTGTTGCCCAGGCTGGAGTGCAGTAGCACAATCTCGGCTCATTGCAACCTCCGCCTCCTGGGTTCAAGCGATTCTTCTGCCTCAGCCTCACGAGTAGCTGGGATTACAGGCATGTGCCACCACGCCAGGCTAATTTTTGTATTTTTAGTAGAGATGGGGTTTCACCATATTGGCCAGGCTGGTCTCGAACTCCTGACTTCAAGTGATCCACCTGCCTCGGCCTCCCAAAGTGCTGGGATTACAGGCGTGAGCCACCGCACCCAAGTGACTCTAAGGACAATTCTGCAGTGTAGAACAAGAGGAAGATGCATCCTACATCCAGGTAGAACATAATATCCAAAAAAGAAAAGAAAAAAAACAGAACATAATATCCAAGAGAAAACCAAGGCCAGGTGTGGTAGCGTGCACCTGTAGTCCCAGCTACTCAGGAGGCTGAGGTGGGAGGATCACTTGAGCCCAGGAGGTTGACCCTGCAGTGAGCCATGATCATGCCACTGCACTCCAGCCTGGGCGACAGTGAGATCTATCTCTTAAAGTTTTTTTTTTTTTTTTTTTAAGCGAGTACAGAACAGCATAGAATAAACTAGGTATGCATAAAAGAGGGAGAAAGTACATACATGACTAGCTGTGTCAACACAGAATATCTCTGGGGAACACATGGGAAATTGGTAACCCTGGTGGCCCTCAGGAAGTGAACAGCGTAGGAGGGGGAACAAGAGCCGCAGAGTCTTCTCTGAATATCCTCCCACACCATGTGAATTTTGAACGAGGAGAATGTTAACTTTTTAAAAGCAAATAAACATGACAACTAAATGCAACCTGTGTTCCTGAGCCAAGAAAAAAAAAGTTTGTTTTTTTTTGTGAATTTTTTGCTAGAAAAAACACTGGTGGGGCCAGGAACAGTGGCTCATGCCTGTAATCCCAGCACTCTGGAAGGCCGAGGCAGGCAGATCACCTGAGGTCAGGAGTTCGAGACCAGCCTGGCCAACATGGTGAAACCCCGTCTCTACTAAAAATACAAAAATAAGCTGGGCGTGGTGGTGGGCACCTGTAATTCCAGCTACTCGGGAGTCTGAGGCAGGAGAATCACTTGAACCAGGGAGGCAGTGGTTGCAGTGAGCCGAGATCACACCACTGCACTCCAGCCTGAGCGGCAGAGCAAGACTCTGCCAAAAAGGAAAAAAAAAAAGAAAGAGCAAGAGAGAGAAAAAGGAAGGAAGGAAGGAAGGAAGGGAAGGAGGAAGGGAGGGAGGGAGGGAAAAACATTGGTGGAACAACTGACAAAATACAAATAAGGTCTGTGGATTCTAATAGTGTTGTCTCAGTGGTAGTTTCCTGAAATCGATCATTGAACTGTGGTTGTGTAAGAGAATGGGCTTGACATTAGGTAGTAAATTTAGGAATATTTAGGGGTTAAGGGGAATCATGGGTAAGAAAATAATGGGCCAGGCATGAAGGCTCACACCTGTAATCCTAGCACTTTGGGAGGTCCAGGGAAGGCAGATCACTTTAGCTCAGGAATTTGAGACCAGACTGGGGCAATATAGTGAGACCCCATGTCTACAAAGAATACAAAAATTAGCCTGGCGCATGTCTGTAATCCCAGCTACTTGGGGGGCTGAGGCAGGAGAATCGCTTGAGTCTGGGAGGTAGAGGCTGCAGTGAGCCAAGATCGCACCATTACACTCCACTCCAGCCTGGGCGACAGAGCGAGACTGTCTCAAAAATTGAAAACTAAAAAAAATAAAAACTCTGGGAGTTGAGAAATGTTAGCTCCACTTCACAGAGAAGAAACTGAGGCTCAAATCCCCGTGCTTTACTTGACTTTTTCCTTCCTTCCAGCCACATTCCCAGCACTTCCTAGCTGGGAGATATTAGATACTTGGCACTGAGGAACCAAGTGGGCAGGTCAGACCCCAGCTTTGTCTGCAGGGCACTTATGTTGTAGGAACTGCATAAGCCATCAGCAGGCCATAGAAACAGGCCGGTTCGGGTTCAAATCCCAGCTCTGCCACTTCCTGGGTGCATGACGTAGGCAAGTCATTTCTCTTCTCAAGCGAGGTGTCCTCTCTGTAAAGTGGGTAACATCTCACTGCCCTTCCTGGGTTGTTGCAAGGATTAAATGAGTGACCTCCTGCAATGCATGTAGAAGCATGCATGGCCCCCAGGTGAGATCCAGGAGCTAAGCAATGATCCACATTGGTGGGTACAGGGTGCACCTGGGCTTAGAGGCCTTCTGTGCACAGGGGCCAACAAGTCAGGTGACAACTCCATAGGACTGGACATGGCGTCCCACCAAATATTTTCATATATGCAATTTACTAATAAGGGTAATTGCTATCCTAAGTCACGTTGCCTGGCAACACAGCTGACACCTACCTTCATCAGGTTTCCAGGGGAAGCAGCCAGAAAGTTAATTTCCCATACAGAAGAACATCTGCTAACCCTTCACCCAAATAATAACGGAACCTGCTTGTGAGGGTTCTTCCCAAGAAAAAATGAAATTTTATATATTAGGTTGAGCCAGGGGAATTGCCAGTATACGACTGTTTCTTGCCTCCAAATATTAGCAATTCCATAAGATTCAAAGTGATAAAATGGTTTAGAACAGACCCTGACCTATATTAAGTGCTTTAAAATTAGTGTTATTAATATTGATTAATAAATAACAAGATTTTTTTTTTTTAAGATGGAGTCTCGCTCTGTTGCCCAGGCTGTCATGCAGTGGTGCGACCTTAGCTCACCGAAACCTCCATCTCCTGGGTTCAAACTATTCTCCTGCCTCAGCCTCCCGAGTAACTGGGATTATAGGCACGCACCAGCACACCCAGCTAATTTTTTTTTTTTTTTTGAGACAAGGTCTCGCTCTGTTGCCCAGGCTGGAGTGCAGTGGCATGATCTCAGCTCACTGCAACCTCCGCCTCCCAGGTTCAAGCAATTCTCCTGCCAAAGCCTCCTGAGTAGCTGGGACTAGGCTAATTTGTTGTATTTTTAGTAGAGACAGGGTTTCACCATGTTAGCCAGGCTGGTCTCGATCTCCTGACCTTATGACCTGCCTGCCTCTGCCTCCCAAAGTGCTAGGATTACCAGCGTGAGCCACTGCACCTGGCCGTTTTTTTTTTTTTGTTTTTTTTTTTTTTGAGACAGAGTCTCGCTCTGTCACCCAGGCTGGAGAGCAGTGGCATGATCTCGGCTCACTGCAACCTCCGCCTTCCGGGTTCAAGCGATTCTTCTGTCTCAGCCTCCCAAGTAGCTGTGACTACAGGCATGCACCACACCCGGCTAATTTTTGTATTTTTAGTAGAGACGGGGTTTCACCATGTTGGCCAGGCTGGTCTCGAACTCCTGACCTCGTGCTCCGCCTGTCTCCGCCTCCCAAAGTGCTGGGATTACAGGTGTGAGCCACCGCGCCCAGCCAATTTTTTGTATTTTTAGTAGAGATGGGGTTTCACCAAGTTGGCCAGGCTGGTCTTGAACTCCTGTCCTCAAGGGATCCACCCACCTCGGCCTCTCAAAGTGCTGGATTACAGGCATGAGCTGACGCACACTGTTATTATTTATTTATTTTTAAGACAAAGTCTCACTCTGTCGCCCAGGTCTGGAACTCCTGACCTCAGGTGATCCATCTGCCTCAGCCTCCCAAAATGCTGGGGTTACAGGCATGAGCCACCAAGCCCAGCCCACACACTGGTATTCTTAACAGTATTGCTTAAACTGCAGGATGGCTTGAGCCTGGGAGGCAGATCGTGTCACTGCACTCTGGCCTGGGTGACAGAGCCAGACCCTATCTCAAAAAAAAAAAAAAAAAAAGGAAAAAAGAACCTAAGTTCTGAAAACAGAGTACCTGGGTTCAAATCCCAGCTCTGCCACATACTAGCTGGTTAAACAACTTAACCTCTCTTGGTGTTTTTGCCTATAACATGGAAACAAGAACCTAGCTCACAGATTTGTTGCAAAGACAAATCAGTAAGCCAATCAGCATGAAGCATTTGTAACCATGCCTTGCACACTATAATGACTCAATAAAACCATTGTTATTATTATTGCTATTGTTAATGTTATTATTATTATTATTGTAAAGTCATTAAAAATGAGGCAACTGTAAATGTATCAATGTAAAACAATCTCCAAGATAGAGTTAAGTTAAAAAATAAAAACCAGTGGGCCAGGCACAGTGGCTCACACCTGTAATCCCAGCACTTTGGGAGGCCAAGGTGGGCAGATCACCTGAGGTCAGGAGTTCGAGACCAGCCTGGCCAACATGGCAAAACCCCATCTCTACTAAAAATACAAAAATTAGCCAGGCTTGGTGGCGCATGCCTGTAATCCCAGCTACTCAGGAGGCTGAGGCTGGAGAATCGCTTGAACCCAGGAGGCGGAGGTTGCAGTGAGTTGAGATCGCACCATTGCACTCCAGCCTGGCAATAAGAGTGAAACTCTGTCTCAGAATAAATAAATAAATAAATAAATAAATAAATAAATAAAATAAAAGCCAGTGAGACCCTATCTCTACAAATTGGACCCATGCGCGGTGGCTCATGCCTGTAATCCCAGCAATTTGGGAGGCTAAAACAAGAGGACCATTTGAGCCTAAGGGTTCAAGACCAGCTTGGGCAAAAGGAAGACCCCAACTCTACAAAAATAACTTCAAAAATCAGCTGTGTATGGTGGTGTGTGGTGCATGCCTGTGGTCCCAGCTACTCAAGGAGGATCACCTGAGCCTGGGAGGTTGAGGCTGCAGTGAGCTGTGATCCCACCATTGCACTCTAGCCTGGGCAACAGAGTGAGACTCTGTCAAAAAAAAAAAGCTAGAAGAGGACTTGAAATGTTCTCAACACACAGAAATGATAAATACTTGAGGTGATAGATACCCCAATACCCTGACTTATTACACATTCTATGCATGTAATAGCATATGTACCCCATAAATATGTCCCAAATATATCATTTTTAAAAAGAAAAGCCAACTAGTAGCTAATATACACATTTTTCAGAAGGACAGGTTGAATATCCCTTCTCCAAAATACTTGGGACCAGAAGGGTTTCAGATTTGGGATTTTTTTTCAGATTTTGGAATATTTGGGTTGAGCATCCCTAACCTAAAACTCTGAAACCCAAACTGCTCCAATGTGCATTTCCTTGGAGTATCATGTAGGCACTCAAAGAGTTTCAGATTTTTGAGCATTTTGGATTAGGGATTTTTTTTGTTTGTTTTTTGAGACAAAGTCTCACTCTGTCGCCTAGGCTGGAGTACAGTGGCATAATCTCGGCTCACTGCAACCTCTGCCTTCTCAGGTTCAAGTAATTCTCGTGCCTCAGCCCTGCATCACCATGCCTGGCTAATTTTTGTATTTTTAGTAGAGATGGGGTTTCACCATATTGGCCAGGCTGGTCTCGAACTCCTGACCTCAGGTCATCCGCTTGCCTTGGCCTCCCAAAGTGCTGGGATTACAGGCATGAGCCACCATGCTGGGCGCCTGTTTTAACTATAAATGAGCTGCCCCCCCACCACCCCCGCAGTTTTAAGGAAGTCTAGAAGGATTCTCAAAACACAAGTAGCTGCGTTACTTCTGAGAAGGGGAGACCTTATTAAAATATGCTGTTTGGTTGCTTTTAAAATCTACTCCTGGGTGCACATGTTCCCATTTCGCCAGGGCAGGGGTGGGTGTTACACAGAAAAAAAATAACAATAATAAAGCTGGAGTCATAGGAATAACCCTTGGCCAACCTTCCCTATCCCCCACCGGCCCCATACAGAAAATCAGAGTGGAAGTTCTGGAGACCCCAGTTCGGGGACTCTGCTGTTAGCCCCTCCCTCCTCACTGACCAATAAGATATATGGGGAAACAGAGGCCGTGGGGGAGGCACCTGCAGGGAGCTGTGGACAGAAAAGAGGCAGGAAGAAGTAGGGGTGGCAGCGGAGTGGGCCACGGCATCCTGGAGCACCAGCAGCTGGCGGTCTGTCTTCTGGGTGAACAGCAGCTGCAAGAGATGGGGTGAAGTTTCGTGGGAGCAGGAGAGACCCCAGAGCAACTGCCAGTTTCCACGTGCTCTGGCCCATGCCTCTAGTGCCACCCATTTCTCAGAAAGAAAAACTAAGGAGAGATGGAATGTGGTCCTTCGTGTCCAGTCTCCCAATGTAGGGCTGTGGGCAGAGACTCCTGGCTCCCTGAGGAGGGGCTGGGGGCTGGACTCCTGGGTCTGAGGGAGGTGGGGCTGGGGCCTGGACTCCTGGGTCTGAGAGAGGAGGGGCTGGGGCCTGGACTCCTGAGTCTGAGGGAGGAGGGGCTGGGGCCTGGACTCCTGGGTCTGAGGGAGGAGGGGCTAGGGCCTGGACTCCTGCGTCTGAGGGAGGAGGGGCTGGGGACTGGACTTTCAAGTCTGAGGGAGGAGGGACTGAGAGGCATACAAAATCCCCATACCTTAGTGAGGGCCGGGTTGGGCTCAGAGAAGTCCCCGCCAGGTGTTCCCTGAAGGCAATTGAGCTCGAGCAGCCGGCTCCGTTCCTACCAGAAGATATGGACAGCTACGTGTCAAAGTCAGAATGGGCTGTCCCAGCTGCTTTCCCTAATGTCAGGAGACATCTGGGGTGCAGGGAGGTGGTGGGATGCCCCAGGGGGAAGTGAGGACGGTAGGGTAGGGCAGGTGACAGGTAGCTCACCTGTGACAGGGCCTGAAGGGCCTCCTCCTTCTTCCGGCTCAACCCCCGGCTCTCGGCTGCCATCTGCTCCCCCAGTGACTTGAGCTGCTCTTCCAGGACCCGGATCCGGTGCTGCAGAGCACCCCTCTGTCCCGGTTACTCATCTGTCACGGCCCCAGCCAGCTCTCCAGGCCACCCTCCCACAGAACCACATCTGCCTGGAGGGCTGGGGTTTACTCCAGCCACTCCCAGAGACCATGGGATCGGAGTGTCCAGGGCTGGGGACCCAGCGTTCAGCTCCCTGGACCCTCTTCCCTTTTGAGGGTCCAGAAGAGATCTGGGGAAGATGAAGAGAAAGGGATGGACAGAGAGAACAGTAACCAAGACAGGCCCCAAAAGACAGAGATGTAGACAAAGATTCAGGCAAAAGAAAAGATAGAAATAGAACAGAGACAAGTAGAGACAACCCGAGACGAAGGAAAAGCCAGCGGGAGAGGAAAAAGATCCAGAAGCAGGTGGGGAAAGGAGACCCAAGAAAAGCTCTTTTTTTTTTTTTTTTTGAGATGGAGTTTTGCTGTTGTTGCCCAGGCTGGAGTGCAATGGCTCAATCTCGGCTCACCGCCACCTCCGCCTCCCGGATTCAAGCAATTCTCTGCCTCAGCCTCCCGAGTAGCTGGGATTACAGGCATGCGTCACCACCCTCAGCTAATTTTGTATTTTTAGTAGAGATGGGCTTTCTCCATGTTGGTCAGGCTGGTCTCAAACTCCCAAACTCAGGTCATCTGCCTGCCTCGGCCTCCCAAAGTGCTGGGATTACAGGAGTGAGCCACCGAGCCCGGCCGAGCTTTCTAATCCAAAACTTTGGGAAACTCTGTGTTAAATATGGTCAAACATGCCCATTTTTTCCCAAGGGTCTCACAAGTCAGACCCTTGAATGTGAGGCTCCCAGGAAGGATCTGATGAAGCATCTTTTTGGAATAGAGGCAAAGAATGTGGTGGTGAATACCAAGTTTGTTCAAATCCTGGCTGTGGCGAGGCACGGTGGCTCATGTCTGTAATCCCAGCATCTTGAAAGGCCAAGGTGGGAGGATCGCTTGAATCCAAGAGTTTAAGACCAGGTGAAACCCTGTCTCTACTAAAAATACAAAAATTATCCAGGTGTAGGGGCTCGCACCTGTGGTCCCAGCTACTCGAGAGGCTGAGGTGGGAGGATCGCTTAAGCACAGGACGTGGAGGCTGCAGTGAGCTGTGAACGTGTCACTGCACTCCAGCCTGGGTGACAGAGTGAGACGCTATCTCAAAAAATAAAAATAAAAAAATCCTGGCTCTGTCCCTTACTAAGGAAACTTGGAAAAGATTACTTAAGCACCTTGACCTTCAGCTTCTTTATTTATAACGTGAAAAAAAAAAAACGTAATAGAACTTGCCTCATAAGTTTGTTGTAAGGATTCAGTGAGGAAATGCTCATGAAATATTCAGGACCATATCTGGCACATAGTAAATGTTTCATTAGTATCAGCTCTTGTTGTTACTATTCAGAAGAACATGACAGGCAGGAAACAAGGACAGAGAAAAAGGCAGGCACAGAGCAGGGGAGACAGAGAGGAGCAGCAAGGGGGGCAGCGCTGGTCAGGCATGACTCACTCTGTGCTGCGCCATGCTGGCCTGGAGTTCCTGGACCTTGGGGTCTGGCACCTGGGGCCCAGGGCTGTCCCGATCCTCCTCCTCCTGCCGGCTCTCCCGCTCCAGTTGCTGGAACTCCAGGTCCTCATAGGCACGTTGGGCCACATCCAGTTGTTCCCTCATCTATAGGTCGGAACACAAAAAGGGTGGAGGCCTGAATCCCTAAGACCCCAGGGAGTAGTGGGCTGGGGCTGGGACTCCTGGTCAGAGGAAGAAGGTGACTGAGGACTTGGATTCCTGGGTCCTGGGGAGGAGGGGGCTAAGAATCAGAGGGCCAGCTGGGCACAGTGGCTCACGCCTGTAATCCCAGCACTTTGGGAGGCCGAGGCAGGTGGATCACCTGTCAGGAGTTCGAAACCAGCCTAGCCAAAATAGTGAAACCCCGTCTCTACTAAAATGCCAAAAATTAGCTGGGTGTGGTGGTGCGCACCTGTAGTCCCAGCTACACGGGAGGCTGAGATGGGAGAATCGCTTGAACCTGGGAGGCGGAGGTTGCAGTGAGCCGAGATCGCACCACTGCACTCCAGCCTGGGCAACGAGGCGAGACTCTGTCTCAAAAAAAACAAAAAAGAAAGAACCAGATGCCATTACCTCCTGCACACCCTGCAGAAGCCGCTCGCGTTGGTCCTCTGGCTGTGAGTCGAGCTGTCCCTGGGCCTTGCGGAGTCTCTGGCGAAGACCCTCTAGGCGATCCCGTTCCTGGCTCAGCCGCCTCTGTTCCTGAAAGAACAACAAGGTTCTCACCCTCAGCTTAAGCATAGCGGGAGAAGCAGCAGCCAGCCATATCTCAGAGCCTGCCTGGGGTGTCGGCTGTACAAAGGCAGGGACTTCATCTATGTGATTCACTCCTGTGCAGGCCTGCCTCACAGTCAGCACCAAGATTTTAAAGAAATGAATGAGGCCAGGTGTGGTGGCCCACACCTGTAATCCTAGCACTGTGGGAGGCCAAAGTGGGAAGATCTCTTGAGCCCAGGTGTTTGAGACTAGCCTGGGCAACATAGGGGGAGCCCATCTCTACAAAAAAACAAAAAAATTAGTGGAGTGTGTTAGTGCACGCCTGTAGTTCCAGCTACTCGGGAGGCTGAGGTGGGAGGATTGCTTGAGCCAGGGAGATTGAGGCTGCACTGAGCTGTGTTTGCATCACTGTTCCAGTCTGGGTGACAGAGGGAGACACTGTCTCGAAAGGGAAGGAAAGGAGAAAAGACAGAAAAGAAAGAAAGAGAGAAAGAGGGAAGGAACGAAGGAAGGAGAGAGAGAAAGAAAAGAGGGAGGGAGGGAAGAGAAAGAAAAAGAAAGAAAAGGAAAGGAGGAGAAAGAGAAACAAAAAGGAAGGAAGGAAGGAATGATGGAAGGAAGGAAAGAAGAAAGAAAATTAATGAATGCAAAACATATTCATGTTATGTGATACGGTGGATGCAGAAGTGGATTGTGTCTGGGCCCTGTCCTCCAAGTGGGAACACAGCCAGTTGGAAAGATCAGGGCAGTAAAATCCAGAGACTGTGGGAACCCAGAATGAAGAACAATGTCAGCCAGAGGTTGAGGCTGCAGTGATTGCACTACTGCACTCCAGCCTGGGCGACAGTGAGACCCTGTCTCAAAATCAAAACAAAACAAAACAATCAGGGAGCATTTGGATCTGGGAAAATAAAAGGAGCTAGAAGAGCATTTTGGGCAGAGGAAGCGGCTTGGCACAAATGCATGAAAGTTGAAAAGTACAAGAAGTCTGGGGGACAAACTCCAGCCAGGGTGGAAGAGGATGTGGTGGTGGGAAGAACGTGGTGGGAGAGGACAGTGGGAAGGCCAGCTCGTCCAGCTCACGGGGGGTTTGGTCAACCTGGGGATATGGGGAGCCTCAGAAGGACTGAAAGGATGGGGTAGGAGCTAGGAATCATCCCTCTGGGAGATGGGTTACAGGGGTGGAGAGCAGCTGCCTCGGGAGTCCTCCAAGCAATGAGGGTGAGACCTAAGCTGGGGCCTGGGCGGTGGGGCTGAAAAATAGATGGACTAGACAGAGAGGATCAGGAAGCAGAAAGGATAGGACATGGTGGTTGACGGGCTTGGAGGTGAGAGACAGGGAAGTGTACAGGGCAAAGTCCAGGACTCTGGCCTGGTGACCAAAGGGACAGCAAGACAAACAGTGTGGAGAAGGGAGTTGCTGAGGTCAGCCAGACTCCTGGGTCAGAGGGAGGAGGGGCTGGGGCCTGGATTCCTGGATCTAAGGAAGGAGGATCTGGGGGTCTGGACTTCTGGGTTTGAGGGAGGAGGAGCTGGGGGTCTGGACTCCTGGGACAGAGGGAGAAGGGGCTGCGACCGAGATTTCTGGATCTGGGTGAGAAGGGAGTATGAAGTAGCCAGTACCCTAGGAAGAAGAGCACATTTCTGTCTCAGGAGAGAGGGCCTGGGAGAAATATGTGATCTTTGAGGATAAATGAGGGCCTAGGACCCAGCCTCATAAAATTCCAACATACACGACACTTGCAAAGAAAAAAACTGACAAAATCACAAGTCACCATTTTCCAACCTATAATGGTAACTGACCCAAGCAATGACCACTGATGGATGTTACAATCTTCAGATAAAAGATTCTTTTTTTTGAGATGGAGTTCTGCTCCCGTTGCCCAGGCTGGAGTGCAGTGGTGTGATCTTGGCTCCTGGGAGCTGCAACCTCCACCTCCCGGATTCAAGCAATTCTCCTGCCTCAGCCTCCCGAATAGCTGGGATTACTGGTGCCTGCCACCACGCCCAGCTAATTTTTTGTATTTTTAGTAGAGATGGGGTTTCATCATGTTGGCCAGGCTGGCCTCGAACTGCGGTGGCTCATACCTGTAATCCCAGCACTTTGGGAGGCCAAGGCGGGCAGATCACCTGAGGTCAGGAGTTCGAGACCAGCCTGACCAGCATGGAGAAACCCCATCTCTACTGAAAATACAAAATTACCCGGGCATGGTGGTGCATGCCTGTAATCCCAGCTACTGGGGAGGCTAAGACAGGAGAATCGCTTGAACCTGGGAGGCAGAGGTTACGGTGAGCCAAGATCACGCCATTGCACTCCAGCCTGGGCAACAAGAGCGAAACTGTGTCTCGCAAAAAAAAAGAGACTAGGGTGATCTTATTAGGTCGGGACAACCAGAGATGAGGTTCCCAACACTGGCTCAGGAAGCACTAAAGCACTTCTGAATACGATCAAACCTCTCCCTCTAACCAACACCCACTTGCAGAAACAGAGGCATGTTCAAGGGCACCACAGGCATGCGATCAGCCATGCTCTGCCTATAGGACAGAAGACTGGATTTTTCCAATAAACAGTATGGGGAAGACACAGCGGGTAGGAACCACCAGAGATAAAACAATGGGCAAGACGTATCAGCCAATCACACTGAACTTTGGGGACTTCATTCAAACAAGCCACCTGTTAACTGGCATTTTGAGACTGTCTGGGAAACACAAAAACTAACCAGAAATAAGACAATACTAAGAACTTATTAATTTTTTATTTTTGAGACAGGGTCTTGCTCTATCGCCCAGGTTGGAGTGCAATGTTATAATCACAGCTCACTGCAGCCTCTACCTTCTGGGCTCAATTGATCCTCCCACCTCACTCTTCTGAGTCTGAGGCCACAGGCACATGCCACCATGCCTGGTTAATTTTTGTATTTTTATTTTTCACAGAAACGGTGTCTTATTATAATATTGCCAGGCTGGTCTCATAGTCTTGGCCTCAAGCGATCCTCCCACTTTGCCCCGCCCCCCGTACCCCCCCCCCACCCCGCAAGTACTGGGATTACAGGTGTGAGCCACTTGGCCCAGCCTAAAAGGATTTCTTATCTGTCAATGATACACTCTAAACATATGTACAGACCATATGATGTCTGGGATTGGCTTTTAAAACTGGGGACGAGAACAAATTGGAGATAATGAAACAAGAATGTAAGAATATTAATCATTGATGAAGCTGGTGGGCACAGGACATGGGAGCTGCCTGACTATTGTGGGGTGGGTTTGGAAGTTTTCTTTTTCTCTTTTTTTTTTTTTTTTTTTTTTGAGACGGAGTCTCCTTCTTGTCACGCAGGCTGCTGGAGTGCAATGGTGCGATCTTGGCTCACTGCAACCTCCATCTCCCGGATTCAAGCGATTCTCCTGCCTCAGCCTCCCAAGTAGCTGGGACTACAGGCGCCCGCCACCACGCCCTGCTAATTTTTGTATTTTTAAGCAGAGACGGGGTTTCGCCATGTTGCCCAGGCTGGTCTCAAACTCCTGAGCTCAGGCAATCCGCCCGCCTCGGCCTCCCAAAGTGCTATGATTACAGGCGTGAGCCACTGCTTCCGGCCAGTTTGGAAGTTTTTACACACCCACATTTAAATAGCAAACGGACAGGGGACAAAGGAAGAGCCCCAAAAATCTCGCCCAGGGAGGGAGAAGGAAAACCAGGAGGGGCATCTGCCCCTCACTCTCTCAGGAGCCCAAATGTCTTCCTTTGGGGAATGGGGACAACCCCGGGGCGCAGGTGGCTAGGAGCACACCAACATCCATGGACCAGGAAGGACACTGCTGATGAAGACCCGGTGAGCCAAACAGACCTGTTCCCGCTGCTGGCGGCCGCGCTGCTCCGAGGCCGCCTGCTGCTCCAGCAGCTCCCGCAGCTGCTCCTCCTCCCGGCGAGCGGCCACTCGCTCCCCAGCCAGCTCACCCCGCAGCAAGGCCACCTCCACCTCCATCTGCGGAGAGAATGCCAGGGCTGGGGGCTCGGACGCCTAGGTCCAAGGAAGAGGCCCAGGGCCTGAACTACCGGATTCGAAGGGAGGATGGACTCCAGGGACCTGAATTTGGAGGGAGGAAGAGCGGAGGGCCTAAAATCTGATCCCACCCGAGGAAAAAGCTGGGAGTCCGGCTTTGCGGGTTCCGCTTGAGTTGGGGCCAGGCTTCCCAAGGGGTCCGCAGCCTCACCTCGATCCTCAGCTCCTTCCTCTGGCGCTGTAGCTCCTTCACTCGCTGCTCCATCAGGGCCACACGAGTCAATGCCTCCAGCTGCTGTCCTTGCAGGCGCCGCGCCGCCCCTCGCACCCCTTCCCGCGAAGAGGTGGATGCGGGAGGTGTGGCCGCCATAGCTATCGGAGGCGTAGCCTCGGGCTGAAGTTGAGGGGGGCGTGGTTAAGTGGAGATGCCTCGCCCCCTGCAATCACTAAGTAGGTCTGGTCCCCACCCAACATCACCCTCTGCGGGTCTCAGTCCATCAGTCCACTTACCTAACACAACCACCACTCCCATAATCTGTCGCAGGCTCTTTTCTTTTTCTTTCTTATCTTTTTTTTTTTTTTGTCCTGAGATAGGGTCTCACTGGCTGGAGTGCAGTGGCGCGATTACGGCTCACTGCAGCATCGACCTCCCTCGCTCAAGCGATTCTTCTGCCTCATCCTCCTAGGTAGCTGTGACTACAGGCGCGCACCGCCACGCCAAGCTCTTTTTTTTTTTTTTTTTTTTTGGCAGAGAGGGGGCGATGCTATGTTGCCCAGGCTGGTCTCAAACTCCTAGGCTCAAGGGATTCTCCCACCTCGGCCTCCCAAAGTGCTACGATTACAGGCATAAGCCACCGCGCCCGGCCTCAGACCCCTGTATTTAAGGTCGGAGTGGGGGAGGGTGCAAGTCCCGTGACCACCCAACCACACGGACCACAGAGGCTTGCAGTACCGTATGGAGGGTGAGCAGGTGTAAAGCCGACTTATGAAAGGTGTTTCTTTTTCTCTATCAGGTCCTATTCTCTTGGCGTCACTTTCTTGTAGTGCCTGGATCTGTCTCTGTCTCTCCACCTGACCCCAGTCTCTCAGATTCGGTATCTGTCCACTAGATCTGTCCACTAGAATCACTAGATCTTTCTTCCTCGGAGTATGTCCCTCTCTCGAGGTTTTTGTCTATTTGTTTCTCTGAGCATCTCTGCCATTTATTTCTGGGTTTCCCTCTGTCTCGATTCCCCTCTCTCTGACTCTAGTCTCACTGTGTCTCTGTCTTTTTGGGGTCTTTGTCTCTCAGTCTCCATGTCTCTGGGTCTCTGTCTGGCTTCTTGATCTCTCTGCATCTCTTACTCGTTTGGTTCTCTCTGTTCTGTAGTCTCTCCTGTCTGTCTATCTGGTCTCTCTCTCTCTCTCTCTCTCTCTCTCTCTCTCTCATTTTTAGAGATAGGTTCTGCTTTGTCCCAGGCTGGGGTGCAGTGGCGCAGTCATAGTTCACCGCAGCCTACAACTCCTGGGCTCAAGCGATCCTCCTGCCTCAGCCTCCCGAGTAGCTGGGATTACAGGCACGCGGCACTGCGCTTGGACAATTTTTGTATTTTTTTTTTCTCTAGAGACAGGGATTTGCTATGTTGCCCAGACTTGTCTCGAACTCCTGGGCTTAAGCAATCCTCCCCTCGGCCTCCCCAAGTGCTGGGATTACAGGCGTGAGCCACCTATCTGGTTCCTCTATACTAGTCTCTCTGTCTCTGTCGCCCGTTTGGGTCTATCTCCGTTCTTGGGGCCTCCCCGTGGCTCTATCTGGTTTCTGTCTCTGTATCTGGTTTCTGTCTGTCTGTGCCTCTGCCTCTCTGGCTCCGTGTCCTGGTGTATCTCTCTCTCAGTAGTCTCTGCTATCACTCGGTCTCTCTCCCTGTCTCCGGGTCTCTGTCTTTCTGGTTTCCCTCTACCTGTCTACCTGTCTGGCCACCTGTTTGGGTCCCCGTCGGTCCAAGCCCCCCGCGCTGTCGCCCTCGGGCCCCTCACCGCGTCGCGGCTGCTCTCAGTGCTGCTGCCTTCTCCCACTTCTTCTTCCTCTGCCTGCTGCTCAGCTCCCCCGCGGCTCGAAGGTTCCGCCAGGACTTCGGATGCCTCCTGTTCCCGGGACTCCTCGGGATGGCCCTGGGGCTGGACCTCCACGTCGCATTCCGGGACCAGCGGCGGCGGGGTCCCCTCCTCGGGGCTGCTTCGCGTCCCCATGGCCGCTGGGACTCCTGCGGGGTGGGCGGGACCAGAAGCTCCGGGGGCGGGGCCTAGGACGGCTGAGCGCCGCTCGCGTCTGCTCCGGGGCGCGGAGACCCCCCCCCAAGGAGGCGGGGCCTAAGAGTTCAAAGGATGGAACTGAGCGTTACGGAGGCGTGTCCTGAAGTTTCCAGAGGCGGGGCTTGATGGCTCCAAGGCGACACGCCACCGGAGACGGGACCGGAATTTGAGTCCGGGTCGTAGCACGCCCCCTACTGACCTCTTCGACCCCGCCTCCCCTCCCTCATCTCTAGGTGTCAGGCCTTGTACCCTCCCAGCAGCCCCCTACAATCTCTTGGATTCGCTTAGAGCGACCCATCTTCTCCCTCCGAGACTCAGCAGTTCGGCTCCCGCCCCATCCTTCCCGGAGCCCCGTAGTCTTAGTCCCGACCCCACTGTGCAGGGCAACCGTGCCCACGCCGCCTCACCCAGGGATCCAGGAGTCGGGGCTCTCCTTCTCTGAACAAGCCAGGAGTCGGAGTCCTTGAGATTCCGAAGTCCAACTGCCACCTCCCCACAGCCTCGGCCCCCTCACGAGCTCAGGCTTCGGCGCGCTCCGCTCTGCGCGCTGGGCACGGCCGCTTCTGCCTATGAGACAGGTGGCAGGGGAAGAGGGAGGAGAGAGGCCGCCCGGTCCCCCTCCCCAGCAGCCCGGAAGTGGAGGGGGGACAACAGGTCCAACAGCTCCCGAGGGAGGAGGGAGCCACGGGCTTGCCCCACCCGTGGCCTCGGCATCCGGCCATCCCGGCCCCACCGGCCCCGGCCCGGCCCCACCCTCGTGGAACTCAGCATCGCGACCTCCCAGTCTCCCTCGAGCCCCTCATTCCTGCCCCCCTGGAGGAGTCTTGGCCACCTCTGTATGGGAGCCTCTCTAATGTCCAGACCTTGGGAGTTCAGAAAGGAAGGCAGGAATGGAGATGGGGACGTCTCCCCTCTAATGAGCCCTTCAGAAGGGCCCTGACCGGTTTGGGGAGCTGGACAAGGGGAAGGGGTGCCCTGAACTGAGTCAGACACCTGCCCAGAGACTGAGGGAAGTGTACCGCCACCCCCCCACAACTTTGCTATGGGGTGGAGGGCAGAGGTTAAAGGTCTCAGCCAGACCCTTTCCTCTCTGGGCGAAAACAGGAAAATGAAAACAGGAAAATAACTGGTATATGAAAAGGGATGATTAGAAGTCAAGAGCTGTGTGAAACACTTTATACCCAGTCATTTAATTTCACCCTCAAAGCTGTCCAGCGAGAAAGTGATTACTACCTCCATTTCTTTTTTTTTAGTAGAGACTGGGTTTCTCCAGGTTGCCCAGGCTGATCTTGAACTCCTGGGCTCAAACAACCTGCCTGCCTCAGCCTCCCAAAGTGTTGAGATTACAGGCGTGAGCCACCGCTCCTGGCCTACTATCTCCATTTTACACTTGGGGATACAAGCTGAGGAGGACAAATGCACCCAAGGTTGGCTGGGCACAGAGGCTCAGGCCTGTAATCCCAGCACTTTGGGAAGCCGAGGCAGGTGGATTGCTTGAGATCAGGAGTTCAAGGCCAGCCTGGGCAACATGGAGAAACCCCATCTCTACTAAAAATACAAAAATTATGCCAGGCGTGGTGGCACACACCTGTCATCTCAGCTACTCCAGAGGCTGAGGCAGGAGGATATCTCGAGCCCAGGAGGTCGAGGCTGCAGTGAGTCTTGAATGTGCCACTGCACTCCAGCCTGGGCGACAGAGTAAGACCCCATCTCAGAAAAAAAAAAAAAAATGTAGCCAACATCTACACATGTTGTAAGTGGTAAAATGCAGGCTTCATTCTCTCAAAAGTCCATGTTCTTAACCATTGCGTATACTGTCACTACAAGCCAGGAAGTACCCAAAAGATCATTCTAAATGATAGTAACTTTAATGGTGAACACTGATAGGCCATGTGCCAGGCACTCACACACATTGACTCATCAGAGCATCACAACACCCCATTATTATTCCTTCCATTTTAGAGATAAGAAAACTGAGGCCTAGAGAAGTGAAGTAACTTACCCCAGGGCTAAGTGGGAAGTGGCTCAAAAGCAAGCCGGTGTTCTAATCCAAGGTGATGAGAAGACCTGCCCCAGATAGCTGTGTTTGTTTTTGATCTTGTGAGTTAGAAATCTTGTGGGCTCCCGGGCTGGGCGCGGTGGCTCACACCTGTAATCCCAGCACTTTGGGAGGCCGAGGCTGGTGGATCACGAGGTCAGGAGATCAAGATCATATTGGCTAACATGGTCAAACCCTGTCTCTACTAAAAATATGAAAAAATTAGCCGGGCATGGTGGCACGCGCCTGTAGTCCCAGCTACTTGGGAAGCTGATGCAGGAGAATCGCTTGAACCCGGGAGGCAGAGGTTGCAGTGAGCCGAGATCGTGCCACTGCACTCCAGCCTGGGCAATGGAGGGAGACTCCATCTCAAAAAAAAAAAGAAAAGAAAAAGAAAACAAATCTTGCAGGCTCCCTGGCCTCTCCATAGGACCAGAACCCCACCCCTTTCGGCCCAGAAACCCAATTGGTTCCCCCAGAAAATAGGTAGAAGTCAGACTCACGTTAAAAAAAGTTTTATTTAGGGAGCTCCAGGGAATGCGGTGGGAAAGGAGAGGTGCAGTGTCATTGCCGCCCTCTCCTCCCACCTAGTGCATTAATAGTGGATGGGAGCATCTGACAGAAGTGAGATCAGGCAGTGGGTGTCTGCACCCCACAGCGCATGTTGGCTGGAACAGCAAAGTCTGAAAGGAAGAAATCAAGGTTAAAACTAAGGGGCCTAGGTAGAGTTCCAGGCCCCACTGGAGACCCAGAAATCCTAGGAACCTTTCCTCTTCAGGAAACTAGAGTTTTGGTCCTGAGCCCACTCCTTCCCTCAGACCCAGGAGTCCAGTACCCCAGCCCCTCCTCCCTCAGACCCAGGAGTCCAGACCCCCAGCCCCTCTTCCCTCAGACCCAGGAGCCCAGACCCCCAGCCCCTCCTCCCTCAGACCCAGGAGTCCAGTCCCCCAGCCCTTCCTTCCTCAGACCCAGGAGTCCAGTCCCCCAGCCCCTCCTCCCTCAGACCCAGGAGTCCAGTCCCCCAGCCCCTCCTCCCTCAGACTCAGGAGTTCAGACCCCCAGCCCCTCCTCCCTCAGACCCAGGAGTCCAGGCCCCCAGCCCCTCCTCCCTCAGACCCAGGAGCCCAGGTCCCCAGTCCCTCCTCCCTCAGACCCAGGAGTCCAGGCCCCCAGCTCCTCCTCCCCCAGTCCCTCCTCCCTCAGACCCAGGAGCCCAGGTCCCCAGTCCCTCCTCCCTCAGATCCAGGAGTCCAGGCCCCCAGTTCCTCCTCCCTCAGACCCAGGAGTCCAGGCCCCCAGTTCTTCCTCCCTCAGACCCAGGAGCCCAGGCCCCCAGCCCAGCCCCTCCTCCTTCAGACCCAGGAGTCCAGGCCCCCAGCTCCTCCTCCCTCAGACCCAGGACCCCAGGCCCCCAGCCCCTCCTCCCTCAGACTCAGGAGCCCAGGCCCCCAGCCCAGCCCCTACTCCCTCAGAGCCAGGAGTCCAGGCCCCCAGCCCCTACTGCCTCAGACCCAGGAGTCCAGTCCCCCAGCCCCTCCTCCCTTAGACCCAGGAGTCCAGGCCCCCAGCCTCTCCTCCCTCAGACCCAGGAGTCCAGGCCCCCAGCCCCTCCTCCCTCAGACCCAGGAGTCCAGGCCCCCAGCCCCTCCTCTCTCAGACCCAGGAGTCCAAGACCCCAGCCCCTCCTCTCTCAGACCCAGAAGTCCAGGTCCCCAGCTGCTCACCTATCTGCTGAGGTTTAGGCAAGTTCAGGTTGCCCATGATTTTGACAAACTCCTCACAGCTGAGGGTGAGCCGAGGGTTCAGAGTCCTCTCCTCCTCCACGGTGGACACTGTGAACCCTAGGGGCCAAGGGAGGGGAAGGAAAGTCAAGGAGTCTAGTGCCTCAGGCCTCTCAGAACTACATTCCCCAGGAGGCCTTGGGTGCCTCTCTGGCAGGGGCTCTTCCCAGAATATTCCTAAAATTGCTTTCCCTCCTCCATGGACACTATGGGAAATTTAGTTTTCCCCCAGTTCCCTAAGCTCCACAAGTAAGGCCCAGGAAAACCCATGCCCTGCAGAATTCTAGGCATCTGGCAGTCACATAGTTTCTACATCCACACACAGCAGGCTCAAGCACTTTATCTCTTTTTTTTTTTTTTTTTTTGAGACAGGGGCTTGCTGTGTCACCCAGGCTGGAATATAGTGGTACAATCATAGCTCACTGCAGCCTCAACCTCCCAGGCTCAAGCAATCCTTCTACCACAGCCTCCCAAGTAGCTGGCAGCATGCCACCATGCCTGGCTAATTTCTTGTATTTTGTAGAGGCAGGGTTTTGCCATGTTACTCCAGCTGGTCTCGAACTCACTCCTGGGCTCAAATGAGCCTCCTGCCTTGGCCTCCCAAAGTGCTAGGATTACAAGTGTGAGCCCCCTTGCCCAGCCTCAAACACTTAATTTTTTTTGGCCAGAGAAATTTCTGAGACTGGTCGTCTTCATGCCCTACAAGGATTACAGAGATTTACACTCCACTTTCAAAGTTATGTACGCCCCACACCTCTTCCAGGAAGCCCTCACCATGGTAATCGTGAGCAGGGTAGATCAGACAGTCTCCTGGAAGTGTGAAGATCTTTTCATGGACCGAGTGGTACAAGGTCTTGGCACAGCCTGGGGAAGGAAAGATCAGAGGTCAGTGGATCAACAGGACAGAAGACTCTAACCCCTTCCTTCAAGAAAAGGGTAGGAGGATAAAATCACTATAGCTAAACCCTCTCCTTCGTGTCCTGCCAATATCCCTTTGTCTAAGTAGAGAACAGGGAAAGGCATTCTAGGCAGATGGAACAGCATATACAAAGAATTGAGGAATGTCAAGAAATTCAGCATGGCTGTAAATAGGGTTGGAATGACACCGTGAAGCACCAAAGAGTGTCATTTGTGACCTTGGCTGTCACCCAGGGGATGTCAAGTAAGGGTTCTGAACAAGGAAGGTGGACTAGAAGGTAAGAAACTGAAGACAAAGCCAGGTGCAGTGGCTCATGCCTGTAATCCTAGCACTTTGGGAGGCTGAGGTGGGTGGACTACCTGAGGTCAGGAGTTCGAGACCAGCCTGGCCAACATGACAAAACCCTGTCTCTACTAAAAATACAAAAATTAGCCAGGCATGGTGACCCATGCCTGTAATCCCAGCTATTTGGGAGGCTGAGGCAGGAGAATTGCTTGAACCCAGGAGGCGGAGGTTGCAGTGAGCCAAGATCACACCACTGCCCTCCAGCCTGGGAGATAGAGCGCGGCTCTGTCTCAAGAAAAAAAAAAAAAAGGCTGGGCGCGGTGGCTCACGCCTGTAATCCCAGCACTTTGGGAGGCCGAGGTGGGTGAATCACAAAGTCAGGAGATCGAGACCATCCTGGCTAACATGGTAAAACCCTGTCTCTACTAAAAATACAAAAAAATTAGCCTGGCGTGATGGCGGGCGCCTGTAGTCCCAGCTACTCGGGAGGCTGAGGCAGGAGAATGGCGTGAACCCAGGAGGCAGAGCTTGCAGTGAGCCAAGATTGCACCACTGCACTCCAGCCTGGGCGACAGAGCGAGACTCCGTCTCAAAAAAAAGAAGAAGAAGAAGAAAGAAACTGCAGACATGAGGACATGAGGCCCAGGAGGAGAGTGTGAAGCCATGGTCCCCACAAGCAGCTCTGAGTCCTAAGTAGGGGGCAAACCTCTATTCCACCTTGCATTTCGGCCTAAATCCTTCAGCTTCCTGACTGTACTGTGAATGGATAAATGGGAGATTGGGAGCCTTGGAGAGAAAAAGACAGAGACTGAGATGCAGAGATAAGGAGAGAGGGAAGAGGGAGGAAGAGGCCTGGGGATGTGGCTTCCACGGCCATCTCATCATGGCTTCTGTCTTTCCCTCTCATCCAGCCTCACCTCTCCCCACAAGACAGCTAAATTCCAGGCCTAGTGTTAACCCCACATTCACACACATGCTCAAAGGATGGCCCAACCCTGAGATTCTGAAACTATACTCGCTTTCTACAGGGAAGCTCCTAAATCTAACTGCCCCTAGCAGCTAGACTCCAAATGGATCATTCATTGCTCCCTGGCAATTAAACCGCTGGCTTTAACAACTTCTTTTTTTATCTTTTTTTTTTTTTTTTTTGAGATGAAGTCTCACTCTGTCACCCAGGCTGGAGTGCAGTGGCGCAATCTTGGCTCACTGCAACCTCCGCCTCCTGGGTTCAAGTAAATCTCTGCCTCAGCCTCCCGAGTAGCTGGGACTACAGGCACCCACCACCATGGCCAGCTAATTTTTGTATTTTTAGTAGAGACGGGGTTTCACCATCTTGGCCAGGCTGGTCTTGAACTCCTGACCTCATGATCCACCTGCCTCGGCCTCCCAAAGTGCTGGGATTATAGGCGTGAGCCACCATGCCCAGCCCTTTGTTTTTTTTTTTTTTTTAGCTATATTTGTTTCTTAGAGAGGGAGTCTCACTATGTTGCCCAAGCTGGGCTCAAATAGGTAACTAACACACCCCTGAATCTAACTGTCCCCCAACAGCTAAGCCCCTGAATCTAACTCTTCCCATACTCTAGCATGGGGGTCCTTAACCCTGGGTACCGGTCCGTGGTCTGTTAGGAACTGGGCTGTGCAGAAGGTGGTGAGCGGTGGGTGAGTGAGCAAAGCTTCATCTGTAGTTACAGCCACTCCCCATCACTCCCGTTACCACCTGAGCTCTGCCTCCTGTCAGATCCGCAGCAGCATTAGATTCTCATAGGAGCACAAACTCTATTGCGAACTGCACATGCGAGGGATCTAGGTTGCGTTCTCCTTATGAGAATCTAATGCCTGATGATCTGTCACTATCTTCCGTCTCTCCCAGATGTGACCATCTAGTTGCAGGAAAACAAGTTCAGGGCTCCCACTGATTCTACATGATGGTGAGTTACATAATTATTTCATTATCTATTGCAATGTAATAATAAAGTGCACAATAAATGTAATGCATTTGAATCCCCGAAACTATGCCCTGCCATGGTCCATGGAAAAATTGTCTTCCACGAAACCGGTCCCTGGTGCCAAAAAGGTTGGGGACCACTGTTCTAGCAGGTAAACTCCTTGAATTTAATACTGAAGCCCCCTAAAAGTCTAATGTCCATCCATTCATTCTTGTAACAGATACTTCAACACTTGACACACACGTAACTATATGAAGATCTTGGGCTGGATAAAGGAGCTGGTCACCTTGCTGGAAGTCTGTCCGCCCACACCCACGGATCAACAGGGCATCTCCAGTGAAGGCCATGCTGTGGTCATTCAGGACGAAGGTGACACAGCCTGGGGTGTGGCCAGGGCTGGCCCTGGTCTCCAACGCCTGGCAGGGGTGGAAGAGTACAGAGATAGTCACCAAGAAGCCTTCTAGATGAAACTGGCCCCCAAAGCCCCACCCTACCCCAGGGTCTTATCTAGATAAACATTTTGGTAAAAAATGTAGATTCCCAGGCTGTAATCTTATATTATCAGAGTAAACTCCAAGTGGATTAAAGATTTAAATGCATGAAAAATAAAACCGCAAAGCTGTGACACACAACAACAAAAATACAAATAATATCTGACCTCTGGTTAGGAAGGTGATATGGTTTGGCTGTGTCCCCACCCAAATCTCATCTTGAATTGTAGCTCCCATAATCCTCATATGTCATGGGAGGGACCAGGCAGGAGGTAATTGAATAATGGGGGCAGGTTTTTCCCATGCTGTCTCGTGATGATGAATAAGTCTCACGAGATCTGATGGTTTTATAAAGGGCAGTTCCCCTGCACACTCTCTCTTGCCTGCTGCCATGTAAGACAGGTCTTTGCTCCTCCTTCGCCTTCCACCATGATTGTGAGGCCTCCCCAGCCATGTGGAACTATGAGTCCATTAAACCTCTTTTTCTTTATAAATGACCCAGTCTTAGGGATGTCTTTATTAGCAGCATGAGAAAAGACTAATACAGTAAATTGGTACCAGTAAAGTGGGGTGCTGCTATAAGGAGATGTGAAAATGTGACTTTGGAACTGGGTAACAAGCAGAGGTTTGAACAGTTTGGAAGGCTCAGAAGAAGACAGAAAAATGTGGGAAAGTTTGGAACTTCCTAGAGACTTGTTGAGTGGCTTTGACCAATATGCCGAGAGTGATATGAACAATGAAGTCCAGGCTGACATGGTCTTACATGGAGATGAGGAACTTTTTGGGAACTGGGGTAAAGGTCACTTTTGTTATGTGTTAGCAAAGAGACTGGCAGCATTTTGCCCCTGCCCTAGAGATCTGTGGAACTTTGAACTTGAGAGAGATGACTTAGGGTACCTAGTAGAAGAAATTTCTCAGCAGGAAAGCATTCAAGAGGTGACTTGAGTGCTGTTAAAAGCATTCAAGAGGTGACTTGAGTGCTGTTAAAAGCATTCACTTCAGTTTTATGTATTCACAATGATATGGTTTGGAATTGGAACCTATGTTTAAAAGGGAAATAGAGCATAAATGTTTGGAAAATTTGCAGCCTGACAATGTGATAGAAAAAAAAACCCATTTTCTGAGGAAAAATTCAAGCCTGCTGCAGAAATTTGTATAAGTAACGAGGAGCCAAATGTTAATCACCAAGACAATGGGAAAAATGTCTCCAGGGCATGTCAGAGGTTTTCACAGCAGCCTCTCCCAACACAGGTCCAAAGGACTAGGAGAAAAAATGGTTTCATGGGCAGGGCCCATGGCCTTGCTGTTTTGTGCAGTCTCAGGACTTGGTGCCCTGCATCCCAGTCGGGGCTAAAAGGGGCCAAGTACAGCTCAGGCCATTGCTTCAGAGGGTGCAAGCCCCAAGCCTTGGTGGCTTACACGTGGTGCTGGGCCTGCTGGTGAACAGAAGTCAAGAACAGAGGTTTGGGAGCCTCCAGCTAGATTTGAGAGGCTGTATGGAAATGCCTGGATGTCCAGGCAGAGGTGTGCTGCAGGGGTGAAGCCTTCATAGGGAACCTCTGCTAGGACAGTGCAGAAGGGAAATGTGGAGTGGGAGCCCCCACAGAGAGTTCCCACTGGGGCACTGCCCCTAGTGGAGCTGTGAGAAGAGGGCCATCGCCCTCCAGAACCCAGAGTGTTAGATCCACCGAGAGCTTGCACCATGTGCCTGGAAAAGCCACAGATACTCCACACCAGCCCGTGAAAGCAGCCAGGAGTGGGGCTGTACCCTGCAAAGCCAGAGGGGCAGAGCTGCCCAAGACCATGGGAACCCACCTCTTGCATCAGCATGACCTGGATTTGAGACATGGAGTAAAAGATCTTTTTGGAGCTTTAAGATTTGACTGCCCCACTGGATTTAGGACTTGCACGGAGCCTGCAGCCCCTTCATTTTGGCCAATTTCTTCCATTTAGAATGGATGTATTTACCCAATCCCTGGATCCCACTGTATCTATGAAATAACTAAACTTGCTTTTGATTTTACAGGCCCATAGGTGGGAGGGACTTGCCTTGTCTCAGATGAGACTTTATTTTGTTGTTGATTTTTTTTTTTTTTTGGAGACAGAATCTCACTCTGTCACCCAGGCTGGGATGGAGTGGTGCAATCTTGGCTCACTGCAACCTCTGCTTCCCAGGTTCAACCAATTCTTGTGCCTCAGCCTCCCGAGTAGTTGAGACTACAGGCATGTGCCACCATGCCTGCCTAATTTTTGTATTTTTAGTATAGACAGGGTTTTATTATTTTGGGAAAGCTGGTCTTGAACTCCTGACCTCAGCTGATCTGCCTGCCTTGGCCTCCCAAAGTGCTGAGATAACAGGTGTGAGCCACCATGCCCGGCCTCAGATGAGACTTTGGACTGTGGACTTTTGAGTTAATAGTGAAATGAGTTGAGACTTTGGGGGACTGTTGGGAAGGTATGATTGGTTTTGAAATGTGAGGACATGAGATTTGGGAGCGACCAAAGTGGAATGATATGGTTTGGCTGTGTCCCCACCCAAATCTCATCTTGAATTATAGCTCCCATAATCCCCATGGGTTGTGGGAGGGAGCCGGTGGGAGGTAATTGAATCATGGGGGTGGGTTTTTCCCATGCTATTCTCATGATAGTGAATAAGTCTCACAAGATCTGATGATCTTACAAACGGCAGTTCCCCTGCACACACTTTCTTGCCTGTCGCCATGTAAGCCATGCCTTCACTCCTGTTTTGCCTTCCACCATGATTGGGAGGCCTCCCAAGCCAGGTGGAACTGTGAGCCCACTAAACCCCTTTTTCTTTATAAATGACCCAGTCTTGGGTATGTCTTTTTTTTTTTTTTTTTTTTGAGACAGTCTTGCTCTGTCACCCAGGCTGCAGTGCAGTGGTGCAATCTTGGCTCACTGCAACCTCTGCCTCCCCAGTTCAAGCAATTCTCCTGCCTCAGCCTCCTGAGTAGCTGGGATTACAGGCATGTACCACCACACCTGGCTAATTTTTATATTTTTAGTAGAGATGGGGATTCACCATGTTGGTCAGGCTGGTCTCAAACTCCTGACCACGTGATCCACCTGCCTTGGCCTCCCAAAGTGCTGGGATTACAGGCGTGAGCCACCACACCCAGCCTTCAGGTATGTCTTTATTAGCAGCATGAGAACAGACTAATACAGAAGGGATATTCAAATGTGATACCTAAAGTGATAAATCATTAAGGAAAAGATCAGTCAGAAGGTTCTGAATGGCAGCAACACCATAAACAAAATCTAAAGAGAACCAATATGCTGGGAAAATATATTTGTAACATATACATACCACACAGTGGTCAATATACTTAATATACAAACAGATCTTGCAAACCAATTTTAAAAAGGTAAGCACACTAATATAAAAATGGAATACCCAACAGTCATTAAAAGCAATACCGTTGAAATAAAATTCAATGTTTTACACTTTTAAAAATAAAAAATAGGCAGTGGTGGCTGGGCGCTGTGGCTCATACCTGTAATCCCAGCACTTTGGGAGGCCGAGGCGGGCAAATCACCTGAGGTCAGGAGTTCGAGACCACCCCGGCCAATGTGGTGAAACCCCATCTCTACTAAAAATACAAAAATTAGCCAGGCATGGTGGCACATGCTTGTAATCCCAGCTACTTGGGAGGATGAGGCAGGAGAATTGCTTTAACCCGGGAGGCGGAGGTTGCAGTGAGCCAAGATTGCACCATCACACTCCAGCCTGGATGACAAGAGCAAAACTCCGCCTTAAAAAAAAAAAAAAAAAAAGACAGTGAAAAGGTAGCCCTCAGAGTGGAAAATGATATTTACAAACATAAACAGTAGTCCTTCCTTATCCGCAGGGGATACCTCCAAGAACCCAGTGGATATCTGAAACCTCAGATAGTACAAACCCTATAAATACTGTTTTGTTTTGTTTTGTTTTGGACGGAGTCTGGCTCTGTCACCCAGACTGGAGTGCAATGGCATGATCCTGGCTCACTGCAACCTCCCCCTCCTGGGTTCAAGTGATTCTCCTGCCTCAGCCTCTCAAGTAGCTAGGGTTACAGGTGCCCACCACCATGCCCAGATAATTTTTGTATTTTTTAGTAGAGACAGGGTTTCACCATGTTGGTCAGGCTGGTCTCAAGCTCCTGACCTCAGGTGATTCACCCGCCTCAGGCTCCCAAAGTGCTGGGATTACAGGCGTGAGCCACCGTGACCGGCCAATCTATGTTTTTTTTTCATCTGATAATCAAGAAGGCTACTAAGTGATTAACGAATGGGTAACATACTCCTATACAGCACAGATACACTGGACGTAGGGATAATTCATGTCCTGAGTGGGATGGTGTGAGATTTTATCATGCTACTCAGAACGATGTACAATTTAAAACTTACTAATTGTTTATCTCTGGAATTTTCCATTGAATATCTTCACGCTATGGTTGACCACAGATAACTAAAACCACAGAAAGTGAAACCACAGGTAAAGGAGTTGTACTGGATCCAACAAAGTTCTTGGATCCGGAATATATAAAGATCATCTACAAATCAAAATTACTGGGCAGTTTCTACTAAAGCTAAATCTACACATACCCTGTGGCTCAACCCTTGGTATACATGTGGTCCTTGACTTAAGATGGTCTGACTTATGATTTTTTTTTTTTTAACCAGAGTCTCACTCTGTCACCCAGGCTGGAGTGCAGTGGTGCGATCTCGGCTCACTGCAACCTCCGCCTCCCGGGTTCAAGCGATTCTCCTGCCTCAGCCTCCTGAGTAGCTGGGATTACAGGCACTCACCATCACACCTGGCTAATTTTTGTCTTTTTAGTAGAGATGGGGTTTCACCACATTGGCCAGGCTGGTCTCAAACTCCTGACCTCAAATGATCCGCCTGCCTCATCCTCCCAAAATGCTGGGATTACAGGTGTGAGTCAGCCACCATGCCTGGCTTTTTTTTCTTTCTTTTTTTCTTTTTTTTTTTTTTTTTTGAGATAGAGTCTCTCTCTGTCGCCCAGGCTGCGGAGTGCAGTGGCATGATCTCGGCTCACTGCAACCTCGGCCTCCTGGGTTGAAGTGATTCTTGTGTCTCAGCCTTCTGAGTAGCTGGGATAACAGGCACGCATCACTGTGTCTAGCTAATTTTTGTACTGTTATTTAGTAGAGACGAGGTTTCATCATGTTGACCAGGCTGGTCTTGAACTCCTGGCATCAAGCAATCTGCCCACACTAGCCTCCCAAAGTGTTGGGATTACAGGTGTGATGTGCCCGATGACTAACAATTTATTGACTTTACAATAATGTGAAAGTGATACATTTTATTTCTTTTTTTCATTTGTCTTTTTTTTTCTTCAGTAAAGATGGGCTCTCACTATGTTGACCAGCCTGGTCTTGAACTCCTGGCCTCAAGCAATCCTCCCATCTCAGCCTCTCAATGTGCTGGGATTACAGGCATGAGCCACTGCACCAAGCCAAAAGTGATACACTTTCAATAGAAATCATATTCCATGCACCCATACAGCCATTCTGTTTTTCACTTTCAATTCAGTATTCAATAAATTACATGAGATATTCAACACTCTTGTATAAAATACAAGGCTTTGTGTTAGATGAGTTTGCCCAACTGTAGGCTAATGTAAATGTTCTGACCACTTTAAGGTAAAGTAGGCTAACCTATAATGTTCAGTAGGTTAAATGTATTAAATGCGGCCAGGCACGGTGGCTCACGCCTGTAATCCCAGCACTTTGGGAGGCCGAGGCAGGTAGATTACTTGAGGTCAGGAATTTGAGACCAGACTGGTGAACATGGTGAAACCCCATCCATACTAAAAATACAAAAATTAGCCGAAGCCAGGCACGGTGGCTCGCCTAATCGCGACACTTTGGGAGGCCAAGGCAGGTGGATGACCTGAGGTCAGGAGTTCAAGATCAGCCTCGCCAACATGGTGAAACCCCATCTCCACAAAACATACAAATATTAGTCAGGCGTGGTGGTGATGTCTGTAATCCCAGCTACTCGGGAGGCTGAGGCAGGAGAATTGCTTGAACCCAGGAAGCGGAGGCTGCAGTGAGCTGAGATCACGCCACTGCACTCCACCCTGGGTGACAGAGTGAGACTCCGCCTCAAAAAAAAAAAAAAAATTAGCCAAGCATGCCAAGCGTGGTGGCACATGCCTATAGTCCCAGCTACTGGGGAGGCTGAGGCAGTAGAATTGCTTGAACTTGGGAGGCAGAGGTTACAGTGAGCAGAGATCATGCCACTGCATTCCAGCCTGAGTGACAGAGCAACACTCCGTCTCAAAAAAAAAAAACAAAAAACAAAAGTCAATATCCTCAGCTTGGGTGACAGAGCGAGACTGTCTCAAAAAAAAAAGTCAATATCCTGGGGCAAAAGGATATGAAACTGTTCTAGATCCAAAAAGATTTTTGATAAATAAAAAATAATAAATAAATAATAAAAAAGAAAACAAAACAAAAAGAAAAGAAGGAAAAAGAAAACACAAACACACACACAAAAGAGACTAAATAGACATAATGGCCAAACACTAAGCTCAATTGTATCCTGGTTCCTAAAAACAGCCGTAGGCTGGGCACCGTGGCTCACACCTATAATTACAGCACTTTGAGTCACCGAGAGGGGAAGATCATTTGAGCCCAGGAGATTGAGACCAGCCTGGGCAACATGGTGAGATCCTATCTCTACCAAAAAAAGAAAGAAAAAAGAAAAAAAAAGCTGTAAAAATTATTCCTCGGGTAATTGGAGACATCTGAACACAGCTGAATATTTAATAATGATATAAAGTTACTGCATATTGGCCGGGCGTGGTGTCTCACGCCTGTAATCCCAGTACTTTGGGAGGCCGAGACGGGCGGATCACGAGGTCAGGAGATCGAGACCATCCTGGCTAACATGGTGAAACCCCGTCTCTACTAAAAATACAAAAAAAAAAATTAGCTGGGCGTGGTGGTGGGCGTCTGTAGTCCCAGCTACTCGGGAGGCTGAGGCAGGAGAATGGCATGAACCCGGGAGGCGGAGCTTGCAGTGAGCCGAGATCGCACCACTGCACTCCAGCCTGGGCGACAGAGCGAGACTCTTGTCTCAAAAAAAAAAAAAAAAAAAAAAAGTTACTGCATATTTTGTTAGACGTGACAAAGGTTTTGTAAAAGAGGAAGTCTCAAAGTATAGCCTAGAGAACCCTGACATTCTGCAAAATCAAAACGATTTTTGGACTTTTTGCCCATTTTCACTCGCATTCCCCAAAAACATTTGGGGGAGAGGGGCGCGGTTCTAAAAGTTTCATGACCTATAGTGACATAATTGCTCTGATGGCTGATGAAATTTGTGCTTGTTTTTTTTTTTTTTTTTTTTTTTTTTTTTTGAGACAGTCTTGCTCTGTGGCCCAGGCTGGAGTGCAGTGGTGCGATCTCGTCTCACTGCAACCTCTACCTCCTGGGTGTTCAAGTGATTCTCATGCTTCAGCCTCCTGAGTAGCTGGGATTACAGGAGCGTGCCACCATGCCCGGTTAATTTTTGTATTTTTAGTAGGGACGGGGTTTCATCATGTTGGCCAGGCTGATCTCAAACTCCTGACCTCGGGTGATCCGCACACCTCGGCTTCCCAAAGTGCCAGGATTACAGGCGTGAGCCACCGCGCCCGGCCTGTGCTTGTGTATTGTTATATTTTGTACTATTATTTCAATGTAGATTTTAAAAAATTCAAAATAAGAAATTGTGGGTGGGGAACATATAACATCTTGACCTAAAGCAGCCTTCATTGTCCCTGAAACTTGTCGAGTGATTTCCGCAACAGCCCAGCCTGCCTAACCCCAAATTCTTTCAACAAATTCATTCTTCCCTTCCATGATGCATCATGTCTGTGACACATCCCCAGAGCTTTTCTTTCATCTGTTGCCTGCAGCAGCTAAACCTGAAACTACCCCCATCAAAGAAACATAACCCAGAAGGAATCCTGTAAAGCATTCAGCTTGCTGGCCTTGGAGTTCCCACGGCCTACACTGCCCCCTGGTGGCAAGTAAGCTCTCAGCTTCTTTTCCATTTGGTTCCCAAGTTCTTTCCCTTCATTACTCAAAACTATAGTAAACACCTCTTATCTGCCTGGGATACATTTCAAGACCCGGAGTGGATGCCTAAAACCGCAGATAGTACAGAACCCTACACACTATGCTTTTTCCTATACATACGCACCTATGATAGAGTTTAATTTATAAATTAGGCACATTAATAAATCAATAATAACTAATAATAAAATAGAACAATTACAGCAAGGCATGATGGTGCACGTCTGTAGGCCCAGCTACTTGGGAGGCTGAGGCGGGAGGATCACCTTAGCCAGGGTTCAATACCAGCCTGGACAACATAGCGAGACCCCCACCCAAAAAAAAAAAAAAAAGAATAGGTCGGACACAGCAGCTCAAACCTGTAATCTTAGCACTTTGGGAGGTCAAGGCAGGTGGATCACTTGAGGTCAGGAGTTCGAGACCAGCCTGGCCAACATGGTGAAACCCCATCGCTACTAAAAATCTTTTAAAAATCAATTAGCTGGGTGTGGTGGCACTCGCCTGTAAATCCAGCTACTGCTACTCGGGAGGCTGAGGCAAGAGAATCGCTTGAACCCAGGAGGCAGAGGTTGCAGTAAACCAAGATTGTGCCACTGTACGCCAGCCTGGGCAACAGAGTGAGACTCCATCTCAAAAGAAAAAAAGATGAAGTGATGGATGGTTAGAGATGTACACTGTAAAAAAAAATTTTAAGCCTGGTGCAGTGGCTCACTCTAATCCCAGCACTTTGGGAGGCCAAGGAGGGAGGATTGCCTGAGCCCAGGAGGTCGAGGCCAGCCTGGGCAATGTGGCAAAACTCTGTCTTTACAAAAAACACAAAAACTAGCCAGGAGTGGTGGTGCACACCTGTAGTTCCAGCTATTTGGAAGCCTGAGGCAGGAGGATCGCTTGAGCCAGGAGGTTGAGGCTGCAGTGAGCTATGATTGCACCACTGCACTCCAGCCTGGATGACAAAGTGAGACCCTGTCTCAAAAAAAAAAAAAAATTTTTTTTCAGCTTTTCTCTATGCTTGAAATTTTTCATAATAAAATGTTGGAAGAAAAATTACTCGTTTCACAATGTTAAAAGGAGGAAGTATTGAAACCCACACTTGAGCCACATAAGAATCAATGGTGGAGCTTTTAAAACATGCCAATTCCTTGTGTCCACCCAGAACAATTAAATCAGACTCTCTGATTCTAAGGGACCTGGGGGATCAGTGTTTTCAGCAGTACTTCTCTAAGCCAGCATATTTAACAGCAAACCTAACTTTCTGATTCGGCCACCCTGTGGCAGCTAAGATGTTCACTTCTCAATCAGTTTATTAAAAAAAGAAAACTTGGGCCAGGTGCGGTGGCTCACTCCTGTAATCCCTGCATTTTGGGAGGCTGAGGCACGCAGATCACTTGAGGCCAGGTGCTCACGACCAGCCTGGCAGTATGGCGAAACCCCATCTCTAATAAAAACATAAAATTTAGCCAGATGTGGTGGTGCGCACCTGTAATCCCAGCTACTGGAGAGGCTGAGGCAGAAGGATCACCGAAAGGCGGAGGTTGCAGTGAGCCGAG
Source organism: Homo sapiens (assembly GCF_000001405.40). NCBI lineage: Eukaryota > Metazoa > Chordata > Mammalia > Primates > Hominidae > Homo > Homo sapiens. Next base: position 43,521,277 of record NC_000019.10, read on the forward strand.
ACTGCGCCACTGCACTCTAGCCTGGGTGACAGAGTGAGGCTCTGTCTCAGAAAAAAAAGAATTACTCCTGTTTTGGCGATCCACTGCCTTGTAGCGTCATCATGTATTAAACAGTCCCCTGCTGTGTACTTTGTCCCCTGCCCTACACCCCTGCTGTCTTTTGTGCACATGAGCAAGGGTGTCTCTGGGCTTCACACCTAGAAGGGGAACCTCTGGGTTGGAGATCCTGAAGGCAGCCAGCTAATCCTTGAAACAGCCTCAAGAGGAAGGTGCTGTGATAAACCCTGTGTTTTAGCGCAGGGAACTGAGGCTCCCAGAGGGAGGCAGAGATTGCAGTGAGCCAAGATTGTGCCACTGCACTCCAACCTGGGGGACAGAGTGAGACTCTGTCTCTAAAAAAAAAAAAAAGAAAGAAAGAAAACTCATTCTACAATGAAACCACTTAAATTTGTCCCATCTTTTATGTAAGATGAACAACCAGTTCAAGAAACTGGGAGTTTCTATGAAAATTAAACATTTGTCGACTCAGTGACCCAGAAAATCCAGTCCTTAGAATTCATGACAATGTTCCCTAAGATATTAGCAGAAGAATCTTCATAGCAGCATTATTCGTGGTAGCCAAAAACTGAATAATCAGAAGGAAAATAGGGTGTAGTGGCTCATGCCTGTAATTCACTTTGTACTTTGGGAGGCTGAGGCAAGGAGGATCGCTTGAGCCTAGGAGCCACCACAACCTGCCCATTTTGTAGGGCAAAAATTATGGCCAGTGGACCAAATTTGGCCTGCCATCAGTTTTTGTAAGGCCTGTAAGCTAAGAATCATTTTAACTTTTTTTCACATTGAAAACTATCAAAGTAACATGTAAAAACTAGATGGGGCTCACACCTGTAATCCCAACACTTTGGGAGGCCGAGGCAGGAGGGTTGCTTGAGGCCTGGAGTTTGAGACCAATCTGAGCAACACAGCAAGACTCAGTCTCTACAAAAAATTGTTTAAAAATTAGCTGGGCATGGTGGCACATGCCCATAGTCCCAGCTACTCAGGAGGCTGCGGTAGGAGGATCACTTGAGCCCAGGAGTTGGAGGCTGCAATGAGCTATGCTCACGCCAGTGCATACCAGCTTGGGCAATAGAACAAGAGCCTGTCTCAAACAAATTTAAAAAAAAACCTATATGAAATCCAAATTTTATTTTTTATTTTATTTATTTATTTTTTTTGAAATGGAGTTTTGCTCTTGTCACTCATGCTGGAGTGCAATGGCACCATCTGGGCTCACTGCAACCTCCACCTCCCGGGGGAGGTTCAAGCGATTCCCCTGCCTCAGCCTCCTGAGTAGCTGGGAATACAGGCACACCCCACCACGCCCAGCTTATTTTGTATTTTTAGTAGAGATGGGGTTTCACCATGTTGGTCAGGCTGGTCTCGAACTCCTGACCTCAGGTGATCTACCCACCTCAGCTTCCCAAAGTGCTGGGATTACAGGCATGAGCCTGACCTAAAATCCAAATGTAGAGGCCACAAATAAAGTCTTATTAGAACACAGCCATGCCTATTCATTTATGCAGTGTCTGTGGCTGCTTTCATGCCACAATAAGAGAGCTGAGTAGCTGTCACAGAGACCCTACTACCTGTAAAAACTGAAAATATTTACTATCTGGTCCTTCACAGAAAAAGGTGGCCAACTGCTGCTCTATAGCAATAAGAAGGAAAGAACTCCAAGTATAAACCAACATCATGTAGAGTGGAAAAAAGGCCAGACACAAAAGAGTACACTGTATAAGTCCTGTTTATAATGTCAGAACAGGCAAAACCGGCCTGTGGTTAAATGCATCAGAAGAATGGTGCCTTAGGAGGGCGGTCATTGGCCAGAAAGGGAGGCAAGGAAGACTTCTGGGGTGATGGGCAAGTTCTGTATCGGGATCTGGGTAAGTACTCATACACATGTATAATATGTGGACTCCTTTCATTCCATGAATGTTAACAACTCGGTTTTGTTTGTTTGTTTGTTTGTTGAGATGGAATCTCGCTTTGTCACCCAGGCTGGAGTGCAGTGGTGCGATCTTGGCTCACTGCAACCTCTGCCTCCCGGATTCAAGCAATTCTCCTCCTGCCTCCTCAGCCTCCTGAGTAGCTGGGATTACAGGTGCCTCACCACCATACCGCTTAATTTTTGTATTTTTAGTAGAGACAGGGTTTCACCATGTTGGCCAGGCTGATCTCGAACTTCTGACCTCAAGTGATCCGCCCACCTCAGCCTCTCAACGTACTGGAATTACAGGCATGAGCCACCACACCCAGGCTAACAATTCATTTTTTTAAAGTAGAAGGAAAAATAAAGGAGAGAAAAATGGACCCCCATCTCCAAAATCTCAGACAAGCCAGCCATGGTGGCTCACGCCTATAATCCCAGCACTTTGGGGAGGTCAAGGTGTGCAGATCACCTGAGGTCAGGAGTTTGAGACCAGCCTGGCCAACATGGTGAAACCCTATCTCTACTAAAAATACAAAAATTAGCCAGACATGGTGGCACATGCCTGGAATCCCAGCTATTTGGGAGGCTGAGACAGCAGAATCGCTTGCGCTCAGGAGGCAGAGGCTGCAGTGAACTGAGAGCTTGCCATTGCACTCCAGCCTGGGTGACAGAGCAAGACTGTCTCAAAAAAATAAATAAAAATGTGCCTGGGCGCAGTGGCTCATGCCTGTAATCCCAACACTTTGGGAGGCCAGGGCGCGCGGATCACCTGAGATAGGGAGTTGGAGACCAGCCTGACCAATACGGAGAAACCCCGTCTCTACTAAAAATACAAAATTAGCTAGGCATGGTGGCGCATGCCTGTAATCCCAGCTACTCGGGAGGCTGAGGTTGCGCTAAGCTGAGATAGCGCCATTGCACTCCAGCCTGCGCAACAAGAGCAAAACTCCATCTCAAATAAATAAATAAATAAATAAAACAAAAAAATTTGCTGGGCTTGGTGGCGCACGCCTGTAATCCCTGCTATTTGGGAGGCTGAAACAAGAGAATCACTTGAACCCGGGAGGTGGAGGTTGCAGTAAACCAAGATCGCACCACTGCACTCTAGCTTGGGCAACAAAGTGAGACCCTGTCTCAAATTAAAAAAAAAAAAAAAAAAAAGTTGCCTAAGGCTGAGGGGGGAAAAGGGAAGGATAGGGGTGATGGCTAAGGGGTGTGGGGTCTTTTTGGAGTAATGGAAACATTTTCCAATTAATGGTAGTAATGGATGTACAACTCTGAATATACTAAAAGTCATTGAATTGTGCACTCGAAATAGATAAATTATATGGTATGTGGGTTATATCAATAAAGCTATTAAGCCTGGGCAACATAGTGAGATTACAGCTCAACAAAAAATTAAAAAATTAGCCAGGTATGGTGGCAGGTGCTTGTAGTCCCAGCTACTTAGGAGGCTGAGGCATGAGGATCACCTGAGCCCAGAAGGTCAAGGCTGCAGTAAGCTATGATCCCACCATTGCACTCCAGCCTGGGTGACAGAGCAAGACCTTTTCTCAAAAACAAACAAACAAACAACAACAACAAAAAAGGGTGGGTGCAGTGGCTCATGCCTGTAATCCCAGCACTTTCAGAAGCCCTGTAATCCTAGCACTTTAGGAGGCCAAGGTAGGAGGATCACTTGTGCCCAGTAGTTCAAGACCAGCCTGGGCAACATAACAAAACCCTGTCTCTACAAGAACATACACAAATCAGCCAGGCGTGCTGGTGCATGCCTGTGGTCCCAGCTACCAGGGAGGCTAAGGTGGGAGGATCACCTGAGCCTGGGAGGTCAAGGCTGACTGCACTCCAGCCTAGGTGACAGAGACCCAGTCTCAAATAAAAAAAAAAAAGAAAGAAAGAAAGAAAGAAAAAAAAAAAACACTGAAGCTAAATCTACCATAGCTAAACCCTTCGTTCATTTCAAGACATGTTTGTTAGCACCTATTATGTACAATGTACATACATGTACAATGCATTTTTGCCTGCTTCCAGAGAAAGGCTTGAAATAAAGCTTCTGTAACCATTGTAGCTGAACTCTCTTCCCACACACAGCCCTCATTTCCTCTAAACACTCTGACTCAAATGAACTGTCCCTATTTGGCAAAACTCTCTAACCTGGAGGCTGTCTTCTGTCACCTGACATTCTGTCCCCAAAGTCAGCCAAACTTTATTATACATCTTTAGCAATTGATCAGAAGAATGCCCTGCCAGCTGTTTCCCTCTCTCTGAGGGCAACTCCCCTGGCCCTCCCTCCTTCGGCCTGGTTGCAATTCTGGCCGGAAACCCGCTGGTGCCTGTGGCAAATAAAGTGAGGAAGGCAGGAACCTTTAGACTTCCCAGTGTGAGGCAACGGCAGGGCTAGGACTAGGGTGAGGCTGTTGGTGCAAGATTTAAGGAGGCGCTCACTCACAGGTGCGGACCCTGCACTTACAGGACCCTGAGAGCGAGTGCCTCCTTAAATGTTGCACTCCAGGGTCCTCACCGTCCTTTTCCTAGTCCTGGGCTCCGGGTTCTAAGCACCCAGATGCTCCTTCCTCAAACGGAGGTTTCCGCAAGACAGGACTGGGTCTCTTTCCTTCTCAGCCCTGCCCTCAGAATTCCAGCCCCTAATCAACTTTTATGGAGATGCATGCCAGGCCAAAGGGCTGCCCCTAAGCTTTAGGAAGGAAACTCCTTAAATGCTGTTGACTTAGGAGTTCCGCCAGTGCCCCACCTGCCCAGAGCCTCTTGCCCCAGTGCCCCACCTGGGTTTATGGTGCCCCCCTCCCAGAAATATGAGCTCAGGGGTCAGAAACCCAGGTCCTGAGGTCCCTCCTCCCCAAGGACTCAGGATCCCAGGCCCCCAGTCCCCTCTTCCCTTAAGTTTAAGAAGTCCAGGCCACCACCCTCTTGGGGACCCAGCACCCAACTCACGAAGCGCCCGAAGCGGATGGAGTCTCCATCCTCAATGTGTAAGTCAGCCTGGGCCCCACTAAGGCGGGAGATGACAGACTGGCAGCCAGGGAGGAGGGAACGGAGCAGCCCCGAGCCTGTAATGTGGTCCGCGTGGCAGTGGGTATTCACTGGGAGAGAGAGGAGGGACAGGTCCGGAGGGTACAGAAAGGACCTGGGAGTCCCAGCCCAGATCCTTCTCCCTCAGACTCAGGAGTTCTGGGCCCCAGCTTCCCATTCCACTGACGCTGCAGCCCAGCCCCGCTGGGATCCATGAGTTTGGTCCCCGGACTGACCAGCATAGAGCAGCCGCAGCCCCAGCTCCTTGATCAGCTGGGCATCCCGAGGCGCTGTTTCCAGGACTGGGTCGATCAGAACGGCCTCCCGGGACTCTCTGTCACCCAGCAGGTACGTGAAGGTGCAGCTCACAGGCTCGAACATCTGGGAACGGGGGACCCAGGTGAGGGCGCAGAACCGGACTTCCACCCACTGGAGGCCAAGTAGTCCAGACTGACCCTATCCTCTTCCTAAGATCCAGAAGCAGAAACCCCAGCCCACTCTTTCCCCGGGAGTCGGGAGTCCGGAGCCCCACTACCTTCCCCTATCAGAACAAAAGAGTTCCAACTTCCTAACATCCCAAAATCAGGGTCCCCAGCACGTTCTTTCATAGAGGACCCAGGGGTCTGGCCCCAAGCCCAGAGGCCCCCAGACCACTCACCTTTAAAGGACCCAAGAGTCCAGCCCTAAACCTCCACCCCGCTTTCCGCAAGATGCAGGCGTGGGTCCCCCCGGATCTCTCCCTATTAAGAGACCCCGGAGTTCCGTCCTTGCTGCCGCCTAGTGCCCAGCAGTCCCCTCCTAGGTCCAGCCACCCGCACCTGCCGCAGGAGGATGGGGGCTCCAGACCCGCCGCGCTGGCTCAGCTGCCGCCGGGCGACCCTCAGTACAGCCTCCGCCATCGCGCCCACTGCGGGGTCAGGAATGAGCGGAGGCCGAGCGCCTGCAGGAGCCGGGCGCTACGGCACTGACCCCGGGAAGGGCGGGGCGGGGGCGGAGCACGCCTTAAAGGGGCCACGGACGCCTGGGGCAGAGGGCGGGGGACCGCCGAGCGGGACTGGGGCGAGGGCGAGACCGAGGAAAGCCAGAGTGCAATGCCTGGACGCTTTGAGACCCAGAAAAAACAGAGAACAGGGAGACACTCAAAGTGCGAGGGACAGACGCTCAGAGACACACAGACATACTCATGTAGGAACAGAGATAGGGAGAGAAGTAGAAACCCAGGGAGAGGCCCCAGTACACTCATAGCCTCGGGGCCGTTTTTTTTCCTTTTTCTTTTGTTTTATTTTGAGACAGAGTCTCGCTCTGTCACGCAGGCTTGAGTGCAGTGACTCGATCTCAGCTTACTACAGCCTTAAACTCCCGGGTTCAAGCGATCCTCCAACCTCAGCCTCCCGAGTAGCTGGGACTATGGCACGTTGCCACCACACCCGACATTTTATATATATATATTTATATCTATATATATATTTATATACATATATATATATACACACACACACACACATACATGTATATAAAATTTGTTTTTTGCAGAGACGGAGTTCTCACTATGTTGCCCAGGCTGATCTCGAACTCCTGAGCTCAAGCGTTCCTCCCACCTTGTCCTCCCAAAGTGCTGGGATTACAGACGTGAGCCACCGCGTCCCGTGGGGCCGTTTTCTAGCAGGTGGTAGGATAGTCATGGTTAGAAAAAGATGTTCGGTTCCGGGAGGCAGAGGTTGCAGTGAGTAGAGATGACGCCACTGCACTCCAGCCTGGGCGACAGAGGGAGACTCTGTCTCAAAAAAAAAAGATATTCGTTCGGTTCCAGGTCATTAATATCTTGAGGGACTTTTGAGTGGGTGCCTGGTTACCAGAACAACACTTGATCCCATTAAAGTTCATCCAGAAATTGCATAAGCATTTTATCAGGAATGTTTCTCTCTTTCCAGGAAGAAATCTTAAAAAAAAAAAAAAAGATAATTTTGCATTATCTCTTGAATAATCAGATTGGGGATTATTCATCTTCTGTTGGGGTGTGAACCTCTGAAAAGAGCTTGTGTTCATTTACACCAAGGACCTGGGGCTGAAAAACTGTAGTCTCAAGTCATGAGCTGTCAGAAAGTCTGCTCTTTGTAATCGTAGCAGTAGTGAGAATAGGACATCCCACTCTCATCTGGAGGATCTATGTCACTTTGTGACATCAGAGCAGCCTTGATTTCCAGCCTAGGGGCAGAGCTTTTTTTTTTTTTTTTAATTGTTAGAATTTTTTTTGTAGAAACAGGGGTCTTGCTATGTTGCCTAGGCTGGTCTCCAGCTCCTGGCCTCAAATGGTCCTCCCACCTGGGCCTCCCAAAATGCTGGGATTACAGGTATGAACCACTGAGTTATCCTGTCCCACAGCTTCTGAGGAGGGGTTTCCTGCAACAACATTTATCTTAATTCTGGAGTTTCCAGGGAATGGTCCCTGGAGCTATTTTCAGAGCAGCCCCTGTGTGAATGCCTTTACACAGAGAAGGCCTGCTTTTCCTTAAGCCTATCAAATTGCTTCATTAAAATTTTATGTGGCCGGCTGGGCGCGGTGGCTCATGCCTGTAATCCCAGCACTTTGGGAGGCTGAGGCGGGCGGATCACGAGGTCAGGAGTTCAAGACCAGCCTGACCAACATGGTGAAACACCATCTCTACTAAAAATATAAAAATTAGCTGGGTGTGGTGGTGCACACCTGTTATCCCAGCTACTCAGGAGGCTGAGGCAGGAGAATTGCCTGAACTCGGGAGGTGGAGGTTGCAGTGAGCTGAGATCGTGCCACTGCATTCCAGCCTGGGTGATGGAGACTCCATCTCAAAAAAAAAAAAAAAAAAAAAAAAAAAGCATATGGCTGAGCTCATGCACAGGCACTTTGAGCACTTTGGGAGGCCTAGGTGGGCAGATCACTTGAGGTCAAGAGTTTGAGACAGCCTGGCCAACATGGTAAAACCCCATCTCTACTGAAAAAAATAAAATAAAATACAAAAAAATTATCTGGGCGTGGTGGGGCACGCCTGTAGACCCAGCTACTTGGGAAGCTGAGGCATGAGAATCATTTGAACCCAAGAGGCAGAGGTTGCAGAGTTTGCAGTGATCCAAGATTGCACCTCTGCAACATAGCAAAACCCTGTCTGGGCAACAGAGCGAGAGTGTCTAAAAAAAAAAGGCCAGGTGCGGTGGCTCACGCCTGTAATCCCAGCACTTTGGGAGGCCAAGGCGGGTGGATCACGAGGTCAGGAGATTGAGACCATCCTGGCTAACACGGTGAAACCCCGTCTCTACTCAAAAAAAATACAAAAAATTAGCCGGGCATGGTGGCGGATGCCTGTAGTCCCAGCTACTCTCGAGGCTGAGGCAGAAGAATGGCGTGAACCCGGGAGGCGGAGCTTGCAGTGAGCCGGGATCGTGCCACTGCACTCCAGCCTGGACGACAGAGCGAGACTCCGTCTCAAAAAAAAAAAAAATTCCAGGCATGAGGTCTCATGCATGCCTGACTCAAGCTAGACAAAGCTGAGGACCCAGAGGTGACTCAGTCTGGCTGGTAGGCGAGAGAGGTAGGGAAAGCAGGTCTGAGACACAGGGAGGTGTAGGGATTTGGGGAACTCAGGGGAGGGAGGAGCCAGGGAAAGGAAGACCCTCAGGCACTCCTTACTGAGAGGGTCCCCCAAATAAGAACTTCTCGCCCCTGGCACCCTTTCCCGTTGTTTTTGCAGAATTTCTAGACCATTTATGTGTCCTTTGAAGACACACCCTAGGCAGGGTTTATAGGCTCAGCTGTGAGATGTTCTAAGAGTTAGACTTGGCTTCACCCTTCTCAGGTGTAGGACCTTGGGCTGAAAACTTATCTTCTTCTGGGTTCCAGTTTTCTTATCTACAAAATGAGGTTGAAAATAGTTCAATAGCCTGACATAGCACAGGCTCTCAATGGGAACTGCCCATCATTATTTTGTCACTATCCTTGACTCCTTCCTACCCTTGCCACCTCCACCCACTTCCAGGCCCTGCTGAGTTAAACTCTCTCTCTTTTTTTTTTTTTTTTTTTTTGAGATGGAGTCTTGCTCTGTTGCCCAGGCTAGAGTGCGGTGGTGCAATCTCAGCTCACTGCAACCTCCGCCTCCTGGGTTCCAGAGATTCTTCTGCCCCAGCCTCCCAAGTAGCTGGGATTACAGGTGCACACCACCACACCCAGCTAATTTTTGTAGTTTTAGTAAAGATGGGGTTTCACCATGTTGGCCAGGCTGGTCTGGAACTCCTGACCCCAAGTAATCCACCTGCCTCAGCCTCCCAAAGTGCTGGGATTACAGGGCCGAGCCACCGTGCCCAGCCAGATTTAACCTATCTTAACCAGGCCACTTTTCTGTTATCACACCCTCTGCCCCATTCAAGGGGCAGCAAAGCATAAATGCAAATTGCCTGGACTGCAGGGCCAGGCTGAGGGATTCAAATCCTGGCTCTGATACTTCCTGGCTGGGATGACCTTCCCCTCCACACTTCATTTTCCTCCTCTGTACAAGGATGATAGTAGCACCTCCTCTTAAAACATTGCTATGGGGATTAAATAAATTAATGCACATAAGGACAGTTTCCAGTGTATAATAAGTGCTAGCAATTAATACTGTAATTAATATATAACAATACCCTCACTGGTCTTCTGGCTTCTACTCTGCCTTCTTAAAATCATGGTTCTTGAAAATAGCTGTGGCCCTAGAGGTTGGGCGCGGTGGCTCACACCTGAAATCCCAGCACCATGGGAGGCCGAAGTGGGCGGATCACCTGAGGTCAGGAGTTTGAGACCAGCCTGGCCAACATGGTGAAACTCCATCTTTACCAAAAATACAAAAAAAAAAAAAAAAATTAGCCAGGCGTGGTGACGGGCACCTGTAATCCCAGCTACTCAGGACGTTGAAGCAGGAGAATCACTTGAACCTGGGAGGTGGAGGTTACAGTGGGCTGATATCTCGCCACTGCACACCAGCTTGGGTGACAGAGCAAGACTCCGTGCAAAAAAAGAAAGAGGTGGGCACAGTGGCTCACCCCTGTAATCCCAGCACTTTGGGAGGCCAAGACGGGTGGATCACGAGGTCAGGAGATCGAGACCAGCCTGGCCAACATGGTGAAACCCTGTCTCTACTAAAAATACAAAAATTAGCTGGGTGTTGTGGTGAACACCTGTAATCCCAGCTACTTGGGAGGCTGAAGCAGGAGAATCGCTTGAACTCGGGAGGCAGAGGTTGCAGTGAGCCAAGATTGCGCCACTGCACTCCAGCCTGGGGGACACAGCGAGATTCCATCTCAAAAAAAAGAGAGAGAGAGAGACCGAAGTGTCACTTCAAACTAATACAATGTGTGGAGCTCATTTAGATCTTAAGTCAAGCAAATCAAGTGTAATAAAAAGATATTTATGAGATATGATGTTTGACATTTAGCTTCAGAATCATTTGGGAAGAGTGGATGGGGGGTAAATCAAACAATACTGGTCATGAGTGAATAATTATTTTAAAAACTTTTTTTTTAAAGATACGGGGTATCACTCTGTTGCGCAGGCTGGAATGCAGTAACACAATCATAGCTCATTGCAGACATGAACTCCTGGGTGAGTCCCCACTCCCTACCCCCGTGAAATAGCTGGGACTACAGGCTGCCATTAAGCCAGACTTTTTTTTTTTTTTTTTTTTTTTTTTTAAGATGGGGAGGTGTCTCACTATGTTGCCTAGGCTGGGATTTTTGTTTGTTTGGGTTTTTGGTTTTTTTGTTTTTTTGAGACGGAGTCTCACTCTGTTGCCCAGGCTGGAGTGCAGTGGCTTGATCTTGGCTCACTGCAACCTCTGCCTCCCAGGTTCAAGCCATCCTCCCACCTCAGCCTCCGGAGTAGCTGAGATTACAAGCGTGTGCCACCATGCCTGACTAATTTTTGTATTTTTAGTAGAGACGGGTTTTCACCATGTTGGCCAGGCTGGTCTCGAACTCCTGACGTCAGGTGATCCGTCCACCTCCGCCTCCCAAAGTGCTGGGATTACAGGCGTGAGCCACCGTGCCTAGCCCCCGTCTAGTTTGGAAATCCTGGGCTCAAGTGATTCGCCCGCCTCTGCCTCCCAGAGTGCTGGGATTACAGGCATGAGACAGGGAGCCCGGCCTAGGCACTTTCTAGTCTAAACACTTTCCATTGATTATCATATTTAATCCTAAAAACGCTCCATTTTATAGATGAGGAAACAGGCCTAGAAAGAGAGCTAGAAAGGGTCACACGGCTAGAAAGTGGCACAGCCGTATTCCAAACCAGTTACCCAGGCAATCTGGCTCCAGAGTCCAAATAACCCCGCCAAACTCCCAGGGATCGCCAGACCTTGCGGGTTATCGGACTGAGACCCACCCATGCAGAGGACTTTTATGGGCATTTCCTGGTCCTTTCTGCACCAGGCAGGAAGGTGCACCGCCACTGCTCGGGAAGAATGCTAAGCTGCATGCCACCCCAGGCCTGGCACCAAGAGCATGGGCCAGGGCACCTCGGGACCACCCAGGCTTCCGAGGGGGAAGGTAGATGGGTGCGTGGCTGAGAATCTTGAATCACCCAATAGCGAGGTGTGCCAAGGCGCTGTGCAAATAACGTGCCTTTTATTGGGCACTGGCTCTCTTTGAGCCCGGAGTCCCGCCCCCGCCCTCTCTCGAAGAACTGGCCAGACTTTTTGCAAACGCCTTGAAGGGTAGAATTAGCAGCGAGCTCTTGAAACTGCCTCTGGAGATGGAACTCAGCGGAATTCTCGAAAAGAAGAGGGACATTAAAAAGACGGGTGCATGCACTGATTTCCAAGCGCAGTTTGTCCATGTTAGTCTTGTACATGCTTGACTCCAGTCAGCCACCGTAGGCCCCGCCACCGGCGGTGCACTTTCTGTCGATACGGTAGCTTCGCGCTTGCTCACGAACTTGCCTGCCTGGCTGGCGCACCCAGCCCCTCCTTCCATTCCTTCTTCCCCCTCTCTGCAGCCTCTGCCAGCCCGCACTGCGCATGCTTTCTGACGCCCCCTTTGGTCCAGCGTGGGAGGAGGGGATGGAAATGAGGTTGGGCTAAGCAGCTTGCGCGCGCTCCCTTGCCTGCCCTCCCCCGACGCCGGACGCGCGCCGGGCGGGGCAGCTCCGCTGGTCCGAGGGCAGTGCAGCAGCGGCGACAGCGGCTGCGGCCGTGGCCGTGGCGGGAGGAGCCGGAAGCCCCGCCCCCGGGGAGGGGCCGTCCTGCAGGTGAGGGCGCAGGGGTTCGGGCGCGGATATTGGCTTGCAGGCTGAATGCCAGAATCACCCCGAGGGAGATCGGTTGTGGTCCGGACGCCTAGATTCTGGAGATGCTGGAGGGACTGTGCATTGGTGCCAGAGCCTCGGGAGGGTGCATCGGTGCCTGAATGTCTGATTCCGAGGGGTGCATTGAATCCTTTACGCTTGGGACTCTGAGGGAAAAGTCCATTAGGGGTCTCTGGACCGCGACGCATGCCAGGTTCCTTCCGTATCTTCCTCCAGGTCCCCCCTCTATCCTCCACGGCCCCATCCAAGCCAGGGATGAAATTTAACGGCAAGAAGGGCGCAGTTGACGCGGCGTCAATGAACTGAGACTAAGTCAAAAGCCGGGTAAAGCTAGGTCTTCGACGTGAAGCCCCGCCCACTGTGCCCATAGGCCCCTCCCCTGGGACGGTGATGAAAGACCTGCCCACTCCGCTCGAAGGCCCCCGCCCCCTGGGTCTAGTTTCAGAACAAGACTTTTTTTGTACAGCCCCGCCCATTCCAGGACTGCAGGGTCTGGTGGGGAAGGTCCCGCCCACTCTGCGCATAGGCCCCGCCGGCTCCGCGCTTAAGACGGCCGCTGAGTTAGTTGTGGAGACTCCGCCCACTCTGCTGAAAGACTCCAACCCTGGGTTTAGATAGCGAAGGGACTGCCTCTGGCTTGAATTTGCATAGCCCCGCTCACTGTGCTCTTAGGCTCCGCCTCCCCGCTAAGCCTGCCCCCGCCTTAGCATCCCATACTTGCAGACCTTGCTCCTAAACAGTGTGATCCCTCATTTTAGGCCCTCCAACCCTATCCCCATCAGCCTGGTCATCACCGGCGTCACCCCCGCCCCGCGCCCTGCCCCTAGGTTCCTGTGCCAGCAAGATGCTGGAGCGAGGCGCGGAGTCCGCGGCCGGGGCTACCGATCCTAGTCCCACTGGCAAGGAACCAGTGACCAAAGAAGGTGAGAGTGCCCCGCCTGTGAGTAGGGAGCATTCTCCAGGAACGGGGGCCAAAATAATCACATTCTGGGGGAATCTCAGGGTGAAAATTTGAGGGCCCTAGGGTGATGACTATTTGGGATCCCCAAAACTGCCACATTCTGGGAAATCCTCCCATTTGGCTCAGAGAGAGCCTCAGTGACCATTTGCTAAGGCTCAGGAAATGAGCCTTACAGAAGGGACGGGTCAGGGATGACATGCGGGATGTCAGGGTGATCACTGGGAAGATACTAGAAACGGATACCTTGGTAGCTTTGAGGAAGCCTTAGTAGCTTTGGGGATCCAGGAAAGTAACCCTTTGGAGTCCCTCAGAATGACGCCTGGGGGGAGGGGGGAGCAGAAACATGCAATTTGGGGAGTCTCAATGTGATGCTTGAGGTGCCCAGGTACACTTGGAGGAGCCCCACGAATATCAAAGTCGTGGCGGAGCCTGGCCTAGGCCCAGGGCGTTGGCTGCTTCCTGGAGCCCACCAGCCCTCCTGTCCCCCAGCTCCCCACCAGGGCCCACCGCAGAAGCCCAGCCAGTCAGCTCCAGGGCCCACCGCGTCCGCGGGCTCGCCTCCCCGGCCTCGCCGGCGGCCCCCGCCCCAGCGCCCGCACCGCTGCCCCGACTGTGACAAGGCCTTCTCGTACCCGTCCAAGCTGGCCACGCACCGCTTAGCACACGGAGGCGCCCGACCCCACCCATGCCCAGACTGCCCCAAGGCCTTCTCCTACCCCTCCAAGCTGGCAGCCCACCGCCTCACGCACAGCGGCGCCCGCCCGCACCCGTGCCCACACTGCCCGAAGTCCTTTGGCCACCGCTCCAAGCTGGCGGCTCACCTCTGGACCCACGCACCCACCCGCCCCTACCCGTGCCCCGACTGCCCCAAGTCCTTCTGCTACCCTTCCAAGCTGGCGGCCCACCGCCACACGCACCACGCCACCGACGCCCGCCCCTATCCTTGCCCGCATTGCCCCAAGGCTTTCTCATTTCCCTCCAAGCTGGCCGCCCATCGCCTATGTCACGACCCCCCAACCGCGCCCGGCAGCCAGGCGACTGCCTGGCACCGATGCTCCAGCTGCGGCCAGGCCTTTGGCCAGAGACGCTTACTGCTCCTTCATCAACGCAGCCACCACCAGGTGGAGCACAAGGGGGAGAGAGACTGAGCCCTCCCTTGGCTCACTGTCCCCTTCTGCCGCCAGCCCTAGCCAGTAAGAGGTGGGATTTCTAAGACCGACTGTATGAGCTCGCCTCTTCCAGATAGCTGGCAGAGGGCAGGGCAAGGGATTGGCCATTTATACTGGGCTCGAGCTCAGAAGCCCGAGGAACTCTTTGCTCCCCTGCTTTGGGGAGATCTCAAACCATGGACGTGGAGCTGTGGTTTGACAGCGCTGGCTCTGCTTCTCCCCACACACTTACATGGCAAAGGTAAAAAGTCTGCTACTATCGTGGGTTGATGAGGATTGTGGGCAAACAGGCTCTCTTGTTAAAAGTTTAAACTGGTGTCTCCACTTTGGCCATATGACGGTATCTAAGAAATTGAAAATACATACATGCTTGTCTCAACTCTTCCACTTGTAGGAATTTATTCTATAAACTCATGAATGTGAAAAAAAAGCATAGTGTTAAGGGTGTTCACTGCAGTGCGACTGTTGTGGCCAAAGACTGGAAGCAACTCAAGTGCCCAAGAACAGGGGACCGACTATTGAATTACAGCCATGGAATGGAATAGGTAGCCATAGGAAAAAAGGAAGCGCTATATGTACTGATGTGGAAAAATCTCCGATACACTAGGTGATAAGAGCAAGAACAAAGGGTATATACCACTGACCATTTAAAGACATTCAAAAGCCCAAGCTTCAGGCTGGGTGTGGTGGTTCACGCCTATAATGCCAGCACTTTGGTTAGCTTGAGGCCAGTTCAAGAGCAGTCTGGGCAACATAGCGAGACACCATCTCTACCAAAAAAAAAAAAAAAGCTGGCTGTGGTGGCATGTACCTTAGTCCCAGCTACTTGGGAGACTGAGGAAGGTGGATCACTTGAGCTGGCAGGTCAAGGCTGCCATGAGCTGTGATGGTGCCACTGCCTTCCAGTCTGGGTGACAGAGCGAGACCCCATCTCAAAAAGAAAAACAAAAAAAGCCCAAGATTCAGACCCATCCCTGACCCACTTCTTACAAGTTGCCAGGCCTTGGACAAGCTTTGTCACTCCTCTGGATTCAGATGCCTTTGTTGTAAAATGGGTGGGTTATAAGGCATTTGTAAGGGGCAAGCAACACCTCAGGCAAAGTCAGTTCCCCTTATGGAGCCTGTTTCTCTCATTATAAAATAAGGATGAACAAGCTAACATTGGAATGTTCTTCATTCCACAAATACTAAGCACCTCCTGTGTGCTGGTCCCTGCATGGGGTGTTGGGGACACAGCATTGAAGACAGACCTTGTCTAGTGAGGAAAGTGAACACTAATTTTAAAAAGCAGCAGCAGACCAGGCAGAGTGGCTCAGGCCTGTAATCCCAGCACTTTGGGAGGCTGAGGCAGGCGGATAACTTGAGGTCAGGAGTTCAAAACCAGCCTGGTCAGCATGGCGAAACTCCATCTCTACTAAAAATACAAAAACTAGCTGGACATGGTGGCATGCACCTGTAATCCCAGCTACTTGGGAGGCTGAGGTATGAGAATCGCTTGGACGCGGGAGACGAGGTTGCAGTGAGCCAAGGTTGCACCACTGCACTCCAGCCTGGGCGACAGAGAGCCTGCCTCAAAAAAAAAAAAAAAAGCAGCAGCAGCCAAGTCATTCATTCATCCATGTGTGTATGTATGTAGAGACAGGGTCTATGTTGCCCAGGCTAGTCTGAACTTCTGGACTCCCACTTTGGCCTCCCAAAGTGCTAGGATTACAGGCATGAGCCACCATGCCCGGCCCCAAGTCCATTTAGAAGAACAAGTAGGAGAGCCTTGGCTCCCCACCCCCTCAACCCAGATACAAGATTACAAAGCTGTGCAGTAATGAAATTGGTGGTGGTGGCTTGAAAACGGGCCAGTGGAAGACAATTGAGAGCTCAGAAACAGACCTGTGCTTATGCTGACATATGACAAACTGGACCTGTAGACCTGGGAGTGGCAACCTTTTTCTATAAAGGGCCAAAGAGTACAGATGTCCCCTGACTTAACAATGGTTTGATTTCAGGATTCTCCAACTTTATGATGGGTTCATCCGGATGTAGCATCATTGTAAGTCAAAGGGCATTGGGTTTTTTTTGTTTTGTTTTGTTTTGTTTTGTTTTTTAGACAGGGTCTTGCTCTGTTGTCCAGGCTGGAGTGCAGTGGCACAATCGCAGCTCATTGCCCTGAATTCCTGGGCGCAAGCGATCCTCCTACCTCAGCCTCCCAAGTAGCTGGGACTACAGGCAAGCACCACCACACCCGGCTTATTTATTTTTGAGATGGAGTCTTGCTTTGTTGTCCAGGCTGGAATGCAGTGGCATGATCGCCGCTCACTGCAACCTACCTCTGCCTCCTGGGCTCAAGCTTCTCCTACCTCAGCCTCCTGAGTAGCTGGGATTTCAGGTGTGCACCACCATGCCCAGCTAATTTTTGTATTTTTAGTAGAGATGGGGTTTCACCATGTTGACCAGGCTGGTCTAACTCCTGACCTCAAGTGGTCCACCTGCCTTGGCCTCCCAAAGTGCTGGAATTACAGACGTGAGTCACTGCGCCCAGCCCCCAGCTAAATTTTTTTTGTAAATTTTTTTGTAGAGATGGGGTCTCACTATGTTGCCCAGGCTGGTCTCAATCTCCTAGCCTCAAGTGATCTTCCTGTCTTGGCCTCCCAATGTCCTGGGATTCCAGGCGTGGGCCGCCAAGCCCAGCTGCATCTGTTATATGTTTAAGTTTTGCAGGCCATACAGTGTCTTCCACAACTATTCCACTCTGCCACTGTAGCAGGAAAGCAGCCACACACATTACAATACATAAATGAATGAGCATGGCTGTGTTCCAATAAACATTTACCAAAACACTAGGTAGGCTGGATTTTGCCTATGGGCTATAGTTTGTTGAGCCTTGACATGGATGAGTGGAGGATGGACAGACTAATCATAAATAAGGCTAAGAGACATGGGGAAAAATTAAGTTGAATCCCCTGGTATGTAGAAGAATGATCCCCCAAAGATATCCACATTTGAATCCCCAGAACCTGTATGTTAGCTTGCATGTAGCAAAAGGGACATTGCAGATGTGATTGAGATGGGTAAGTTATCCTGATTATTCAGATAGGCCCAATATAATCACAAAGGTCCTTATATGGGAAAGAAGGACGCAGAAGACAGAGAGAGGTGATCATGAAAGCAAACATTCGAGTGATGAAAGGCCCCAAGTCAAGGAATTTTGCCTACAAAGGGCAAGGAAATAAATTCCTCCTTAGAGCCTCCAGAAGGATTGCAGCCCTGCTGACACTTGATTTTAGCCCAATAAGGCTGATTTTGGACTACTGACCTCCAGAACTATAATAAAATTAACTTGTGTAGTTTAAAACCACTAAGCTTATGGCAATTTGTTACAGCAACAATGGGAAACTACTGCAGATCCCTACCTCACACCATATGCAAAAACAAGTTTCTGGGAGTTTAAGATCTAAATCTGAAGAGAAGAACTCAAAAATATTTACATGGAAATAAGAAGAATTATCTTAGTAACTCCAGAAGTAGAGACAGTATCCTTAAGAGACAAAAGAATGTAAATCATAGATGAAAACATGGGTAAATGTGACCATAAATGAATGTAAAGTTATGACTAGGATGGATGAGATATAGTATTTTAAGAGTGTGTACCTGGCATATCCTATTATACAGTGGAGGTTAGGAAAGGCCTTGTTGAGGATGTAATGTCTGAACTGAGATCTGAAAGTTGTGGTGGAAGGAGTGAGAGAGTAGAAAGTGTCCATAGATTGGATAAAGAAAATTTGGTACATATACACCACGGAATACTATGCAGCCATAAAATGGAATGAGATCACATCTTTTGCAGGGACATGGATGGAGCTGGAAGCCATTATCCTCAGCAAACTAACGCAGGAACAGAAAATCAAACACTGCATGTTCTCACTTATAAGTTGGAGCTGAATGATGAGAACACATGGACATGGCCGGGCATGGTGCCTCACGCCTGTAATCCCAGCACTTTGGGAGGTGGAGGCGGGCATATCACCTGAGGTCAGTTCAAAACCAGCCTGGCCAACGTGGCAAAACCCCCCTCTACTAAAAAACAAAAATTAGCTGGGCGTGGTGGCAAACGCCTGTAATCCCAGCTACTCGGGAGGCTGAGGCACAAGAATCCCTTGAACCCAGGAGGCAGAGGTTGCAGTGAGCCAAGATCATGCCACTGCACTCCAGCCTGGGCGACAGAGTGAGACTCTGCCTCAGAAAAAAAAAAAAGAACACATCAGGGGAACAACACACACTGGGGCCTGTCAGGGGGTGGGGGTGGGGGGCTAGGAAGAGCATCAGGAAGTATACCTAATGCACGCTGGGGTTAATACTCAGGTGATGGGATGATCTGTGCAGCAAACCACCATGGCATGTATTTACCTATGAAACAAAACTGCACATCCTGCACATGTACCCCCGAACTTAAAATAAAAGTAGGAGAAAAGAAAGTGTCCAGCCTAAGGGCTAGGACTGAGCAGGCTGCTGAACTGCACTCTACTCAGTAAGGCATTTCGGGGAAGGTTTTGGGAGGGGTAAGGGTTCTACTCTGTCCTCCCAACCCAGCAGTGCTGCTTGTATCCACGTTTATGCAGAGAACTGTCCGGAAGAATTTCTCCAAAGCAACCACACCAGCAGCAAAATTTCAAAGACACATACTCATGTGAGAGGGCGTTGATCTGGTCCAACCTTACTTTTACAGATTGGGGAAATGAGGCCAGGAAAGATGAGATTTATTGGCAACCAAACCACAGGGCAGTACCTGAGTCTAGGTGGATCCTAGGTCTCTTGATAGCCTGACACCCACCCAGCTGTTCCTTGAACACATAATGCTCGCTCCTGCCTCGGGGCCTTTGCACTTGCTTTTCCTCTACCTGGAAGGGCTCTCTCAGATACTCCTTACTTCTCCCAGGTCCCTGCAGAGGGGTAAGTCCTCCAAGAGGCCATCCCCAATCATCCTATCTATAAACTACCAGGACCCTGCCATTGCTCTGTCACTCACAATGCTCTATTTTCCTTGCTCTCACAGCATTTCCCACTGTCCAAGGTTGCATTGCACGTGCACCATCTCTCTCCCCCTGTACAATGTCAGGCCAATGAGATCGGGGACTACTGTTTTTTTCATACTGTCTTCCCAGTGTCCCCCACATGGTGGCTTTGGTAGGCAGAGTAATGGCCTCCCAAAGATGTTCACATCCCAGCTGGGCACAGTGGCTCACGCCTGTAATCCAGCACTTTGAATGGCTGAGGCGAGTGGGTCACCTGAAGTCAGGAGTTCGAGACCTGCCTGGCCAACATGGCGAAACCCCGTCTCTACTAAAAATACAAAAATTAGCTGGGCATGATGGCAGGCGCCTGGAATCCCAGGTACTCGGGTGGCTAAGGCAGAGAATTGCTTGAACCTGGGAGGCAGAGGTTGCAGTGAGCCAAGAACACACCACTGCACTCCAGCCTGCGTGATAGAGCAAGACTCCGTCTCAAAAACAAAAAAACAGGGAGATTATCCCAAATGATCTAGGTAGGCTTAATGTAATCACAAAGATCTCTTGTTGCCCAGGCTGAAGTGCAATGGCATGATCTCAGCTCACTGCAACCTCCGCCGCCCGGGTTCAAGCGATTCTCCTGCCTCAGCCTCCCACGTAGCTGGGATTACAGGCATATGCCACCACATCCGGCTCATTTTGTATTTTTAGTAGAGATGGAGTTTCTCCATGTTGGTCAGGCTGGTCTCAAACTCCCAACCTCAGGTGATCCACCCCCCTCGGCCTCCCAAAGTGCTGGGATTACAGGCGTGAGCCCCTGCGCCTGGCCTACAATAACAAAGATCTTTACATGTGGAAGTATGGAACAGAAGAGTCAAGGTCAGGGTGATGGGATGTGAGAAGGACTCAACAGGCCATTGCAGGCCTGGAATATAGAAGGTGAATGGAATGTGGGTGGCTTCTAGAAGCTGGAAAAGACAAGAAAACAGATTCTCCCCTCAAGCCTCCAGAAGGAACGCAGCCCTGCCTACCTTGATTTTTAGCCCAAGGATACCCATTTTGGACTTCAGACCTCCAAACCTGTAAGATCATAAATTTCTATTATTTTAAGCCACTGAGCTTGTGATAATTTGTTATAGCAGTAGTACAAAACTAACATGGTGAGTTATCGGTGGGAGTGTGAATGAGCAAACGAATGAGTGAACATGAAGTCTAAAGCCACCCTTAGCTGGGCAGTGTGGCTCAACACCTGTAATCCCAGCACTTTAGGAGGCCAAGGCGGGAAGACTGCTTGAGGCCAGAAGTTCGAGGCCAGCCTGGGCAACATAGTGAGAGCCCATCTCTACAAAAAATAGAAAATTTATCAGGTGTGGTGGTACATGCCTATAGTCCCAGCTGCTCAGGAGGCTGAAGCAGGAGGATCGCTTGGGCCCAGGAGTTCGAGGCTGGAGTGAACAATGATTGCACCACTGCACTTCAGCCTGGGCAACAGAGCAAGACCCTGTCTCTAATAATAATAATAATAATAATAATAATAATAATAATAATAAACCACCCTCATCTTAAAGATGCAAAAACAAAGGTCCAGAAAGAGACAGGAGTGAGACTGGTAGCCCTTGGTTGATGAGGCAAAAGTTGGGAAAGGGCTTGGAATGTCCAATAAAAGGTTACCCAAAGGTCAGATCTCAAACCTACCTCTGACCCTGGCCTCTGTCCTGCTCAAACCCCCTCCCAACCTTCCCACCCTCAGATTAAAGTCCAGGCTTCTCAGCCTGGAGTTCGCAGACCTTCAGGCCAGCCCTGTCCAAAAGACCTTTCTAGACTGATGCAAATGTTCTCTGTACTGCCTAATACAATAGCCACTGAGCAATTGAAATGCATGGCCAGTGTGACTATGGAAGTGAAGTTTACATTTCATTTCATTTCATTTTAATTAATTTAAATAGCCACCTGTACCCAGTGGTGATCACACTGGACAGCAGAGCTGCAAGGACTGTGCCTGGCTTTCTAAATCTGCCCCCAAAGCCTCTTTGCCAAAGGCAGCAATGCTCTTCTGCCTGCCTCAGGCTGCTTCCCACCTCCTGGCCCATGCTATGGCCTCTGCCTAGAGCACCATCCCATCCTCTGCCCTGATTCCCTCACAATCACCTCAATTCCCACTTAAATGTGGTGGAGCCTTGAAGGGGGTGCAGGGTTTGGGTAGGTTGCTTAAAATGTCCCTTCCTCCCATTCTACCTCCTAAATTAGGTGATGTAAAACCACAGTGGTGACATTCATTATACAGCTACTTCTGAAAACCCTGGAGGAAAGGCACTATCCCTGGCCTGGGGACGCTGAGGCTTCAGGAGAGAGACAAGCCTCATGGGTACCCAGGCCTCCAGCCACAAAGGGACAGCCAAGATACAGGTGTGGCTCAGAGGGCCAGAAAAAGTTGAGGGGCAGTGCTGAGGGTCAGATTCCCAGTTCCCTGCCTCTTGCCAACACAGGGATAAGGGGCCAAGCAGAAGAGACAAAGAGTTCCTTCTCTACCAGATCTCTGACGGAGGTGCCCAGCATTCTTCCCCAGGTCCCAGGGAGCCTCTTAGAGTTTTGGGAGACTCTTGGATGAGAACCAACTCATCTTTATTAAATGCATCGTGTGTGTGTGTGTGTGTGTGTGTGTGTGTGTGTGTGTATAGCACATACTTCAGGCTTGCGGCACCACCCCATAGAGCTGGTGAGGAAGTAACTTCTGCTTCTCATTGCAACTGTAGATCCATCGGGGACGAACGAATGCCAGGGAGGGGTTGTCCATCAGGGCCTGCAGGGTGGGGTGGAGTCCATACGGGAATGTGTCATCGAGGGGAGGACGGAGGAGATGCAAAGGTGTGCCCGGGTCTCCCATTCTCTGCCTCTTTGGTACTCACCTCCTCAAAGCTGGGATCCCATTCCTGTGCTGTGATCACAAACTGAACCCGGTCACTCATATAGTCCTCGAGCTCCCTGGCGGGAGAGAAGAAAAGAGGTAGAAGGCACATCAGGGAATCAGCACTGACGTCCTACTCCCCAGCCACTCTCAATGGCTGTCCCCACACTGTCCCCACCTATGCGCCTCTAGGTTGCCTCTAGGCTCCATTCTTTCATGTATCCATCTTGCCACAGCCACAATGACCAGAGCTCCCACAGTGGCTAATCCTCAGGCTGTCCCTTTCAGAAGCAGGGGTAGGGGTAGGGATCCTCGCCATACAGAAGAGGAAACTGAGGCAAGCAATGCACCCTGGGCTGCCGGTGGTGGGCAAGCTAGCATTCGGATTCCATGACCTGTGCCCACCTGCTGGGCATGGCCCTTCTCCATCCTCCTGATGGTCTTCTTTCCCACACCCCCACCCCTCCCAGCAGGTCCCTGAGCGTTCCCTTGGATCCATCACCCCTTCCCCACCCCAGTCCCTGGAGACTCACCCATTGAAGGCTGTGACGTATCGGATGAGTTTCCGCCGCTCGTCCCCAGGGAACTCCCCGTAAAGAAAGAAGTGCTTGCCCTGGAAGAAATCTGCAGGAGAGAAGGGGGCTAAGGTAAGCATGAGGCCCCAGGAGTTCCCAGGCACCAAACAGGAGTGACGAGGCTGACCCAGCAGCTGAGGAGAGGGCTGTCCACATGTGGGCAGGGATTGATGGCAGGCAGTGGACCCTGCCCAGCGGCCCATCAGAGCCTCCTGGGGAGGTAGGTTGGTTGGTTGGTTGGTTTGCTTTAATGGTAGAAGATACAATGCCTATTATTGTGATTTGTTTCTGACCGACAGGCTGGAGCCACTTACCTCTCTCTCTCTCTTTTTTTTTTTTAAGACAAGGACTCACTCTGTCGCCCAGGCTGGAGTGCAGTGGCGTGATCTTGCCTCACTGCAACCTCTGCCTCCTGGGCTCAAGTGATTCTCCCATCTCAGCCTCCCCAGTAGCTGGGACTACAGGTGCATGCCACCAAGCCAGACTAATTTTTAAACTTTTTGTAGAGAGACGGGGTATTGACATGTTGCTCAGGCTGGTCTCAAACTCTTGGGCTCAAGCAATCCTCCCACCTCAGCCTCCTGAGTAGCCAGGACTACTGAGTAGCACACCACCACGCTCGGCTAATTTTTAAAATGTTTTGTAAAGGCGGGGGTCGGGGGGGGTCTCACTATGTTGCCCAGGCTGGTCTTGAACTCTTGGACTCAAGCAGTCCTCCCACCTCGGCCTCTCAAAGTACGGGGTGAGCCACCACGCCTGGCCTGCCTGGAGCCACTTAATGAGCTTAGTCCAGGCTGAAAACGTCAGTATCTGCCACTTCTTCACCTTTGCTCTCCTTTCCAACCAGTGCCTTTCTTGTTCTGACCTTTGGGGTGGCTCCTTCTTTCCATTTTAAGGTGACTCTCTAGGCCATCAATTTGCTGATGCCACTTTAGGGGCTTGGGAGAATCAAAGCATCTTCCTGCCCATCACCCACGAGGAACTGGGTGGAAACGGCTCTTCTGGAAGCCCCAGAACCACACCTCTGCACAGCCCGTGACTGTCTTTCCTCTGCTCCCTTCATTCTCGAAGAAGCTCTGCCTCCCTGCCCCTCATCCCACAACTCCCTGCAGAGTTTCCCCATTTCCTTTTGTTCTTATTCTTTTACACTGGAAATGCAAACACACAATGTGTGCAGACAGCATCCACGTCCAGAGTGATGGCTGATGTTAAAGCAGACACTGGTGTGCACCCACCCAGGGCCTGACAGAGAGCAGTGCCCCTGTCACCTGGTGTGCCCGGCTTCACCCCAGACCAACAGAACGGCACCTGAGCAAGTGAAGCACTAGCATGAGGGTGGGGCCCTCACCCCTGACGTGAAAAAAAGGAGGTCACACCTGGCACATGGCTGCGAGGGGAGTGGTCAGAACAAGAAATCTGGAGGGGAGAAAAAGGCAAGTCACAGAGAGGATGCTGAAAGGAAAGGAACAAGCCTGGCAGAACCTGAAGGTGCTGAGGCAGGGAGTGGGTTGAGGAAGGAGAGGGGAGGCAAGACACGGGGGCAGCAGTGACCCCAGGGCTGGCCAGGGCAAGTCCCAGCTGAGAACTGAGAAGAGAAAATGCCACTTCAGGAGGGATGGGGGGATTTCCCACCTGGGAGCTCAGGGACTGGCAGATCAGGAGGCTCCTGGTGTTCCTCACTGTCCGTGTTCTCATCCGTGGAGCCTGCATACGGGTCTTCCCCATTCTCCTCCTGGCCAGGGGGCAGTCTGTGTTCCTTCTGCTCTGCCACCCTGGGGGTGCCAAGAGGAGTAGAGAGTGAGCATGCAGAGCAGCCTCCCCTACACCCAAGGCCAGGGACACCCCAACCCCCAGCCCCAGCCCTACCTCCTCAGCTCATCCTCTGTGTCCCCAGAATCTTCCGCCCCATTGTCCTGTCCTTCTGCAAGTAGAAGCTCAGTCAATGCAAGGCTGCCTTGTCTCCTGGGAAGACTGGCAGCTCTCCCAGTATGGCACAGACCCAGGCATCTCATGCCCCCAGCCTCAACTGCCCTCCAGATCCAGTCGTCTGGGCCCCCAGCCCCTCCTCCCTCTGATCCAGGAGTCCAGGCCCCAGCCCCTCCTCCCTCAGACCCAGGAGTCCAGGACTCAGCCCTTCCTCCCTCAGACACAGGAGTCCAGCCCCCAGCCCCTCCTCCCTCAGACCCAGAAGCCCAGGCCCCCAGCCCCTCCTCCCTCAGACCCAGGAGTCCAGGCCCCCAGCCCCTCATCCCTCAGACCCAGGAGTCCAGGTCCCCAGGCTCTCTTCCCTCAGACTCAGGAGTCCAGGCCCCAGCCCCTCCTCCCTCAGACTCAGGAGCCCAGGCCGCAGGCCCTCCTCCCTCAGACTCAGGAGCCCAGGCCCCAGCCCCTCCTCCCTCAGAGTCTGACCTGACTGTACCCCCTCAATGTCTATATCTTCCTGGAGCACTGGTGAGGCTGCTTTGGTCTCTTCAGGGGTTGGGGGCTTCTGGGGTGAGCTGGGTCCAGCTGCCTGAGTGGGCTTGGTTTTGGTCTGGGGTTGCTAAGGAGGGAGAGTGGGTGGGTGAGGAGGGCAGGAACAGTGTGGGTGTGTTGGGGGGGTACCTGCAAGAGGCAAGAGTGGGAAGTTTGGGGTGCCACAGCGGACTCATGTCATCCTCCCACTACACCCTCCCCCACTGGACAGGGGGCATCAGACCTTCTGAGGAAGCTTGGGGGCTTCATCTCCGCTGCCACCGCTGTGAGAGGCCTCATCCTCCTCACTGCTGGAACCTGGCCCTGCCATGAGGTACCTAGGGGACAAATCGGGCCTCAGACAAACAGGCCCAAGGGAAGTGGGGAGGGCGTTCAGGAGGCAACAGCCATTGGCATTTACTAAAATACTCACTCTAGTGGGCCTCATGGTCTTGTTCCCAGCCCATTCTCTCCCAGCTCAGGAAGGCCCCAGTGAACCCAGTCAGTCTGGCCACCTGCCCTGCAGACCTGGGTACCCCCTTTCTTCCCCTCCCTCTTTTTTTTTTTGAGACAGAGTCCATTCCATCGCCAGGCTGGAGTGCAGTGGCCTCATCTCGGCTCACTGCAATCTCTGCCTCCAGGTTCGAGCGACTCCCCTGCCTCAGCCTCCCTAGTAGCTGGGATTACAGGTGCACACCACCATGCCCCGCCAACTTTTTGTATTTTAGTAGAGACACGGTTTCACCATGTTGGCCAGGATGGTCTCGATCTCCTGACCTCATGCTCTGCCCCCGTCAGCCTCTGAAAGTGCTGGAATTACAGGCGTTAGCCACCACTCCTGGCCGCTTTTTTTTTTTTTTAGACAAGATCTCACTCTGTCACCCAGGATAGAGTGCAGTGGCGTGATCTTGGCTCACTGCAACCTCCACCTCCCAGGGTTCGAGCGAGTCTCCTGCCTCAGCCTCCCCAGTAACTGCGATTACAGGCATGTGCCACCACGCCTGGCTAATTTTGTGTTTTTTGTGTTGTTTTGTTTTTTAAGTACATACGAGGTTTCATCACGTTGGCCAGGATGGTCTCGAACTCCTGACCTCGAGTGATCCACCCACCTCAGCCTCCCAAAGTGCTGGGATTACAGGCATGAACCACAGTACCCAGAATTCCCCTCCCTCTTGGGGAAGAAATGTCTCAATTCAGAAAGGAATGAAAAATCAGAACTTTCTCCTTTAAGAATCAAAGGCAGTTTCTCATTAGGAAAATACCCACCATTTAAGGGGAAAATCTCAAAGCAAACACATTTTAAAGACTACAACACTATAATCATGGTTCCTTAAGCCACTAACATTCCAGGAAAAGGATTTTCCTAGCTCTAACAACAGTAGCAGGTTCCCGTCCGGGAGGGAGGTGGGGGGCCAGCCGCCCCGTCGGGGGGGAGGTGGGGGGCCAGCCGCCCCATCCGGGAGGGAGGTGGGGGGGTCAGCCCCCGCCCGGCCAGCCGCCCCTCCAGGAGGGAGGTGGGGGGCGCCTCCGCCCGGCCGCCGCCCCGTCCGGGAGGTGGGGGGCGCCTCTGCCCGGCCGCCCCTTCTGGGAAGTGAGGAGCCCCTCTGCCTGGCCACCACCCCGTCTGGGAGGTGTACCCAACAGCTCATTGAGAACGGGCCATGATGACGATGGCGGTTTTGTGGAATAGAAAAGGGGGAAAGGTGGGGAAAAGATAGAGAAATCAGATTGTTGCTGTGTCTGTGTAGAAAGAAGTAGACATGGGAGACTTCATTTTGTTCTGTACTAAGAAAAATTCTTCTGCCTTGGGATGCTGTTAATCTATGACCTTACCCTCAACCCTGTGCTCTCTGAAACATGTGTTGTGTCCACTCAGGGTTAAATGGATTAAGGGCGGTGCAAGATGTGCTTTGTTAAACAGATGCTTGAAGGCAGCATGCTCATTAAGAGTCATCACCACTCCCTAATCTCAAGTACCCAGGGACACAAACACTGCGGAAGGCCGCAGGGTCCTCTGCCTAGGAAAGCCAGAGACCTTTGTTCACTTGTTTATCTGCTGACCTTCCCTTCACTATTGTCCTATGACCCTGCCAAATCCCCCTCTGTGAGAAACACCCAAGAATGATCAAAAAAAAAAAAAAAAAAAACACAACAGTAGCAGGTTGACACTTACATGGGACTTCCTACATGCCAGGTAGCACGTGACAAATACTGAGTCACTGAATCCTGGGGTAGGTCCTATTTTTGGCCCCATTTTACAGGTGAGGAGACTAAGGCACAGAGAGATTATTTAATCTGCCCTAAGCCACAGGGAAGGTATGCAGACACAAATGAATGTATTAGCTCCATTTTTCTGAGACATACATGTTAAGACCCTTCTGCATTTAATTTGGTTGTTTTCAAGCTGGTGAAATGCTGTTTAGGTAAGTCACACTCATAAAACGGTGCCTACAGGAGATTCAGAGGATTTAAAATGTAGTAGTTCATTAACAGTCAATAGCAGGTTTACTTAACTTTTTCTTCAAAGTGCTCTATTCAAAGATTAAAAAAAAAACTAAATTTGTGCTTATTAGGTATGGAGAGTCATCCTCTTGGGGTCTTCCTTCTATAGTTGAATTTTTATTTTATTTTTATTTTTTGAGACAGAGTCTCGCTCTGTCCCCAGGCTGGAGTGCAGTGGCATGATCTCGACTCACTTCAACCCCTTCCTCCCAGGTTCAAGGGATTCTCCTGCCTCAGCCTCTAGAGTAGCTGGGGCTACAGGTGTGCGCCACCATGCCCAGCTAATTTTTGTATTTTTTGGTACAGATGGGGTTTTACCATGTTGGCCAGGCTGGTCTCAAACTCCTGATGTCACGTGATCTGCCCACCTTGGCCTCCCAAAGTGCTGGGATTACAGGCGTGAGCCACTGCACTCAGCCAAATTTTTATTTTTGAGATAAGGTCTTGATTTGCCACCTAGACTGGAGTGCAGCGGTGCAATCATGGCTCATTGCAGCCTGAACCTCCTGGGCTCAAGTGATCCTACCACCTCAGCCTCCCAAGTATCTACGACTACAGGTATGTGCCACCACACCTGGATAATTTTTTTCATGTTTTGTAGGGATGGGGTCTCACCACGTTGCCTGCATCATATAGTTATTTTTTTTTAGTTTATAAATGAGTACAAGCCAGAATTTTTAAAAATATAAAATGCTTTGTGAATTCTTTTTGTTAAGACCAGTTGCAAATCCAACACTGTTTGTCTTTTTCCCTTTCTTTCATGCCCTCCTTAAGCTCTCCCAGGCAGATAATAACCCAAATCTGGTTCCTTCTGCCCCAGATATAGCACCAGCCCATCCCCTCTTCTGTTCCTGAGGCCCCAGCCTACTCAGGAGTCCCCACCTGCAGCCTCCCCTTGACACTTCATCCCTCCCAACAGAGCCTGCCCCTGCCCCCATCAAACCTTCTGTGACTCCCCTCTGCTCACAAGAGGAGGCCTCTGGAGCTGGATGGGCTTCAGAATTTTGAATCTTTCAGGTTTTAGAGAGGCAAATGGCTGGCATACAGATTGTTACATAAACTCCCAGGAGGGCCTGGGGGAGCACCCCATGATCAAACCCACTAATATTTCTGCAGTTAAGACCATGACACACTTAAGGGGATAAAAAAAAAAAAGTCCGCAAATAGCCTCACATTAGTTCAGGATGACTGCAGCGAAATGAGTTTGTGCTGAACCTAGAAAAGAACTTTCAGCTTCTAGAGATGTTTGGATTCCTGAATAACAGATGAGGGTTCTGTGAAGCTGCATGGAGCCCAGTGTGTAGCCTGGGCTCCGGAAGCCCCTTCTGACCTGAGCCCACCCACCTCACAGCCTCGCTATCCCCCAAGGCAAATAATTTCTCAAATACACCAGGTACAACTAACTTCTGAACACACTCAGGCCATGGAGTACAATCCAGTCTCCCCTCCAATTCATGGACCTCAGATATGAGCTAGCCTTTGCTCAGTCCAAAGCCTTCTGTGGTTCCTAATGCCCCAGTCCCATTTTTCCTGCCACTTCTTGCCCCTGTGTAAGCTCAGCCTCACCTACAACTCCAGGCAGACAACAGGCTGACCTGACCTTGTCTCCTCTGCCCAGCATGTTCTCTGCCTCTGTTCAGCCTGAAAAACCTCTCTTGGACCTTGAAGACCCCTCGCTCTCTGCGGGCCACCCTGTGGGGCTTCCACTGCACTGTTACAACAATTCTGATCCCTCATCAAAGTGAGAAGCCTTCAAGGGCAGGGCTCAATGACTGGATCCTCAGCCTTGCACATTCCAGCCTGGCACCAAGCAGGGGCTTCTGGGACTCATTTTGGTTTTTGGGTTTTTTTTTTCTTGTTGAGATGGGAGTCTCGCTCTGTCACCCAGGCCAGAGTGCAGTGGCACGATTTTGGCTTCCAGGTTCAAGCGATTCTCCTGCCTCAGCCTTCCGAGTAACTGGGATTACAGGCGTGCGCCACCAAGCCCAGCTAATTTTTGTGTTTTTAGTAGAGATGGGGTTTCACCATGTTGGCCAGGCTGGTCTCGAACTTCTGACCTCAAGTGATCCACCTGCCTCAGCCTCCCAGAGTGCTGGGATTACAGGCGTGAGCCACTGCACCGGGACTCACTTTGAATGAATGAATATGGACCCTAACACTTGTTCTCCCACCCCTGAGTTTTTGCACAAACTGCTCCTCCAGCCTTTTCTGATAAGCAGGCTTCACAGAGCCCTCTGTGACCTCCCAGGCAGGTCCTCCTTCCCTCATCTGGAGTACCCCAGCCCCTGCCCCGCTCCTCTCAGTAGTCTGCTGGCTCTGGGCTGGGACCACCTGTGTTCTCCGCTGGCAGGCCCCAGTCTGACTCCCCTCCAGATTCCTGGCATTGCCCAGCACAGGATAAGGAGCAGGGTTGGCGTGTGAGGCCTTACCTCTGGGAGGGCAGCCGCCGACGCATGCGGTGACAGTCCAGCACCCACTCCTTACGCACGATGCGGCCTCCCAGGCCTAGGACCTGGCTGTACTTGGGGGTGTTGGCAAAGGCACAGCTGGTGGGGGGCAGAAGTGAAGATGCCAGTTAGGTGTGATCTGAGGGGCAAAGGGGAACGAGACAGGGGAGACAGACAGAGAGAGAGAGAGACAGACAGACAGACAGATCATGAGATTGAGGTGGGAGAAACAAAAAGAGGTTGGAGACCAAGGGAGAGATGCAAAAATCAGAGAGAAGACAAAGGCTACAGAATGCAGTGAGAAAGAAAGCAAGTGAGAGAGAGAGAAAGCATGCAGCATAGTGGACACAGAGAAAGCACAAGGTGGAGGAGACACAGGGAGCTGGGGGAGAAACTGCAGCGGCGCAGGGAGGGGGGCGCAAGCCTACATGAGGTGCGTGCTGTCCCGGGTCCAGTCTGGCCGATACTTGGCCCCAAGCTCTAGGGCCTTATCTCGCAGCTCGGAGCGGAAGGGGTTCTGGAAGCCACTCAGCACCACTACCACACCCTGAAGGATCTTCCCCAGCTCCTCTGGGCCAGCTCGGGGTCGTCTGGGCTCGGTGCCTTCTCCTCGGGGTTTGCCTGTCACTGCCCCCTGTGCTCGGGCAGGGACTGGGGCTGTGGCTGGGGTACGAGTTGGAGCTGGCACTGGAGAAGACAAAGAGTAGATTAGGTTAGCACCACTGGGGGTCAACCCCCAGCCCCTCCTCCCTCAGACCCAGCAGTCCAGGCCCCAGACCCTCCTCCCTCAGACCCAGCAATCCAGGCCCCAGCCCCTCCCCCCTCAGACCCAGGGGTCCAGGCCCCCAGCCCCTCCTCCCTCAGACCCAGGAGTCCAGGCCCCCAGCCCCTCCTCCCTCAGGCCCAGGAGTCCAGGCCCCCAGCCCCTCCTCCCTCAGACCCAGGGATCCAGGCCCCCAACCCCTCCTCTCTCAGACCCAGGGGTCCAGGCTCCCAGCCCCTCCTCCCTCAGACCCAGGGGTTTAGGCCCTCAGCCCCTCCTCCCTCGGATTCAGGAATCCAGGCCCCCAGCCCCTCCTCCCTCAGACCCAGGGGTCCAGGCCCCCAGCCCTTCCTCCCTCAGATTCAGGACAGCAGGCTCCAGCCCCGCTTCCCCTAGGACACAGGAGCACAGGCCCCTGTGGAAACAAGGGATCTAGTTAGCTCACATTTAGGTCTCTTGGGAACAGATGGCGACAGCTGGGCTGGTGGTTTGCTGGGGGTCTTCTTTTCTTCTTGGTTCAAATCCAACTTCCTCTTCCCTTTGGGAGACTCCTGGGGCTGAGGGGATGGGGATGGATTGAGGCCTCCAGCTTCTCTCCTCCTCCACCCCACCAAAGTCTGATGATTTCACCTTGGAGGTGCTGCCTATGGCCCTGGAGACTGGAGAGGCTGAGGAGGCAGCACTAGAAGCCTGGAGGGTAGCAGCTGCATAGCTAGGTCCTGCTGGGTCGCTGGCTGTGACTATGAAGGGAGAAAGTGGATCCAGGATGAGAGGGCTGAGCCCCAAGACCCTTTCACTCCTATCTATGGGACACAGAATATTGTTGCCAAAACCCACCAGTGATCCAGGAGTCCCAGCCTCCAGACCTCTCAACCCTCAGGACACAAGAGGCCAGGCCCACCTTCCTCCACCCTGAGACCCAGGAGTCCAGGACTCCACTACCCTCCTCCCTCAGACCCAGGAATCTGAGCCCCAGCCCCCTCTACCCTCAGACCCACGAGTCTAGGTCTCAACCCTACTCACTCAGGACCCACGTTGTCCGAGCTCACCTGGGGATGTCTTGTTGATCCGGCTGAAGAAGAGAGCCCCCGGCCTCAGAGAGTTGGCGCTCTCATCCTCCTCCTTCACACGGAACTGGCCAAGCTTGGTCACTGTCACCTTCTAAGGTCCCGCAAGGTCAGTATTATAGGTGGGCTGCTGGCAGGTGGGGGTGGAGAGGCAGGGAGAAGGCCATGGGGAGTGACAGGTACAGCTTACCTGGGACGGGGCCTCTGCCTCATCTTTGTCTGGGGGGCTATGAAACCGTACAAAACTCAAGCCAAAGGGGGAGTCCTGGGAAAGGAGGGGTGGGAGTCAGGGAGTCTGGCCCAAGGACAGAGGCCAGGGCCCAAGACCCTTTTCACTCAGGGAAACCTCTTCCTGGCTCCTTCCCTCTCATGAACACCCATGTTGAAGGAGGGGCCCTGGCGATGGTGATGACAATTATAGGATTAAGCTGTTATGACTGAGCCCTAACTCTGAGTCTGGCTCCAAGCCCTTTTCACGCATTAGCTCTTTGGGCAATTGGCAGAGTCTACTAGGTGTCCCAGCGAATTCACTGCCCTATGCACAAACTCCTGCCTGTGGAATGGGAGGGAGTGCTGCGTGCCACTTCCAGAACACAGAAGTGTTCCAGGCTCTCTCCTCTGCCAGCTGGATGCAGAGCCAGAAAATAGGAGAAGTCTGGGTCCCTGCACGACCTCATAAGGAGAAGCCAGCTGACAGGCTAAACACTCCCCAGGACAGTTACCTGGGCAAGAAGCACACCTTTAGTGTGTGGCATCATCACATACTCCAGTCTCACTGTTACCACAGCTTTTAGCATCCCTTAACCTACAGCAACCCTGTAAGGATCAGGCAATGGAGGCCCAGAGAGCGTAAGTCACTTGCCCAAGATCACACAGCTAAAAAGTGGTATAGCCAGGACGTGAACTCAGTAATCAGACGCCAGATCTCCTGATGTTAACTACTAGGCCCACTCTACTAGGCCACCTCTCTAACAAGTCAGTTCCCCTCCTCCGATTCCCCTCTGAGATGCTGCAGTTCACCCTTCCTAGATTCCTCCGGGAGATGAAACTTCTCATTACAGGAAAGATCCCAAACCCATTTCAGGGAACGCAGGGACCCAGCCTCCCCATAATCCCATGGGACACCAGCTGTCTACTCCTCCCAGCCCTATGGGACTCAATATTGGCCCTTATTTCCCTCCTTGCCCAGGACCAAGGACTCTGCACCCTGGCTCCCACCCTAGGTACCTTGCTGTAGGGCTGGCTGCAAACAATTTTGACCCGGTCCCAGCGCTTCTCGGCGGCTGCCCGGACCAGCTTGTCAGGCCCAAACATGCGAACGCGGTTGGGGTTTGAGCCACTGCGGCTCTCGGAAGGGGACATGAAAGATGAGGTGACCAGAAGGACCTGGGTGGGAGAAGCCACAGTGCATGAGAACCAGGGCAGGTTGGCTTAGATGAGAGCTTCTAGGGGCTGGGGAAGAGGGCACAGGGCCCACACAGGGGACTGGGAGTCACTAGAATGTAGCTTGGGCCTAGATGTCTCCAGACCCTTTGTTTCTAGGCCTTGAGTCAGTCCTGCCCTGACACAGGCCCCAGAGGGATCTCTTTATCCTCCAGATGTGAGCGACCCTTATCTAAATTCTCCCATGGAGTCTTCCATATCTGGCAATACAGCGGGCTACATGTCCTAAGGAACTTTCCCGGCAGAGAATATTCAGTAAACTGGCACAATATTCAAACACCTTTTGGAAATGCACAGGTGAGTCAGCGGAAAGGCAAGGGGAATTACTAGAGGCTGGAAATGAGAAAACAGAATCCAGAGAGTCAGGCGAGCTGCACTAAGTATTAAGTGATTGTTTCTCAGCTCAAACCTACCCTCTACAACTCATCTCTGTGATCTGGGCCCGCACTTGGCAAACCACCTTTCTGCTTCCCTAGCTGATCGTGACCAGGCTCTGCCAATAGGGGGGGCAAGAGAGAGAGTTTGCAAGGCTGCAGGAGGGAGGAAGGACCAGCTTCTCGTGCATTGCAGATCCTGTGAGCATCACCCCCAGTTAAGCTTCTGCTGCTGCAGTGGTTCCTGCCTGCAGCAGCAGATGAATCCAGTTTGCAGTGTCCCAATACCTCCAGAAACAGCCTCATTCAGCCCCTCTCAGCAGCCGGTGGGGGAGGAAGCCCTCCTCAAACGATCTGAATTTCAGCTCCTGGAGCCCCACCTCCCAGTTTCCAAACATCTACGTTTCAATAATTCCTGCTCCTTTCTTTTGTTCCCCCAACCCTGGGAGTGGTAGCTACTCCCTGCGGTTGCTTCTCCCTCATATCTTAGTCTTCTAGTAACACCTAGTTACTGGTTCTTTCTATCAAATTATCTGTTAAAATAACTGGTGTGGTTTTAATCTCCGGGCAAGGACCCTGACTGACCCGGCAGCACTCATGTTGGTAGTTTGTCATGGTGCTGATCCCAGATAGCAAATAACTTGATTTTATTTATTATTATTATTTTTTTAAGAGACAGGGTCTTTCTCTGTCACCCAGGCTGGAGCACAGTGGTGCGATCATAGCTCACTGCAGCCTCGACCTCTGGGTCTCAAGTGATTCTCCCACCTTGGCCTCTGAGTAGCTGGGTCTAGAGATGCACGACACCACACCTG
This sequence comes from Homo sapiens, assembly GCF_000001405.40. NCBI lineage: Eukaryota > Metazoa > Chordata > Mammalia > Primates > Hominidae > Homo > Homo sapiens. The sequence continues at coordinate 43,556,051 of NC_000019.10, forward strand.
GCTAATTTTTTATTTTTTGTAGAGGCATGGTCTTGCTATGTTGCCCAGGCTGGTCCTGAACTCCTGGCCTCAAATGATCCTCTCACCTCAGCCTCCCAAAGCTATAGAAGTACAAGTGTAAGCCACCACACCCAGCTAGAACTTGATCTTTAAGGGTTATGCACGTGGTGGTGAAAGAGAACAAGAGAGAAAACCTAGGCTCCAAGCAAGGGAGAGTGGCATCTCAGAGATCCTCACCACACTGCATAGAACTGAGGACTCCCCAAAGGCAACGCCCACACTAGTTACATGAAGGGGAAATAAGCCTGTGGAAAGAGTCCCTGGGAGGCCTGTCTGTCTTGGCCTTAGCTTGGGGGGACACCAAAGAAGAGGTGAAAATTCTTCTCGGGAGAACTCCTCACAAGTCTGTTCTCTCAAGGAATTGAGAGTAGCAATTCATGTTAGCAATCTGCATTGAAAAACCCAAGCTGAGGCCAGGCGCGGTGGCTCACGCCTGTAATCCCAGCACTTTGGGAGGCCAAGGCAGGCGGATCATTTGAGGTTAGGAGTTCAATACCAGCCTGGCCAACATGGTAAAACCCCATCTCTACTAAAAATACAAAATTTAAGCCAGGCATGGTGGCAGACGCCTGTTGTCCCAGCTACTCGGGAGGCTGAGGCACGAGAATTGCTTGAACCCAGGAGGCGGAGGTTGCAGTGAGCTGAGATCGCACCATTGCACTTAAGCCTGGTGGACAAGAGGCCAGGAGTTCAAGACCAGCCTAGCCAACATGGTGAAACACCGTCTTTACTAAAAATACAAAAATTAGCTGGACATGGTGGTAGGCACCTATAATCCCAGCTACTCGAGAGGCTGAGGCACAAGAATCGCTTGAACCCAGGAGTTGGAGGTGATGGTGAGCCGAGATTGTGCCACTGCATTCCAGCCTGGGTGACGGAGCAAGACTCTGCCAAAAAACAAAAAACGAAACAAAAAGACTGGGCACAGTGGCTCACACCTGTAATCCCAGCACTTTGGGAGGCCAAAGCAGGCAAATCACGAGGTCAGGAGATCGAGACCATCCTGGCCAACATAGTGAAACCCCATCTCTACTAAAAATACAAAAAAATTAGCTGGGCATGGTGGCGCGTGCCTGTAGTCCCAGCTACTCGGGAGGCTGAGGCAGGAGAATCACTTGAACCCAGGAGGCGGAGGTTGCAGTGAGCCAAGATTGCGCCACTGCACTCCAGCCTGGCAATAGAGCGAGACTCCGTCTCAAAAAAAAAAAAAAAAAAAAAAAAGATGAATGCAGCCACTTTTGGTTGGGTATATTTTGTTACTGACTTAGTCTCTTTTCTAACTGACATGCTGTGAAATTATAAAATTGGACAATAAAGCCTTTTGCTGAGAAAAACAGAACATAACTATAGCTCTCTTTGTGCACAGCTGATTATGCAAAGGAAACAAGAAAGACAATTATACAGAAGGGAAGTTTTCTTCCTGACCTTGACTATACTTGTTTATAAAAGGCCTGATTTGGAGCTGACAGGGAAGCTGCATTTATCATCTGGTGACTAACATGGGAAAACCCTGTCCTACTAAATACAAAAAAAATAGCCATGCATGGTGGCACAGGCCTGTAATCCGAGCTACTTGGGAGGCTAAGATGGAGAATCGTTTGTACCTGGGAGGCGGAGGTTGCAGTGAACCGAGATTGCACCACTGCACTCCAGCCTGGGCAACAGGAGCAAAATTCCATCTCAAAAAAAAAAAAAAAAAAAAAAAAAAAGGAAGGAGGGAGGGAAGGAGGGGAGGGAGAATGGAAGGAAGGAAGGCTCCTGTGACTTTGGGTTTGTGCCTTTGATGTTTTTGAAGAGTAGAGGTCAGTGATTTTTGTCAGATATCACTTATTGTACAAAGTATCTGATGTTTCCTTGTGATTAATTTAGGTTGCACACTTTGGCCAGAATACCACAGAAGTGATGTGTAATATACAGTTTATTTTGTATATTGACTTCTCATCTTGTGACCTTCACTTACTAAACCTTGTAGTTTGTCTAGATCTCTTGGGATTTTCTGCATAGACAATCATGCCATCTGTGAAAAAAGATAGTTTTCTTTTTTCTTTTTCTCACCTTGTCACACTGACTAGTGCAAAGTTGGGCATGGTGGTGCAAGCCTGTAGTCCCAGCTACTTGAGGGGCTGTGGAAGGAGGATCACTTGAACCCGGGAGGACAAGGCTGCAGTGAGCTGAGATCGTGCCACTGCACTCCAGCCTGGGTGACAAAGTGAGACCTCGTTTCAAAAAAAAAAGAGTAGGCCAGGTACACACAGCAGCTCACATGTGTAATCCTAGCACTTTGGGAGGCCGCAGCAGGTGGATCACCTGACCTCAGGAGTTCAAGACCAGCCTGGGCAACACAGTGAAACCCTATTTCTACAAAAAATATTTAAAAATTAGCCGGGCATGATGGCTCCCACTAGCTACTTGGGGGGCTGAGGCGGGAGGATCACTTGAGCCCAGGAGGCAGAGGTTGCAGTGAGCTGAGATCATGCCACTGTACTCCAACCTGAGCAACAGAGTGAGACCCCCATCTCAAATAAATAAATAAATAAATAAATAAATACATATATACATAAATAAATAATATGGTTAAAAAAAGAGACAGTTTGGTATTGGCATAAAGAAAACTATACATATCAATGGAACAGAGAAGAGAGTACAGAAATAAACCCATACATATGGTTAATTAATTCTCAACAAGGAGTCAAAATGATTCAATGAGAAAAGGCAAGTCTTTTTTTTTTTTTCAAAGTATTTTCAGCCAGGTGCAGTGGCTCAGGTCTGTAATCCCAATACTTTGGGAGGCCAAGGTGGGAGGATCACTTTAAGCTCAGGAGTTCAAGACCAGCCAGGCAATGTAGTGAAACCCCATTTCTACAAAAAATTTTTTAAAAAATTAGCCGGGTATGGCGGCTCACACCTATAGTCCCAGCTACTCAGGAGGCTGAGGCTGGAGAATCCCTTGAGTCTGGGAAGCGGAGGTTGCAGTGAGCCAAGATCATGCCACTGCACTCCAGCCTGGCCAACAGAGTGAGACTCTGTCTTAAAATAAATAAAATAAATAAATAAGCATTGTCAACAAACATATAAAAAAGATACAGAAAAGGGCCGGGTGCGGTGGCTCACACCTGTAATCCCAGCACTTTGGGAGGCTAAGGTGGGCAGATCACAAGGTCAGGAGATCGAGACCATCCTGGCTAACACAGTGAAACCCTGTCTCTACTAAAAATACAAAAAATTAGCCGGGCATGGTGGCACGTGCCTGTAGTCCCAGCTACTCCGGAGGCTGAGGCAGAATGGCGTGAACCCGGGAGGTGGAGCTTGCAGTGAGCCGAGATCGCGCCACTGCACTCCAGCCTGGGCAACAGAGTGAGACTCCATCTCAAAAAAAAAAAAAAAAAAAAAAAAGATACAGAAAAAATAAACCTTATCCCCTGCTTCACACAATACACAAAAATTCACTTGAGATGAAACAGAGATCTAAATGTAAAATCTAAAAATAGAAAGCTTCTAGAAGAAAACATAGGAGACAGGCAGAATAACAGCTCCTCAAAGATGTTTACATCCTAATCCCTGAACCTGGAAATGTGGCAGAAGGCACTTTGCAGATGTGATGAACTTGAAGATGTTGAAATGGGGGAGATGCCCCTGGATTATCCGGGTAGGCCAAGTGTCATCATAAGGGTCTTTATAAGAAAGGAGGGCTGGGTGTGGTGGCTCATGCCTGTAATCCTAGCACTTTGGGAGGCTGGGGTGGGTGGATCACTTGAGCCCAGGAGTTTGAGACCAGCCTGGGCAACACAGTGAAACCCTCTCTCTATAAAAAATAACAAAAGCTAGCCAGGAGTGGTGGTGTGCACCTGTAGCCCTGGCTACTTGGGAGGCTGAGGTGGGAGAATCACTTGAACCTCAGAGGCAGAAGTTGCAGTGAGCTGAGAACACGCCACTGTACTCCAGCCTGGGCAACGGAAATGAAACCCTGTCTCAAAAAAAAATGAACAAAAGAAAAAGAAGGCCAGGCGCAGTGGCTCACGCCTGTAATCCCAGCACTTTGGGAGGCTGAGGCGGGCAGATGACGAGGTCAGGAGTTCGAGACCAGCCTGGCCAATATGGTGAAACCCCGTCTCTACTAAAAATACAAAAAAAAAAAGTTAGCCGGGCGTGGTGGTGGGCACCTGTAGTCCCAGCAACTCGGGAGGCTGAGGCAGAAGAATAGCTTGAACCCGGGAGGCAGAGGTTGCAAGGAGCTGAGATCGCGCCAGTGCACTCACTCCAGCCTGGGCGACAGAGCGAGACTCCGTCTCAAAAAAAAAAAAAGAAAAAGAAAAAAAGAAGGCAAGAGAGTCAGAGTTGGAGAAGTAACAATGGAAGTGGAAGCAGGCGTTAGAGTGACAGGAGTGCTGGCTTTGATGAAGGAAGGGTCACAAGCTGAGGAGGGCAGATGGACTCTAGAAGCTGAAATAGGCAAGGAAATGGATTCTCCCCTAGAGCCTCCAGAAGGAACAGGGCTCTGCCTACACCTAGATTTTAGCCCAGTGAGAGTGATTTCAGACTTCTGACCTCCAGAACAGTCGAATAATACATTTGTGTCATTTTAAGCCATGATCCAAACTTGCTCTCTTCCCTGATGTGCAGTTTACCGCCCTGTGTCTGCCTTCTGTCTCCTCCGTACACTGGGTGATCCTCCAGAGGGCAGCAATCAGGTGTGACTCACATCTGCCCCATGTCTTCCCAGCCCCAGCCCCTGGGGGAGACGGTGATGCGAGCATGAGGGGCAGAGGTCAGTATGGGATCCATCTCATAGCCCTGCTTACCTCATAGTCTTGCTCCCCAGCGCCTCCAGCTGAACTGCCCACCAGCACCTCCACGAAAGCTGAGCCATCATTCCCAATGTCCACACTGTGTATCTGCTCCTCCTTCTCCAACTGTGGGCAGAGAGAGAGGCCACTGTCAGTGCCTGCTCTGCCTCTGGGCTCACTGTGGGACCTCAGGATGAATCTCCTTTGGATCACCATGTCCCTGTAATGTCAATTCTGTGAGGGGGCACACCAGGGTTGAATGGTGCCATGTGTCCCCTCCATGCAGCACAGGGTATGGCATGGAGCAGAAACTCACAAAATAGTCACTGAATGAATGCATACGCGCCCACCTCACACATACCTGCTTCCCTGACCTCTCCAGACTCCACCAGGTCAGCTTATCACACACTGCCATAGAGCTCTCCTTGATAAGCACTTGCCAGAGTTATAACTTTATTCAAATCATCATGCAGACAAACAGCACATGTCACCCCTCACCCACAATCGCAGAGGACTCCAGGAAACCTCCCTGAGGGCAGGGGCTTTGTCCGATCTTGCTCACCGCTGGTTCCTGGGTTTGAATCCCAGCTGTGCTGCACACTAGCTGTATGACCATACCAGTTAACCTTTTGGAGCCTCAGTTTTCTCATCTGTAAAATGGGAATGACCACCATATCTAGGATCATGCACATAAATAATGGCCACAGGGCATGGCGAAGAGTAGGCAATTATCTGCTGTCAGTCAGGAGGTATTATTAGTCAGTGCTAGACAACTATTTGTTGAAAGAAGAAAAGAGCTACCTATAGGAGGGCTCATCTCAAAGGATCTGCCATTCCTGTCTGACAGATGAAGATGCAGAAAGCCGTGCGGGCCATGCGGGCACGGGAGGCAGTTAGGTTGAGGCAAGTGTCCTGCCTTCCAGTTTGGGGCTCTTTTATTAGGATCCTAGAATGACGCATTATTACAACTCTCAAAGGTACCTGGGCCAGGTGCAGTGGCTCAAGCCTGTAAATCCAGCACTCTGCGAGGCCAAGGCAGTGGACCACTTGAGGCCAGCCTGGCCAACATGGCAAAACCCCTTCTCTACTAAAAATATAAAATATAGCCGGGCATGGTGACACATGCCTGTAGTCCCAGCTCTTCAAGAGGCTGAGGCACAAGAATCTCTTGAACCTAGGAGGCAGAGGTTTCAGTAAGCAGAGATCATGCCACTGCACTCCAGCCTGGGTGACAGAGCGAGACTCTGTCACAAAAAAAAAAAAAAAAAAAACCAAGGTACCTAGTCCACCCTACACTGCCCTCTCCCACCCCTGGTGATGACAGATGCTCCAATCTGCTCTGTTGCCTCCCTGTCAGATCATCTAGACATCACCTGCACACTGCTATCAACAGGAACACCACTGTATGGAAGGAGGGAGCCTGGACTTGGGGTGAGGTAGGCCTGGGCTCAAATACAGCAATGCCATTTCCAACCTGCACAACCTTGGGTGACGTATTCAACGTCTCTGTGAGGCAGTTTCCTCACATGCAAAAAGGGAAGATGGTCATTAACAACCCTCCCTCCTTGGCCAGGCGCAGTGGCTCACGTCTCTATAACCAGCACTTTGGGAGGCTGGGGTGGGAGGATCACTTGAGGCTGGGAGTTCAAGACCAGCCTGGGCAACATAGCCAGACCTTGTCTCTACAAAAATTACAAAAATTAGCAAGGCATGGTGGCACATACCTGTGGTCCCAGCTACTCAGGAGGCTGAGGAAGGAGGATCGCGTGAGCCTGGGGAGGTCAAGGCTGCAGTGAGTCATGTTCGCATCACTGTACTCTGGGCGACAGAGTGATGAGACCTTGTCTTCAAAAAAAAACTTACCCTCCCTCTGAAGGAAGTTGAGATGACACAGAATTAACAACTATAACCACAACTGCGGCCAACATCCGAGTGCACTGAGCGCTCCTGGTGTGCCAGACTCCTGCTAATAATACATGTATCTACTCTCCTGCAATGGCTCTGCCAGGCAGTTGCTATAATTATCTCCATCTTACACATGAGCAAACGGAGGCAGGAAGTGGTTATGTAACTTCACAGCTGGTGGGTGGCAAAGCCGGACCGGAACCCAGGCAGGCTGGCAACAGTCCACGCGTGCTCCTCCATCACACCACTGACGTGCTAGAGGAGGAAGATGGTGCTGGAGGAAGGGCCTGCCTAAGGCTGAGGCCGGCAGACCTCCTGCTGACTCCCCTGCCTCCACCGCCATTCCCAGCCCTGGGCCCTGGGCAGTGTACAGTGCTGCCTGGGCTCATGAGATGTCCCAGTCTGGGCCAGGTGTGGTGGCTCACACCCGTAATACCAGCACTTTGGGAGGCTGAGACAGGTGAATCGCTTGAGGTCAGGAGTTTGAGACTAGCCTGGCCAACATGGTGAAACCCTGTCTCTACTAAAAATATGAAAATTAAAATTAGCCGGGCATGGTGGTGAGCGCCTGTAATCCCAGATACTGGGGAGGCTGAGGCAGGAGAATCACTTGAACCCGGGAGGCAGAGGTTGCAGTGAGCCGAGATTGTGCCACTGCACTCCAGCTTGGGCGATGGAGTGAGACTCTGTCTCAAAAACAACAACAACAACAAAAACAACAATAACAAGAAGTCCCAGTCTGACTGCTCCCCAGGCCAGGCTTGGTGACTTTCCACCAGCCACAACGGCCTCCCTTCTGTGCCAAGAACAGTCTGGCTCCTTCCCACCTCAGGGCCTCTGCACCTGCCAATCCCCCTGCCTAGACCACTCTTCCCTCAAACATATCCATAGCTGGGTAAAAGTTTGCCTTCTGTGCTTCAGGTGCCCACTCAGATGTCACTTCAGACCATAAGTAACCTACCTCGCCCCCTACCTGGTGCCACTCTCTATCTCCCTACCCGACTTTACTTTTCTTCATGATTACTGCCTGGTGTTACACAGTTACATCTTTTTTGTTTGTATTTGTCTAGCATCTGTCTCTCCCGCCAGACTTTTAAGCTCCACAAGAGCAAGGACAGTATCGTCTGAGTTGTTCCCTACTGTGTCCCCAAGGCCAAGAACAGTGTCTGGTCCTTCCCAGCTCTGCTGATTTCCTGCTGTGTGATCCTGGAGCAAATGGTTTCATTTCACCCCTTGTGCCTCAGTTTTCGAACCTATGAAATGGGGACAATAACAACGTCTATCTCATAAAGTTGTTGAGAACATTCAAATCCATACCAAGAATGAGAAATAACATACCAAGTGCCTGGAATACTGCCTGGCACCGAGCAAACACTACATAAATGTCAGCTGCGAATATCATTAACACAGCAGGCCTCTACTGCATTCCCAATGGATGTACAGACAGACGCAGAACAGGCGCCCAGCAACCGTTTGCAGAAGTTACTACTCAAGAGTTATTAAGCAGTAACTCTGGCTCTGTCCTCCCTTACCAAGTGGCCCTGTTGAGCCCCTTCTCTGCTGCTTGCCTGGGTGTCCCATCTGTCACAAGAGGATCATCATGGCTAACATTTTCGGATTCTCACCATGTGCCAGGTGCTTGGTGTATGAGTTTCCTGTTACTGTTGTACAAATTAGCACAAACTTTGTGGCTAAAAACACAAATTTGGCCAGGCGCAGTGGCTCACGCCTGTAATCCCAGAACTTTGGGAGACTGAGGCAGGCGGATCACCTGAGGTAGGGAGTTCGAGACCAGCCTGACCAAAATGCAGAAACTCCGTCTCTACTAAAAATACAAAATTAGCCAGGCGTGGTGGCGCATGCCTGTAATCCCAGCTACTCAGGAGGCTGAGGCAGGAGAATTGCTTAAACCGGGGGGGCGGAGGTTGCAGTGAGCCGAGATCACACCACTGCACTCCAGCCTGGGCAAGAAGAGCGAAACTCCGTCTCAAAAAAACAAAAAAAAAACACACAAATTTAATATCTTACAGATCTGGAGGTCAAAAGTCTGAAACTCGGCCTTACAGGGCTAAAATCTAGATGCGGCAGGGCTGCATTCCTTCCTTCCGGGAGCACTAGAGGAGAACGTGTCTCCTTGCATCTTCGGCTTCTCGAGGCCACCTGCCTTCCTTGGCTCACAGTCCCTTCCTCGTCTTCAAAGCTGCTGAAAGCGCTGGCATCACTCCAGGCTCTGCTTGCATCTTCACAGCTCTGGTTCCAGCTCTCTTGCCTCCCTCTTTCCCTTATAAGGCCTCTGGGGGTTACGTGAGGCCCACCAGATAATCCAGGGCACTCTCCCCATCTCAAGATCCTTAATTTAATCAAACCCACAGAGCTCCTTTGGCCATTAAAATATTTCCAGGTTCTGGGGATGAGGACATGAACATCTTTTGAGCACCACTGTTCTGTCCACCACACTTGGCTAAGCATGGGCCGGGCATCACTGAAGCCTCAAAACCACTTTAAATAGAAGGGTCTGTTACGACTCCAGTTTCACAGATGGGGAAACTGAGGCTCAGACAGGTTTAATCAATAGCTTACATGGCACACAAGCTAATAACTAGCAGAGTACTTCGGACGCAACTGCCTGACTGCAAAGCACTGTCCAATACCACCACTGTTCTCAACTCCTTTCTTTCCATCCCTGAGTCAAACTCAACATCTTTACCTCTCCCACAATATTCAGCATAGCTCCTAAATGTGGTAGGATGGAGATGCTTGTATTTTAAATGAACAATTCCTACTGCATATATAACTATTTCTACTTTAAACAGGCACTCCCTGACATTTCTTCTTTGTATATAAAAAAAGTCCTGGCTAGGAGCACTGGCTCACGCCTGTAATCCCAGCACCGTGGGAGGTGGAGGCGGGAGAATCACTTGAGGCCAGGAGTTCGAGACCAGCCTGGCCAACATAGCAAAACCCTGTCTCTACCAAAAATAAAAAAAGTTAGCTGGGTGTGGTGACACGCACCTCAATAATCCCAGCTACTCAGGAGGCTAAGGCACAAGAATTACTTGAACCTGGGAGGTGGAGGTTGCAGTGAGTTGAGACGAGCCACTACACCCCAGCCTGGGTGATAAAGTGAGACTCTGTCTCAAGAGAGAAAACAACAGGCTGGGCACAGTGGCTCACACCTGTAATCTCAGCACTTTGGGAGGCCAAGGCAGGCAGATCACTTGAGGCCAGGAGTTCAAGACCAGCATGACCAATATGGTGAAACCCTGTCTCTACTAAAAATATAAAAATTAGCCAGACTTGGTGGCGTGCACCTGTAATCCCAGCTACACAGGAGGCTGAGGCCAGAGAATCACTTGAACCTGGGAGGCAGAAGTTGCAGCGAACCGAAATCATGCCACTGCACTCCAGCCTGGGTGACAGAGTGAGACTCCATCTAAAAAAAAAAAAAAGTGGCCAGGCACGGTGGCTCAGGCCTGTAATCCTAGCACTTCGGGAGGCAGAGGTTGGCAGATCACAAGGTCAGGAGAGTTCAAGACCAGGCTGGCCAAGAGGGTGAAACCCCGTCTCTAGTAAAAATACAAAAATTAACCAGGCATGGTGGCAGGCGCCTGTAATCCCAGCTACTCGGGAGGCTGAGGCAGAGAATTGCTTGAACCCAGGAGGCGGAGGTTGCAGTGAGCCAAGATCATGCCACTGCATTCCAGCCTGGGTGGCAGAGCAAGACTCTGTCTCAAAAAAAAAAAAAAAAAAAGTAAATAAATACTTTTTAAGAATCTGATAAAAATGTTTATACATGGAGGCTGGGGTGGTGGCTCACGCCTGTAATCCCAACACTTTGGGAGGCCAAGGCAGGTGGATTTCTTGAGCCCAGGAGTTCAAGACCAACCTGGGCAACACGGCGAAACCCCGTCTCTACTAAAAACAGAAAAATTAGTTGGGCATGGTGGCATGCGCCTGTAGTCCCAGCTACTCAGGAGACTGAGGCACGAGAATCACTTGAACCTGGGAAGCAGAGGTTGCAGTGAGCCGAGATTGCACCACTGCATTCCAGCCTGGGCAACAGAGCAAGACTCAATCTCAAAAAAAAAAAAAAAAAAAGGTTTATATATACATGGTAACAACCCAATAAATGTCCATCAGTTGATGAATAGATAAACATTGTACAGTATATTTATGGAATATCATCCAGTTATTTAAAAAACTGAAGTTGTGATATATGCTACAACATGGATGAACCTCAGAAACATTATGCAAAGTGTAACAAGGTTAAGTGTAAAAGACCACGTATACATTTATAAGTCCAGAATACGCAAATCCAGAGAAGCAGAAAGTAGATCAGTGGTTGCCAAGGGCAACATTGGGGAGAGAATAAGAAGTGACTGTTTAATGGTTATGTGGTTTCTTTTTGGAGTGATGAAAATATTCTGAATTAGAGAATGGAGATGGTTGAAGAACATTGTCAATATGCTAAAAAAAAAAAAAAAACCCTGAAATGTGCACTTTATTTATTTATTTATTTATGTTTTTTGTTGAGACGGAGTCTCACTCTGTTGCCCAGGCTGGAGTGCAGTGGTGCAATCTCAGCTCACTGCAAACTCTGCCTTCCAGTTCAAGTGATTCTCTTGCCTCAGCCTCCCGAATAGCTGGGACTACAGGCACGCACCACCACCCCCGGCTAATTTTTGTATTTTCAGTAGAGATGGGGTTTCACCATGTTGGCCAGCCTAGTCTCGAATCCCTGACCTCAAGCAATCCACCCGCCTTGGCCTCCCAAAGTGCTGGGATTACAGGTGTGAGCTACCGCATCTGGCTGAAATGTGCACTTTAAATGGTTAAAACAGTAAATTTTATGTGAATTTTTCTCAAAATAAGAGATGAGTGCTCAGTATGTATCAGCTGTGAGGATAAGAGCACAAGATGACTATCACCGATGGCCTGGGTTCGTGTGCATGCAGCTTTCTCAGGGAGACACAGTTCTGATATGAACTGTTCCTGAAACAAACATGGCACAGGAAGGCAAAGTTCCTGAGATATATTGCTAAAAAACTGTTTCACATCCATGAAATGCAATCTTTTCTTTTTTTTTTTTTTTTGAGACAGAGTCTTGCTCTGTCACCCAGGCTAGAGTACAGTGGCACGATCTCGGCTCTCTGCAACCTCCGCCTCCCGGGTTCAAACAATTCTCCTGCCTCAGCCTCCCAGGTAGCTGGGATTACAGGTGCCCACCACTGCACCTGGCTAATTTTTATATTTTTAGTAGAGACAGGGTTCCACCATCTTGGCCAGGCTGGTCTTGAACACCTGACCTCGTGATCCACCTGCCTCAGCCTCCCAAAGTGCTGGGATTACAGGCGTGAGCCACCGCGCCCGGCCATGAAATGCAATTGTATGCATCATTTAAAAGAATAAGGTAGGCTGCGCACGGCGTGGCTGACGCCTGTAATCCCAACACTTTGGGAGGCCAAGGCAGGAGGATCACTTGAGGTCAGGAATTCAAGACCAGCCTGGCTAACATGGGGAAACCCCATCTCTACCAAAAATACAAAAATTAGCCAAGCCTGGTGGCATGTGCCCGTAATCCCAGCTACTAGGGAGATTGAGGCAGGAGAATCACTTGAAGCTGGGAGGGGGAGGTTGCAGTGAGCCACGATCGCACTACTACACTCCAGCCTGAGTGACAGAGCGAGATTCTGTCTCAAAGTAAGTAAGTAAGTAAGTAAGTAAATAAATAAATAAATAAATAAGGTAGAACTTCATGCAGTGTGCATCTCCAAAATACACTGTTACTTGAAAAAAAACACACAAGGGAACAGTGTATATACTATGAATTTTTTAAAAAGGGATGGAGGCGGTAGGTATATATGCTTGTATGTGTACAGAATGACCCAGGAAGACCACCCAAAAAAACTGCTAATGGTGGTTGCATCAGGAGAGAAGAATGAGGGAGCAGGAGTTGGGGAGGGAGCAGGAGTTGGGGAGGGAGCAGGGAGGGATGGAAAGGGTGAGGGGAGATTTTCTTTTTAGTGTATACCCTTTTGCACCTTTTGAATTTTGCACTATATGCATATAATACCCATTCAGAAAGCAAATATAATAAAACCCCAATGGCCAGGTCTTTGTGGCTCTGTCTGTAATCCCTGTAATCCCAGCTACTCAGGAAGCTGCCTCCAAAAAGCTTAAAAAAAAAAAAAAAAATTAGTTGGGTGTGGTGGTGTGCACCTATAGTCCTAGCTACTCAGGAGGCCAAGTTGGGGGATCACCTGAGATCAACAGTTCAAGACCAGCCTTGGCAACATAGTGAGACTCCGTTTAAAAAAGAAAATCAAATATAAATAAATAAAACCATAATAGTTATCTCAATACAACAGAATACTATACAGAAATGACAATAGGCCAGGTGCAGTGGCTCATGTCTGTAATCCCAAGGATTTAAGAAGCTGAGGCAGGAGGAATGCTTGAGTCCAGGAGTTCAAGACCAGCCTAGACAACACAGTGAGACCCCCATCTCTGCAAAAAAAATACAAAAATTAGACTGGTGAACTGGCACATGCCTGTAGTCCCAACTACTGAGGAGGCTGAGGTGGGAGGATCGCTTGAGCCCGGGAGGTCGAGCCTGTAGTGAGCTGAGATGGTGCCACTGCACTCCAGCCTGGGCAACATAGTGAGACCCTGTCTCAAAAAAAAAAAAAAAAGACAATAGGAGTCGAGCACAGTGGCTCATGCCTGTAATCCCAGCACTTTGGGAGGCCAAGGCAGGTGGATCACTAGAGGTCAGGAGTTCGAGACCAGCCTGACCAACATGGTGAAAACCTGTCTCTACTAAATACAAAAAATTAGCCAGGCGTGGTGGTGCATGCCTGTAATCCCAGCTACTTGGGAGGCTGAGGCAAGAGAACCACTTGAACCTGGGAGGCGGAGGTTGCAGTGAGCTGAGATTGTGCCATTGCACTCCAGCCAGAACAACAAGACGAAACTCCGTCTCAGAAAAAAAAAAAATCACAATAAATCATCTACAGCTACACTGAACGACATAGATGAAATGAACAAACATAACAAGGGAAGCCAGATAAGAAAAGTTTATACCACACGATTCCATTTTATATGCAATTCAAAATCAGGCAAAATGAATCTATGCTGTTAACAATCAGGACAGTGGTTACCCTTGCAGGGGTACTGACAGAAAGAACCTGAGGGAACTGCTGGGGGCTAGGCATGTTCTGTGCTGCATCTGGGTGTGGAGTACACAGGGCTGCAGTTTGCAAAGAGTCACTGAGCTGTACTCTTACTTACACCTTCACTTCACTCTATGTATGTTACACATCAAAAAACAGTAAAAACAAATTTAAGACACCACAGTGGCGAACTGAGTGATTAGAAAACCAATAACAATCAAAAATGACCATAGGCCCTATTGCTGATGAACATTTCTTCTAAAAATGACACACCTCCAGTGACACACCAGAGTTATATCTGGGTCTTGTCCAAGCCACCCCTCCAGCCCAGGAGTAGTTAGCAAAGAGGTTGGCATTTCCCTCTGGGAGCAGGTGATGAACAGACAACAGAGCCTGCTGTGGCTACTGCAAACAACCAGGTGTGTGGGGCTGTCATAAGCAGATGGCTAAGCCCCATGTGGTAAGATCGAGATTTTGCATAACAATAATTAGAGGAGAAAATGCAGGGTAGTAGAAGAACCCACAGATGTGGCCAGGTGCAGTGGCTCATGCCTGTAATGCCAGCACTTTGGGAGGCCAAGACAGGAGGACTGCTTGAGCTCAGGAGTCCGAGACCAGGCTGGGCAACATAGTGAGACCCCATCTCTACGAAAAATTTTTAAAATTAGCTGGGCCTGGCGGCACACGCCTGTAGTCCCAGCTATCTGGGAGGCTGAGGTGGGAGGATTGCCTGAGCCCAGGAGGTTGAGGCTACAGTGAGCCATGACTTTGCAACTGCACTCCAACCTGGGCAAGAGAGTGAGACCCTGTCTCAAAACATAACATAACAACCCAGAGATAAGCCTACTGCCTTGGTGGCCAGAAATGTCTGCCTTTATCAGTTACGTCAAAAGAATCAAAATTAGCATTTGATGAATCCAGAGTAACCCCACAAATTAGTCATTGCCAGATGCAATCAGTCATTCCAAAGGGTCTCTGACGTGGAGTAAGTTAACAAAACAACTGCTGCAATGCTGATCTCCCACTCCTGTGTGTGGCCCCTGCAGTTGATTGTCAACATGGAGCCAGCAGGATCCTGTGAAGGCCTAAGGCAGATCCTGTCCCTCCTCTGCTCGGAGCCCTCCGGTGGCTCCTATCTCACACCTGGAGTAAAAGCTCAAGTCCTTTCAATGGCTTTCCAGGCCTTAAGTGGTTTTTTAGGGGTTCCCAGTCCCACCCTGTTACCTCATCTCCTACCTCTCTCCCCCTGGCTGACTCCACCCCAGCCATACTGGCCTCCTTGCTGTCACAAGCCAGCTTCAGAGTCTTTTCCCTAGATACATACATAGCTCATGTTGCTCAAATGTCCCCTTTTCAGGGAGGCCTTCCCGGACCCTACTATTTAAATAAAAATCCTTGCCACTGCTCCAGCTCCAGCTGGGGCACTCTCATTCCCCTTCATTAAGTTCCTCCATAGCACTCATCATCCAACATATGTTTCACTGACTCATTTGTCAGTCTTTCCCTACTAACGTGAAAGCTCCACAAGACTGAATTTCTTTTGTTTTTAAGAGACAGCATCTCATTCTGTTGCCCAGGCTGGAGCGCAATGGTGCGATCATAGCTCACTACAGCCTTGATCTTCCAGGCTCAAGTGATCCTCCCGCCTCAGCCTCTGGAGTAGCTGGGACCACAGGCATAGGCCACCACGCTTGGCAGATTTTTGTATTTTTAGTAGAGATGAAGTTTCCCTGTGTTGCCCAAGCTGGTCTCGAACTGCCAGGCCTTGGCCTCCCAAAGTGCTGGGATTATAGGCGTGAGCTTACTGCACCCCACTGAGAGTGAATATTTTTTGTCTTCTGCTGTGTACTGCTGTATTAAAACAGTGCTTGGCCTACAGAAGGCACTTAATAAATACTTGACTAAATAAATGAGTGAATGAACAAATAAATCCATCATCTACTCCCGAGTCTATAGGTTCTTTCTCTGCACTGACAACTTCCCCACATTCTGTCTTCAGCTCCACATGTGATCCCCAACTGCCTCCTGGATGCCACCCCTAGAATGTCCCAAAGTCACATCAAACCTGGACATCCCAACTGAAACACATCACCTCCCCAAGCTGCTCCCTCTGGGGTTTACCATGTTGGTGACCGCTGCAATACTCCCTCAGTCTCTCCCAGGCCAGAGACAGGTTCTGTCTCTTCTGCCTCCAGTCACTCTGTTTCCACAGCAACTGGGGTAACAGAATGAAATGTGATTTCCCTGGAGTCACTTGATCATAAGAGAGCCCAGTGGAATCATCACCCACTAAGTAATAAAAACACAAATCCCTCCCTCTACACAAACACCTACATGTTGACAGAGCACTTGTGCAGACATTATGTCACCGAATTTTCACAACTCCGGGCTTGGATGTCATTATTCCCAATGGACACATGAGAAAACAGGTTAGAGAAATGAAACAATTTTCTTGAGGTCACCGATTAAGAGGAAGAGCTGGGGGCTTGAATCTAGATCTCAAGACTAAAACTGTCAGCAATCTGTATCTATCACAGTTTAAAAGACTGAGGTCAGGTGCAGTGGCTCATGCCTGTAATCCCAACATTTTGGGAGGCCAAGGTGGGTGGATCACTTAAATTAGCATTTGGTGCTCATTTGCCTTGAACTCCTGAGGTCAGGAGTTCAAGACCAGCCTAGCCAACATGGCAAAACTCGGTCTCTATTATAAATACAAAAATTAGCCAGGCATGTAAATTCCAACTACTCAGAAGGCTGAGGCATGAGAATCATTTGAACCTGGGAAGTGGAGGCCATTAGTTGACAGGCACTAAACACTGACATCAATTGGGGTGGACCAGATGATGTTACAGTAACAAAGGAGTCCCTAATCTCAGTGGTTTAAAACAACCAAGTTGTATTAACTTACACTGTAATAATGCTGTGTAACAAATCATCCTAAAACTGAGATCTTTTCTTTTTTTTTTTTTTTTTTTTTTTGAGATACAGTCTCACTCTGTCTCACAGGCCGGAGTGCAGTGAAACCATCACAGTTCACTGCAGCTTCAACCTTATGGGCTCAATCAATCCTCCCCGCTCAGCCTCCCTGGTAGCTGGGACTACAGGCATACGCCACCAAGCCCAGCTATTTTTTATAATTTTTCGTAGAGATAGGGTTTCCCCATGTTACCCAGGCTGGTCTCAAACTCCTGGGTTCAAGCGATTCACCCACCTCGACCTCCCAACATGAAAACTGAGACTTATACCAACAAGCATTCTTATAAGAATTTGTGGGATGGCTGCTTTGGCTGCAGTTTGGGAGGATTCAGGTCTCTTCCATGAGATTCCACAGTTTTCTGGGATTAGCAGTAACCTGGCAAATGTTCTCATGGCATATTATGGGAGCACAAAAGCCAAGTGCATTTAAGGCCCTTGCTGAAGTTAGATGTGCTGAAATTCCATTAAGTAAATCATATGGTCAAACTCATCAATGGAGCAGGGAAATATACTCCCCCTCCAGTGGGAGGGAGAGGAGTGGATATTTGCTGAATGACTGCCCATTCACAAAAGGTTAATTTTTCCGTCACCCTAGCACTATCCACAGAGTGTTCTGCTCCTTATAGTCATAAAGCAGCCCCCAGGCCAGGAACAATGGTTCATGCCTGTCATCCGAGCACTTTGGGAGGCTGAAGCAGGAGGAACGCTTGAGCCCAGGAGTTTGAGACCAGCCTGGCAACATGGTGGAAACCCCATCTCTAAAAAAATACAAAAAAAACTAGCCAGGCATGGTGGTGCACACCTGCAGTCCCAGCTACTCAGGAGGCTGAGGTGGGAGGATCGCTTGAGCCCAGGAGGTAGAGGCTGCAGTGAGCCAAGCCAAGATCATGCCACTGCACTACAGCCTGGGAACAGAGTGAGACTCTGTCTCAACAGATAAATAAAAGATTGACTGTCAGGCAAATTGTATAACTTCTTTGGGCCTCAGTTTCCTCATCTGTAAAAGTGGGGATAACAGAGCCTGCCTCTTGGGGTTTTTTATGAGGACTCAATGAGCTAATCCATGTGAGTGAGGTGTGTAGAGCAGCGACTGACAGGTAACGTTGAATAATGCCAGCTCTCATTATTATTATTTTATTTTTTATATTTTGGGGGTCTCACTCTGGTGCCCAGGCTGGAGTGCAGTGGCACAATCTCAGCTCACTGCAGCCTCCATCTCCTGGGCTCAAGCAATTCTCTCACCTCAGACTCGCCAGTAGCTGGGATTGCAGGTGCACACCACCATACTCAGCTAATCTATAAAATTTTGGTAGAGATGACATCTTACTGTATTGCCCAGGCTGGTCTCAAACTCCTGGGCTCATGCAATACTCCAGCTTCGGCCTCCCAAAGTGATGGGATTACAGGTGTGAACCACCATACCTGGCTATTATTCTTTAAAAAAAATTATTTATTTTAATAAAAATAGAGACAGGGTCTTGATATGTTGCCCAGGCTGGTCTGGAACTCCTGAGCTCAAGCAATCCTCCCATCTCAGGCTCTGAAAGTGCTGGGTTTACAGGCATGAGCCACGGCATCCGGCCAGTTTCCCCTTCTTTAAAGTGGAGTTGATTGGCTTAGACGACCTTCCTGGACACCTTCCAGCCCTGAGCCCACTGGCTGCAGGAGGCAGAGTACGTGGCAATGATTCATTTTGTTCCAGCTGAGGAAACTGGAACCCAGAAAGTAGATGCCACCTGCCCAGGACCACACACTGATTCCTGTGGTCATCCTGGACTTAATCCTTGGGTCTCCTTTCCTCTCTGCTGAGGGGCACAGGGATTATGCTGCCCATTTTCCGAGTAAGGAAGCTGAGGCCCAGCAAAGAAAGTGACTAAACCCACTGCCAGTTGGCTCAGGAGCAGAATCTGGAACCCCGGACTCCAGACTCCTAGTGAGGAGGAGGTGGGGTGGCAGGATCACCTGTAGGACCACAGAGATGGTCTTCTCGCCTGCCTTGGCTGCCCGCCATTTTCGGTAAGTGTCTGCCTTGAGAAGATTTTCTGCACAGTGAGTCTGGAAACAACAGTGGGAGAGGAGAATTAGGGCACAGAGATGACAGCTAGGCCTCCAGCTCTCAGATGATTCCTTTGAGTCCTCCCAAGGCCTCTACGACCCCCAGATTTAAGCTCTCCCGTTAATCCCCCGACACTCTGCCTGGAGTTTCCCCTACAACACTTTCCCGTGGAAGTTCACCTATGGGCTCTCCAAGAAAGCTTCCCTATTCCTCCTTTTCTCTCCGGAAGTTCCCTAGACGCCGGAACGTCCCTAATTCAACATCTCTCCACAATTCACTTTTAGCCTCCTGGAAATCCCCCCATGACTCTCCTTAGACTTCCAAGAGAACCCCAAAAGCTCTTTTAAGAGCTATCCTCATTAATTCCCTCACGTCTTCCAACCTCCCCCATGCAGGTCCCTCACCGAGTCCTGGCTGCTGCAGGACACGACATGGCGGAGGCGGATCTCCGGCATGTCAACGTCGTGGGCTTCGCCTGGCCAGAAGGATGAGGTAGAGTATGGGGTCCGAGGGGCAGGGAGAGTGGGAGGGGGCGGGGTGCGCCCTGCGCTGGCTAAAGTGCGCAAGCGCGCGAGGCTCGGGCCTTTCAAACCCCGGCGCGCCGGCGCCGGCGTCGACACTGCGCAAGCCCAGTCGCGCCTCTCCAGAGCGGGAAGAGCGCTGCGTTCCTTAGCAACGAGCGTTTCCTCCAGCCCCGCCTCCCTCCGCCACACACAACCCCGCTCTAGCCTCGCCTCCCAATGACGTCCGAACCCTGCTTTCTGGGAGCCTAGCAACAGAAGCGACCTCCGGGATTGGTGTCTGGAAGAAATTCGCCTTTCTCATTGCACGATGGAGTTACCGCCCACACTGAAGCCGAGAAAGCAAATCTTTTTGCTGTATTATTATTTATTTTATTTTTTAAAAATTTTTTGTTGAGACAGGGTCTTGCTCTCTCACCCAGGATGGAGTGCAGTGGCACGATCTCGGCTTTCTGCAACCCCTGTCTCCTGGGGCCAAGGGATCCTCCCACTTCAGCCTCCTAAGTAGCTGGGATTACACGCACGCGCCACCACATTCGGCTAATTTTTGTATTTTTTGTGGAGACATGGGGTGAGAGGGCGGCGGGTCTTGCCATGTTGCCCAGACTGGTCTCGAACTCCTCAGCTCAAGCGATCCACCTGCCTCGGCCTCTCAAAGTGCTGGAACTACAGGCGTGAGCGACTGCGCTGGGCTAGGACAGCAAATCTGAGTGAATTTTCGTAGTTTCGTAGGGAACCTGGATTCTACGCAACAGGATCTCTTCAAATGGCTCAGGCGGCTGCACTCTTCTCTCTGTCCCCTTGCCACACACACACACACGCACATATACATACATACGCGCGCGCGCACGCGCGAAAAAAATTAGCAGATCTCTTTCAGCCTTATGCCTGAGGCCAAAAGAGAAGGGTTCTGCGTCCTAAATATAACACAAAGCATGTGCCCAACCCCCACCACACACACACACACACACCCCTATCCTGGAGTTCTTCCACAAAAGCCTCAGTTTCCCAATATGTGGACTGTGGGCATCTGTCTTTTACTACGCCCGCCTATGACTGCCGACAGACATCCCTCTGTTCATTCGGTGCCTTGGAGACCCAAGGGTGCAGCCCTGGGTGGGGTCGCAGCTGGAGACAGCCCAAACACACAAGGAGTGTGAGCCGAGCACATGAAGAGAGGGGAAGGGAGACAAGGCACCCCGCACCCGCAGGACCAGCCTGGACATGCTGGGTGCTCCAAGGTGGGGCCCTACCCACACTGGGTGCTTCCTTGGGAGGAGAGGGGAAGAGAGAGAAGGAGAGGGAATCCCAGTTCTTGCAGCCACTGGGAATCAAGAGGCCCAACTCCGTCTTGGTCTTCAAGCAAACAAACAAACAACAATGGGCCGTGGGAAGGTGAGAAAACAGGGTGGTGACTTTCTGGGTTCTAATAGAAGAGGGGGATGGAAGCCCAGACTCCTGGGGTCTCCATGGAGGTGGGGGGCTGGGCACAAGATGCCCAGGTCACTTTTGGATTCTGGTTCTGCCTTCCCAACCCGGAGGCCACAGAGGACTGCCCTGGGTTCTGACCTCAGCTATTTCTCCCCGTAGGGTGAATGTGGGTCCAGACCCACCCCTCCTCAGCTTCCTATAAAAGCTGGGGACCAGGTACTGCTGATACACACACCATGAGGCTCTCCAGGAGACCAGAGACCTTTCTGCTGGCCTTTGTGTTGCTCTGCACCCTCCTGGGTCTTGGTAAGTGACAAGGGACCTGAACTGTCTCTGGGACCTCAGGAAGAGAGAGGTCCCAGATTGAGAGAGAGAGAGATATAGAGAGAGAAAGAGCCTTCAGCAAGTCCTCAAGGTGAACGGGGAGGCATTCTGGAAATTCAGATTCATGGAAGAGGCCAAGGGTAAAGGAAGAGAAAGCCTGGGGGTCCCAGAGAAGAAAAGCTCCTGTGATTGGATCCCTGAGAGAGGGGCTTGGTGGGCTCTGAATCCTCCATCCTCCAGGAAGGATCCCAAACACATCTCAATTCTAGGAAATCAGATGAGAGCATGGCTGGAAAGGGAAATCTTTAAAAATATAATTAAAAAAAAAAAAAGAGGGAGAAGGCCAGGTGCGGTGGCTCATGCCTGTAACCCCAGCACTTTAAGAGGCCGAGGCAGGTGGATCACTTGAGGTCAGGAGTTCAAGACCAGCCTGGCCAACATGGTGAAACCCCGTCTTTACTAAAAATACAAAAAAAGTTAGCTGAGCTTGGTGGTGGGCGCCTGTAATCCTAGCTACTTGGGAGGCTGAGGTGAGAGGATTGCTTGAAACTGGGAGGCAAAGGTTGCAGTGAGCCAAGATCGTGCCACTGCACTCCCCAGCCTGGGTGACAGAGCAAAACTCCATCTCAAAAAAAATACATTAATATCATATGATATATTTTTTTAAAAGAGGTAGAGAGATTTCCTTTCTCCTTAGACTAAGAAGTTCAGGCCCCAGCCCCCTCCTCCCCTGCACACAGGAGTCCAAGTAAGCCTCACTTTCCCCAGGACCCAGGTTTCTGGGCCCCTAGCTGTCCCCTCTCTCAGAACCAAGAAGTTCAAGTCCTCTGCCCTCCTGGTCCTCACTCTCCCTCCTTGACCTGGGATGCAGACCCTAGCCTCAGGGCCCCCTGCCTGAGCTCCTGCTGTCTACAAGACCTACATGGCACCTTCAAGGAGGAGAATCCCACATTCAAGAACCAGCTGGACCTGAAGTTTCACAAAAGTCCATGGAAACCTCCATCACGACCCCTCCCTGCCCCTGAGCTTTCTCAGCGGACCCTGGCATCCAAAATCCCCAGCCATGTAATTAGGCAAACAGGCTTCATGGTGGAGTCGCTTCCCGCCCCTGGAAGCAGCTTTGCTGGCATCACCACTGCTTCTTCGTCCAACTCTGGACAGTTCCTTGGGCAGTGGTCAACATCCCGCCCATGAAAAACCAGGGAGCTGCTGGTCCCTCCTCTCTCAGGACACAAAAGTCCTAAGTCAAAGTCGTGGTCCGAAGACCACACCACCCATGACTACAGCCTCGCCCTCTGTCTACACTGCAGGGTGCCCACTACACTGCGAAATATGTACGGCGGCGGGGAGCAGGTGCCATGGCCAAATGAAGACCTGCAGCAGTGACAAGGACACATGTGTGCTCCTGGTCGGGAAGGCTACTTCAAGTAAGAGGATGTGGCCTGGGACCTGGTGGGGAGGTGGGGTGTACCTTCAGGGTGGAAGAGACTACCATGCTGAGGGGGGATCATCATGGTTCTCAAGACGGGAGCGTGGGAAGAAATCAGTGGAGAGCAGGAAAGAGGGAAAGACCATCATGAGATGGAGGGAACAGAAATAAGTGGTGTGATAGAAATCATTATTGTCACAGAATTCTGAAAATGACACTGTCCTAAAGAGAAGGAAAATGTGGGAGGGGTGAGAGTTAATAGACTTTCTTAGGCAGAAGAGGGGTAAGGAAAGACACTGTGGGGGGCAGAGAAATAGTGAGAGGGGAAGAATCTAACTGGCAGGAGGTGGAAATGGTGGGGAGTGGATAGAGAAGGAAGAGGCTGGGCTGGGGTGGGAAAGTGTAAGTGTAATCAGGGAAGAGGTCATTCCTGACCGAGGGAGGAGAGATGATGGTGGAGTGTTGGAGTGGTGGAAGAGACAGAAAAGGGATCACCCCAAACAGGAGATGGATGATAACCTTGAAGTATGGAGCAAATCATTTTTTTTCTTTTTTGAGACAGAGTCTCGCTCTGTCACCCAGGATGGAGTGCAATGGCGCGATCTCTGCTCACTGCAACCTCCACTTCCCAGGTTCAAGCGATTCTCCTGCCTCAGCCTCCCGAGTAGCTGGAATTACAGGTGCGTGCCACCACACCTGGCTAATTTTTGTATTTTTTAGTAGAGACGGGGTTTCGCCATGTTGGCCAGGCTGGTCTCTAACTCCTGACCTCAAGTGATTCTCCCGCCTCGACCTCCCAAAGTGCTGGGATTACAGGCATGAGCTACCGTGCCTGGCTGAGCAAATCATCGTAAAGAGGAGAAGCAGAGACAGGGAGGGGGAGATGTGGATGAGTAAAATGAAAGGGAGGCCGGGCACGGTGGTTCACGCCTGTAATCCCAGCACTTTGGGAGGTTGAGGTGGGAGGATCGTTTGAGCCCAGGAGTTTGAGACCAGCCTGGACAACAAAAAGAGATCCATCTCTACAGAAAAAAAAAAAAAAAAATAGTTGCGCATGGTGGCACATGCCTGTAGTCCCAGCCACTTGGGAGGCTGAGGCAGGAGGATCACTTGAGCTTAGGAGATCGAGGCTGCAGCGAGCTAAGTGCACACCGCTGCACTCCAGCCTGGGCAACAGAGGGAAACCTGTCTCAGAAAATAAAATGGAAGAGAGAAGATGGGCATGAGTTAAATGAAAGAGACCACCCCAGACCTGAAAAATGATGGAGGAGAAAGGGAGCAATGGAAGAGACCAGTGGGGGACAGAGATGTTTATACAAAGCTGAAAGAGACTTTCAATCACAGGAGGAGAGATGATGAGGCCTGGTGAGGGAATAAAGGCGACTTTGGGTGCAGGGAGAAAACACTGGTCGGGAGAGGCTGTGAAAGGAAAGTGAGATCGAAAATCACCCAGCCAGCGTTGGTGGGTTAAGGAAGGACCTGAAAGGCTTGAAGAGAACCCCCATCCCGGCATAGAAGAGGAAACGCACCCTCGGGAAGGGAGGAGAGAGAGCTGGGGGACCCCTCGATGGAGTGAAGGGGGAACCTGTGAATTGGGTAGGAAGAGACCACCACATGGTGGGGAGGGGGAAGGCCGGGGAGACTGGAAGAACCCACCTTAAACAAGACCTGAAAATAGCCAAGAGGGGCAGCAAGAGACCCTCGTTGGGAGGTCTGAGGAGTGACCATGGCAGGATCTGAGAGAGGAGGATGCCTGTTGCTGGGACCGGGGTTCATTGGAAGAGACTACGGGGTGGGCGGGGGTTGGCGGGGAGTTGAGGAGGCTGGAAGAGACCATTTCACGAAGGCATGGGGGTGGCCATAGGCGGCCTGAAATAGAGTAATCCCGGAAGGACAGGGAGAGAGGGGTGGCCGTGGGTGGGGTGGGGTGGGGTGGAAGGGACCACATCCAGCAGGCTGAGGTTGGCAATGGGGAGCTGGAAGAGACCACCAAAGGCCGACTAGGGGCTATGGCAGCGGGAGGGAGGGCTACCTAAGAAAGCACTCCAGGCCATGCACCAGACAGATTTGGCCGCATGGCTCTAGGGGGCTTGAAAGAGACCGCCCCGGCCGGGCTGGCGCAGTGGCTCCCGCCTGTAATCCCAGCACTTTGGGAGGCCGAGGCGGGCGGATCACCTGAGGTCAGGAGTTGGAGACCAGCCTGGCCAACATGGTGAAACCCCGTCTCTATTAAAAATACAAAAAAATAGCCGGGCATGGTGGCGGTCGCCTGTGATCGCAGCTACTCGGGAGGTGGAGGTTGCAGTGAGCCAAGATCGCGCCATTGCACTCCAGCCTGGGCAACTCCGTCTAAAAAAAATAAGAAAAGAAAGAAAAAAAAGAAAGAGACCATCCCAGGAAGTTGTGGGGTTGGGGAGGCCTAGGGTTAGGCAAGACCTTGAGGCAGGGGTTGAAGCCAGGGAGTGGTCAGCCAGCACTGTCCCTGCCTGTCCCCATCCCACAGAGGGCAAGGAGTTGGTGCACACCTACAAGGGCTGCATCAGGTCCCAGGACTGCTACTCCGGCGTTATATCCACCACCATGGGCCCCAAGGACCACATGGTAACCAGCTCCTTCTGCTGCCAGAGCGACGGCTGCAACAGTGCCTTTTTGTCTGGTAAGAAGCCCGTGGTGTGTGGTGTGTGCTCTGGCTCTCCACTGACCCTTGCTGTAGCCACTTGCTGGCTCTGAGCCTGTTTCCTTACCTGTAAAATGCAGTGTCTATTAGCAACCCTGGTGTTTCCCGGGGTTGTTGGGAGGTTGGGGGAACGGCTTAAACATCCCTATTCACCTTACACTTCATCCTCATCCTCAGTTCCCTTGACCAATCTTACTGAGAATGGCCTGATGTGCCCCGCCTGCACTGCGAGCTTCAGGGACAAATGCATGGGGCCCATGACCCACTGTACTGGAAAGGAAAACCACTGCGTCTCCTTATCTGGACACGTGCAGGCTGGTGAGTGGTGCCTGAATCTCTGGAAAAGGAAACAGAACTAGAGGTCCAAACTTCTAGGTTCGATGGGAGGAGAGGGTTCCAGAGAAGTGGGTGAGGATGTGTTCTGGGATTATGAGGAAGAAGGGGCTGAGGTCCCTGATTCCAGTCTGAAATCTCCCTTTCAGGTATTTTCAAACCCAGATTTGCTATGCGGGGCTGTGCTACAGAGAGTATGTGCTTTACCAAGCCTGGTGCTGAAGTACCCACAGGCACCAATGTCCTCTTCCTCCATCATATAGAGTGCACTCACTCCCCCTGAAAAGCTATCTGAACAGAGGAAGATAATGTAGTGTGAAGTCCCCATTTGTCCTCAGCCTGTAACTCCCCGTGTGCCTATAAAGAAGTTAATAGAGCAAGCCTGAGTCCTTGTGGTGTGATGTATCTTGATGAGATAGAATGCAGGAAATAGGGGGTCTCAATCCTCATTTCAAATCCCCTCCTTTTGAGGAAGAGAGGGAAGGCCCTGCCTTCTTTCTTTCTTTCTTTTTCAGACAGGGTCTCACTCTGCCACCCAGGCTGAAGTGCAGTGGTGCATTCAAGGCTCACTGCAGCCTCGACCTCCCGGGCTCAGGTGATTCTCTCACGTCAGCCTCCCTAGTAGCTGGCACTACAGGCATGCACCACCATGCTCGGTGATTCTCCCACCTCGGCCTCCCTAGTAGCTGGGACTACAAGCGTGCACCACCATGACTGGCTAATTTTTTAATTTTTTTGTAGCAACAGGGTTTCACCACATTGCCCAGGCTGGTCTTGAACTCCTGGGCTCAAGCGATCCTTGGCCTCCCAAAGTGCTGGGATGACAGGTGTGAGCTACCATGCCTGGTGGCCCTGCCTTTTATGAAGGGATTAGTCTTTGCCAGGTCCCTGTGCTGTGTTTTCCATGCTATACCTCATTTCATGATCATAACAACTGTGAGGTTGATATTATTATCCCCACTCTACAGATGAACAAACTGAGGCATAGATTGTGGGTGTCAAAATTTGCCTTGGGTCAAACAACCAGGGAGGGTCAGAACCTTGATTTGAACCCGAGTCTGGTATACTTCAGAGTCCATGATCATCTCTCTCAATTAACTGCTTCCTCTTTTTGCCTCAGTGTTCATGTCTGCAAAATGTAGATATTAATAGTTATAACCTCATAAGGTTGTTGTAAGAGTCAAATGAAAGACAACTTAAAAAGCGCTTAGTGCAATGCCTAGCACCACATGTGGATTCTAAAGACAATGTATGCCTGAGTAAACAGTAATCATCATAATAGCTGCCACTTACTGAGTGGCCATTAGTTGACAGGTGCTAAACACTGACATCAATTGGGACAGACTAGATGTTACAGTAACAAAACAAGTCCCTGATCTCAGTGGTTTAAAACAACAAAGTTGTATTAACTAACACTGTAATAATGCTATGTAACAAATCATCCTAAAACTGAGACTTCTTTTTTTTTTTTTTTTTTTTGAGACAGAGTCTTACTCTGTCTCCCAGGCTGGAGTGCAGTGAAACCATCACAGTTCACTGCAGCCTCAACCTCATGGGCTGAATCGATCCTCCCCGCTCAGCCTCCCTGGTAGCTGGGACTACAGGCATGCGCCACCATGCCCAGCTATTTCCTGTAATTTTTTTGTAGAGACAGGGTTTCCCCATGTTACCCAGGCTGGTCTCAAACTCCTGGGTTCAAGTGATCCACCCACCTCGGCCTCCCAACATGAAAACTGAGACTTATACCAACAAGCATTCTTCTAAGGGTTTGTGGGATGGCTGCTTTGGCTCCAGTTCGGGAGGATTCAGGTCTCTTCCATGAGATTCCACAATTTTCTGGGATCAGCAGCTCCCTCGCAAATGTTCTCATGGCACATCACGGGAGCACAAAAGCCAAGTGCACTTAAGGGCCTTGCTAAGGTTAGGTCTGCTAAAATTCCATTAAGTAAATCATATGGTGAAACCCATCAGTGGAGCAGGGAAATATACTCCCCCTCCAGTAGAAGGGAGAGGAGTGGATATTTGCTGAATGACTGCCCATTCACAAAAGGTAAACTTTTCCTTCACCCTAGCACTATCCAGAGGGTGTTTTCCTCGTCATAGTCATAAATCAGCCACCGGCAGGGCACGATGGCTCACGCCTGTCATTCCAGCACTTTGGGAAGCCGAGGCAGGAGGACCACTTGAGCCCAGGAATTTGAGACCAGTCTGGGCAACATGGCAAAACCCTGTCTCTACAAAAATACAAAAAAAAAAAAAAAAAAAAAAATTAGCCAGGCGTGGTGGTGCACGCCTGTAGTCCCAGCCACCTGGGAGGCTGAGGCGGGAGGATTGCTTGAGTCCGGGAGGCGGAGGCCACAGTGAGCCGAGATCTTGCCACTGCACTCCAGCCTGGGTGACAGAGTGAGACCCTGTCTTAAATAAATAAATAAATAAAGCATCCACCAACTTGAATGTGGCCAATTTCTGTGTCACAGGAAGTCTACCATGGGTAATCACATGCTGTGACATAATACAAGTCACTGGATGGAGCTAGTCACATGGCCCACCCAGCCACATGGGCACCAGGAAGTGAGATCCTGCCCCAAGGTCAGAAGGCAGAGAACTGGACATGTTTCATTAATAGCACAAATGACCACCATG
The DNA here is from genome assembly GCF_000001405.40 of Homo sapiens. Classification (NCBI taxonomy): domain Eukaryota; kingdom Metazoa; phylum Chordata; class Mammalia; order Primates; family Hominidae; genus Homo; species Homo sapiens. The sequence continues at coordinate 43,584,362 of NC_000019.10, forward strand.
ACCCCTTAAGAAGCTGTTTTTCATTTTATTTTCACAACTCTATGTCATAGGCACTATTATTCACATCTCTGTTTTCAGGAGACATCAGAGGCTCAGAAGGCTGTCACATTGGCAGTCACACAGCTAAAAAGTGGCAGAATTTAAGATTTTAATCATTGGGTCATGTTGTTGGGGAGAAAGAGACCACATCACACACAGAGAGAACAAGTCTGTATTAGTTGCTTTTGCTACATAACAAACCACTCCAAAATTTAGTGGTTTAGAACAATCACCTATTTAGTTAATGATTCTCTGGGTTGCAACTTGGTCTGGGATCAGCTGGGCAGTTCTTTTGCTGGTCTCAGCTGGGTTCAGCTGCCTATCAGCTAGGGAGCTCTGTTTCAGAGGTTGGTTGGCTATGGGTGGCAGGGATCAAGGATGACGGAGCCATGTGTCTCTTTTCCCTTTATTACCCAGCAGGTTAGCCCAGATCTTTTCCTTTTCTTTCCTTCTTTTTATTTTTTTAGACATTGTCTTGCTCTGTCACCCAGGCTGGAGTGCAGTGGAGCCATCATAGCTCACTTCAGCCTCGACTTCCTGGGCTCAAACAATCCACTTGCCTCAGCCTCCCCCATGTAGTTGGGACCACAGGTGCACACCACCACATCTGGCTAATTCTGTTGTTGTTGCTTTTTTGTAGAGATGGGGGTCTTGCCATGTTGCTCAGGCTAGTCTCGATCTCCTGGGCTCATGAAATTCTTCCACCTTTGCCTCCCTAAGTGCTGGGATTATGGGTTTATACCCATATGCCACCATGCTCAGCCAGCCCGGGGTTTGGATGTGGCAGTGGTGGTAGGGGTCCCAAGGGGAGCAAGAGAGGAAGTCCCAGTGCATAAGCACTTTGGTTTTTTTTTTTTGAGAGAAGTCTCGCTCTGTTGCCCAGGCTGGAGTGCAGCGGCGCAGTCTCAGCTCACTACAACCTCCGCCTCCCAGGTTCAAGCTATTCTCCTGCCTCAGCCTCCCGAGTAGCTGGGACTACAGGTGTGCACCACCACACCCAGCTAATTTTTTGTATTTTTAGTAGAGAGACGGGGTTTCACTGTGTTAGCCAGGATGGTCTCGATCTCCTGACCTTGTGATCTGCCCGCCCTGGCCTCCCAAAGTGCTGGGATTATAGGTGTGAGCCACCACACCCGGCCGCATAAGCACTTTCCAAGCCTCTGCTTGTATCATGTTTGCTATTGTTCTAGTGGCTGAAGCAAACCACATAGTCAAACCTAGAAGGAGAGCAACAATCCAAGGGCATGGCTACAGAAAGGCTGGCCCAGTTGGGGTCATTAATGGGTATACCTGGCTCCAGAACTAAGGCGCTTTACCATCATAAGCTCCCAATGTTTAAACAGTAAGTCTGCCCGCACTCCTTCCAGGGTGGAAAAACTCAGATACTGATAAATTCTCTTGATCACAGCCCAGTTTTTCCCAGCGGATTCCCCACCATCCCTCCTATCCCCAGACGCTGGAGTCTAGGTTTCCAGCCCAGTCAAAATCTCAAGGATCTTTCTTTTCCCTCAAACTCCAAAAGAACAGACACGCAATAGGATTTCTATTCATTTTTATTCATTCCTCCAAAGAGCACCACAGGCCAACCACACCCTTGATGTGTCCTTCATGGTTCCCCACTGCAGTGGACACAAATCCCTCCATCATTATCCAGGCATGGATGGAACTCTGCTGTGGTGAGGAGGTTGTCTCGCCCACTCACCCAAGTTTTCCATGCCTGTTCTGCTTTTGATGGCAATGCCAAAATTCATCATACATTTCCTTGAATTCCTGCCTTCAAGGGTCTTCCAGCCCTGTGGTGCCATGCAGACACACTTCAGTGGCGGCCAGTGATCTGTCTACAAGGGAGTCTTAGTCTTTTCTGCTTGGATGCTCCCAGGGACAGATGCCTGCCAACAACCTTATGTCTTCACAAAGACTAAAATGGAATCCCATTAAAAGTTATGATTTAAAAGGCGACCACCCCCAAAAGAAGTCATAACACTCAAGGGTGTCAATATATACAACTGTGTAAACACAACCAATCTACAACTATATCAACACAACCAGCACTCCTCTATGGGCACAGACACACACACAAAATTGTCTTGCTTTCTCAGATATGATCTCTGGCATGACTCCTGCTGGCATGAGGGCAGAGGAAATTGAGAGGAGCAAAGCATATAGCAGTGATGTCAGACAGGACCAAATCAGAGACAGGGTCAAAGTGGCAGAAAAATGAGGAGCACACTCCGAGCAAAGGCATGGGGGTGAGACAAAGGCACCCAGACTAGAGCCATCTTGGTGCTGCCCAGGGGTGGGTGGCACTCATGTTTGAGCTCCATGTGTCAGGCTTTTCAGGAAAGGGTGTACTATGTTATGTGTCTGTGTGCATATTGTGTGCCTGCATGTACATACATACGCTGAATTCTCACCATAACCATGTGAGGTAGATGCCATTTGTAGAGTGACTTGCCCAAGTCAGTGGAAGGACTATCTGCCCCTAGAGCTAGACTGATAGAATTTTCTATGTTGATGGAAGTATTCTGTACCTTCCCTGTCCAATACCATAGCCACTAATCACATGTGGCTACTCAGTATTAATGTTGCACTACTGCCAATGAAACATAGAATTTTAAGTTGTATTTACTTTTAATTGAACAGCTGAGGCCAGGTGTGGTGGCCCATGCCTGTAATACCAGCACTTTGGGAGGCCGAGGTGGGCGGATCACCTGAGGTCAGCAGTTCAAGACCAGCATGCCCAACATGGTGAAACCCCGTCTCTGAGAAAAATACCAAAATTAGCCAGGCATGGTGGCATACACCTGTAGTCCCAGCTACTCAGGAGGATGATGCAAGAGAATCAGTTGAACCTGGGAGGCAGAGGTTGCAGTGAGCTGAGGTCATGCCACTGCACTCCAGCCTGGGTGACAAAGTGAGACTCTGTCTCAAAACAAAACAAAACAACCCAGCAACTTGGTCAACATAACCAGACCTGCATCTTTACTTAAAAAAAAAATGGACACCCATCTCAGTTTTTGGAAAACTATTATATAATTGGAACAACTTGGATATGTGAATCTACTTCTCCAACTATGAATTTTATGAAATCAAAATAAAGGTCAAGCATTTCAGATAAAAATGTACCATGGTAATTGAGATTTGGTGTAAGTGTAAAATATATAACAGATTTTGAAGACAGCACAAAAGAACGTAACATAATTCATTTAAATAATACCGATGACGCCAGGCACGGTGCCTCACGCCTGTAATCCTAGCACTTTGGGAGGCCGAGGTGGGTGGATCACCTGAGGTCAGGAGTTTGAGACTAGCCTGGCCAACATGGCGAAACCCCATCTCTAACCAAAAATACAAAAATTAGTGGGCATGGTGGCGGGTGCCTGTAATCCCAGCTACTCGGGAGGCTGAGGCAGGAGAATCACTTGAACCTGGAAGGTGGAGGTTGCAGTGAGCCGAGATTGTGCCACTGCACTCCAGCCTGGGCAACAAAGCGAAGCACTATCTCAAAAAAAAAAAAAACTAAAAAACCGATGACATGTTGAAATGCTATTTTGGATACATTGGGTTAAGTAAAACATGTTAAAATGAATTTAACCTGTTTCCTTTTACTTGTCTAATGTGGCTATTAGAAAACTTGGCTTACTCAGCACTTTGGGAGGCTGAGGTGGGCAGATAACTTGAGGCCATGAGTTCCAGACCAGCTTAGCCAACATGGTGAAACCCCATCTCTACTAAAAATACAAAAATTAGGACGGGTGCAGTGGCTCACGCCTATAATCCCAGCACTTTGGGAGGCTGAGGCCGGTGGATCACCTGAGGTCAGGAGTTCAAGACCAGCCTGGCCAACACAGTGAAACCCCATCTCTACTAAAAATACAAAAATTAGCTGGGCATGATGGTGCATGCCTGTAATCCCAGCTACTTGGGAGGCTGAGGTTGCAGTGAGCCAAGATCGCACAACTGCACTCCAGCCTGGGTGACAGAGCAAGACTCCGTCTCCCAAAAAATAAATAAATAAATAAAATAAAAATACAAAAATTAGCTGGGCGCGGTGGCTCATGCCTGTAATCCCAGCACTTTGGGAGGCCAAGGCGGGTGGCCTGAGGTCAGTAGTTCCAGACCAGCCTGATCAACATGGTGAAACCCCATCTCTACTAAAAATACAAAAATTAGCCAGGCATGGTGGCATATGCCTGTAATCCCAGCTACTCAGGAGGCTGAGGCAGGAGAATCACATGAACCTGGGAGGCGGAGGTTGCAGTGAGGCGAGATCGTGCCACTGCACTCCAGCCTGGGTGATGGAGTGAAACTCCATCTCAAAAAAAGAAAACTTAAAATGACATATGTGGCTTGCATTTCGTTTCTACTGGACAGTGCTGCCCTGCAGCCCTCCCATTCCATCACGTGGCTGACATGCCTGATTGCAGGGCTTAGACACTAATATGATGGGGTAAAGATATGGATGAATATTCTTCCCCAAAGCTGAAAGAGCTTTCATGAAAATGCCTGGAGCCATTCAGTATAGAACTAAGTGCTCTTCCCCATGGTAGCTATCTCAACTTTGAAGGGACAAATTTTGTCAGCAGTGGGAGTCCAAGCTGGAGATGATGGTACCATCCCTTGTCTGCCCTTGGATCAGTTACCTTTGTCTTCAGCTTTTAAGGGAGACAGGATCTCAAAACTAAGGTTCTTATCCAGCTCTTTTATTTCACAGATGGGAAAATAAGGCACTGTCCAAGTAACACACAGTGACAGTGGCAAAGTCGTGCTTGCTTCCCAGGTCCCTGACCTCAGACAAGGGTGTTCTCTCCCATTAAATGCTTTTTTCTCCTCATCTTGCTCCATTTTCCTATCTTGTGGCAAGAGATTAACAATCTAAATTCCAATCCTAGTTCTGACACTGACCAATGAAATAAACATTTAGGCTGGGTGTGGTGGCTCACACCTGTAATCCCATCAAGGCAGGAGGATCACTTGAGGCCAGGAGTTCAACACTAGTGTGGGCTACAAAGCAAGACCCCCGTCTCTACAGAAAATTTGGTGCTGTGTACCTATAGTCCCAGCTACTCTGTAGGCGGAGGTGGGAGGATCGTTTGAGCCCAGGAGTTGGAGATGGCAGTGAGCCATGATCATCCCACTGTATTCCAGCCGGGGCAACAGAGCAAGACCCTGTCTCTAAAATAATAATAATAATAATAAATATTTACGAAGCACCTATTGTGTCAGGCACCTATTGTTCTAGATGCTGGGGAAACAACAGAGAACAGGACAGGCAACGGGTCAAAAGCCAATAAACAGGTAAATAAATAAGATCATTTTTGACAGTAATAATTGCTACAAGGAAACTCAACTGGCCGAAATGAATAGTGGGGGAATGTGAGCTACTTCAGATAGGGTGGTCAGGGAGGGGAAGTCCTCTCTGAGGGGATACGTGAGCTGAGATCTGACTGAGCCCGTCACAGGAAGGTTTGAGAGTAGAACAGGAAGTTGTGAGTAGAGCCTTGAAGGAAAGAGAACAGCAGGTGCATGGGTCCCCAGGCAGGACTCAAGGTAGCCACTCAGGCATCAGAAAGAGTCAGGCGGCCATGATGGCTCACACCTGTAATCCCAGCACTTTGGGAGTCTGAGTCGGGTGGATCACCTGAGGTCAGGAGTTCGAGACCAGCCTGACCAACAGGGTGAAATCCCTTCTCTACTAAACTACAAAAATTAGCCAGGTGTGGTGGCACATGCCTGTCATCTCAGCTACAGTCATCACATCCCTGTACTCCAGACTGGGTGACAAGGTGAGACTCCATTTCAAAAAAAAAAAGAAGGAAAGTCTATCAGGCTGGACAGGAGTGGGAAGGGGCAGTGAATGAGAATAGGCAAGGGCCAGACCCACAGGGCCTTACTGTGTGCTGTTGGGCCTCAAGCCTGCCCTCTCTGGACTTTGCTCTTTCTGTCTACGACAAAAGGGATTCTATCGCTTGGATTCTCAGATCCTCCTTTTCTGTTTTTGACACTGAAGAATTCTGTAACCTGCAACTTTTCCCCCACATGTGGCTAGCAGCCTAGAACATTCCAGGCACTGTGGTTTCTGCCTTTGCTTCATTCACTCCTGGCATATTCCCATGGTCTCAAGTGCCTGACCACCCATTTGGTGGGCCCCTGGCTCAATGCAGCACCCTCTATGTACATCAGAAAGCAGAGCCTCTTGGGGATACCCGAGGTGTCCATACAGAAGTGTTTGGACCAGTGCAGCAGTACAGCTGCTCTTCTGAAAAGGAAGGTGCACAAAACACCAAGGCCATAAAGGGTTATGGTTAAATACCAGGAGAAAAAGGCCAAAAAAAGATAGAAACTCCTAAAGAAAAGAGACAGAGAAACAGACTCCCCAGAGATCACCTGAATTGCTCAGCACCTAGAAGATGAAGGCAGTCATATCCCTTCCCAGTCACACTCACAGAGGCAGTTGCCGGGATCCCAATACAAGGTTTGGAGGAGCTGTCTCTGAGGTATGCTTTACTGCCCTTCCACACCCAAAAGACCTCATTCCTGGTCCCTGGCTACTCCCAGAGCCCACCATGCCCAGACCTCTTACCCACCTCACCTCATTTTTGTGGGACCACCCTCCCTACATGCTTTTGGAGGGCAATTATAGAAACCCATCCACTCCCCAGGAGAGATCAAGAAGTCTCCAGCTTTCTCGCACAAGCCCCCGATCCCTCCTCCAGATGCAGACCTCCCCTTACCCAATATTTAGGAACCAAGGTCCACAGCCATCTTAGAACCCCGGAAGTCTCAGACCCCAGGGGCCTCCGCCACCCCATCAAGATTCAAAGCCCACTGCTCCTTGGGGACCTGTGTGCAGGCTTTTTCTCCCAGAGAAATGTAGACCCTGTTTCCCTCTGAGGCTCTGAAGCCCAAGAGTTCCAGCTCCCTGGGGCGCTCAGGTCTCCCTCCCCTATACTGGAGTTCAGGTCCCAGTCATGGACACCTCCCCACCAATTAGGAAACAGGACTTCTACCAGCCTCCCTGGAGGACTAAACATCCAGTAACTCCAGTTTCTACTCCCTAGGAGACAAAGACATAGTCCCTGCTAGAGTCTGGGCCACCAACTCCCTTCAGGACAGAAGGGTCTAGATGTCATTCACCATGGTTCCCAAAGGTATCAGGATTCCTGGCCAGGGGCGGTGGCTCACGCCTGTAATCCTAGCACTTTGGGAGGCCGGAGCGGGTCGATCGCCTGAGGTCAGGAGTTCGAGGCCAGCCTGGCCAACATGGTGAAACCCCGTCTCTACTAAAAATACAAAAATTAGCCAGGTGTGGTGGCAGGCACCTGTAATCCCAGCTACTCCGGACGCTGAGGCAGGAGAATCGCTTGAACCCGGGAGGCGGAGGTTGCAGTGAGCCGAGGTCGCGCCATTGCACTCCAGCCTGGGCAACAAGAGACTTCGTCTCACAAAAAAAAGAAAAAAAAAAAAAAAAATCAGGATTCCTGTCCCCCAGACTCTCTGAATCCAGGTGATAAGAAGTCACACATCCCAGCTGGAAGTCAAGAGTCCACATCCCCTTCAAGCACCCAGGATTAAGCCCAGGCATCCCCTGTCAGAGTCTGGACTCCCAAGCCCCCTCCCACTCCTCACTGGGCAGGCTCAGGGGGTGCCAGCACAGCCTCAGCATCAGCCCGCATCTCATCGAGAGCCTGCAGCAGGACGCCGTGAGCCGCTCGGTAGCCCAGGCCACCTGTCGCCGCTGCACCACCCGCAGGCCACAGGAAGGAGAGAGCCCCCAGTGCTGCGCCCCCAGCAGTGCCCTCGCCCGCCCAGGCGCCCAGTCTTGCTTCCACCTCGGCGCGCGTCACCGGGCCTGGGAAATGAGCGCGCGCTGCCAGCTCTCCAGAAGCCAGGCCCAGGGCACGCTCACGTCGAGCCAGTGCCGTGGGTTCCAGCCCCAGGCCCCGTCGCCACTCCGCCAGCTGACCCCGCAGAAGTGCCACGTCGCATGCCCAGCCCAGCCCTGGGAGTGGTGCCGCCGCCGCCGCCAGACTAGCCAGCAGAGCTGGCCTCCACGCCCCGGCTCGCAACGCCGCAGCCTTGGTTCGGGCAGCGCTGGGAGATGCTGGTGGCAACGCCAGCAGCAGTGCCCCTGCCTGGGCTGGGGGGAGCGCTCGCCGCAGCCATTCGCATAGCCCTGGGAGTCCGCCAGGCCGTAGGGGGAACACTGGCGGCGGCGCCTCCTCCAGCACCTCCCACGTCTCGTCCTCCGGGCTTAACGCAGCGGCCCGCTCTGAGTCGCCACCACCTGATTTCTTCATGCCGACAACCTGCTGCAAACCCTCGCTGCCAGCTTTCCCAGGACCTTCCCCGCTGCCTGCTTTCTGCGATCCAGCGCTACATTTCTCCCTTCCCTTACTGAGTGCATTCTCCAATCCCCCTCCACCTGCGTTCTTTAAGCTCTCGCCCTTGGGATTCTCCATCTTGCCTTCTCCCAGACACTCCGGATCCTCGCCCTCGCCGTCTGTGCGCACGCAGACAAGAGGCGCATCTGGTAGCAGCAAGGCCTGGACCTGGGCCCAGTCCTTCTCAGTGGGGGCCCCAGGGGTGACGAGGATGAGGGCGTCGTAGTGCGTTGGGTGAGAGGCGGCGGCCGCGGTGGTGGCAGTGCCCGTGTGGCCCAGAGGCACGGTCCAGAGCACCACATTCGGGCGCTCTGGGGCTGGGAAGGGAGTGGGTGCTGTGGGGACCGAAGCAGGCGCAGCGCCTGGGTCGCCAGGATCCAATCCAAGCAGCATGTCCACCACAAGGCCCACGTCAGCCTTGCCAGCCACGGCCAGGTCTAGCCGTGCGCTGCCCAGGCGCTCCAGGCCTGAGCGCACCCACGACAGCGCAGCCTCAAGGCCGCCGGTCTCAAAGGCCTCACGCACAGCCTCTAGCTCTGCTGCACCCAACACCTCGAAGCCATCCTGCGCCGGTGGCAGGAGCCTGTGGGGACAAGAAGGGACAGGGTCAAAGGTAGAAGAGGGGCTGGGTGACATGGACTGGGCTATGATGACAAGGGCAGAGCTTTCCTAATGATCCCAGAATGGGGCAGGGGTAGGAAAGGGAAGGGCCAGACTGATGGCACAGCAAATAGAAACCAGATAGGGAGAGGCAGTGATGATATGGGTGGGGCTTCAAGCAATAATGGAGTCTTGATTATTGGACGGGTGGACATAAGGTCAGGTTTCCCACCCCAGCCTAAAATGGGGATTGGGCTAAAACTTCCATGGAATACAGTATTTGGGGGCGGGGTTTTTCCAAGGGTCGGCTGTGCTGGGTGGGACAAAGCTCACAGAGGGTGGGGCCTAGAACAAAGAATCGCAACTGTATTGTGGCCTAAACACAAGTCCAGCACTATTTGAGACAAGGTCCCCAAGGGCACTCTTTTCAGGGGCTGGGCCTAAGGAGGGTCAGTGAGGGGAGAAATCTCATCTACCAGTTCTTACCAAGGGGGAGTGGCTAAGGTGACTCCCGGGCAGGTGAGGCTAAGGAAAAAAGATGACAGTGTACTGGGACAAGGGACTGTCCCTCTCTGAGCCTCGTTTTAAAGTCTTTAAAATGAGGAGGCTGGCAGGTGGTAGAGCAAATCCAGGAGGTAGCCAGCAAGTGGGCACAGAAACAAGAGGGAGCTGGAGAAAGGAGGTAGATGAGGATGCCCCAAAATAATAAAGCTCATTGCGGGTGTGGCTTTAGGTGCTTGAAAACAAAACTGATGGTGGGGAGGGCTCAAAGATTAGAGTTTTCAGGTAAAATCTTCCAGGGGGCTGGGCAGAGAGTCTCACGACTGTAATCCCAGCACTTTGGGAGGCCAAGGAGGGTGGATCACCTTGGTGGGGGCAGGGCCTGGAAAAAGGAGCCTCAGGGCCCCAGCAGATAAAGTGTTAAGCCTTTCCCTTTTAATTCTAGGGCTTTGGGAAGCCTGGGTGGGGGCATGGCTTGAGGCCAAGAGTTCAAGACCAGCCTGGGGAAACAGTGAGATGCTGTTTTGCAGCCTGTAGTATTAGCTACTCTGGAGGCTGAGGCAGGAGGATCATTTGAGCCCAGGAGGTGGAGGCCGTCAGTGAGCTAGGATCGCGGCACTGCACTCCAGCCTGGGCGACAGAGTGAGAACCTGTCTCAAAAAAAAAGGCCGGGTGTGGTGGTTCACGCCTGTAATCCTAGCACTTTGGGAGGCTGAGGCGGGAGTATTGCTTAAGGCCAGGAGTTCAAATTCAACCTAGCCAACATAGCGAGACCCTGTCTCTCAGGAAAAAAAAAAAAATAATAATAATAGAGCTAAGCCTTGCCCCAAACTCACTGGGGGAGGGATCTCATGGACCTCCATGGTCGCACCTAGGTGCCTAGGGTCTCGACTAACGGACCCAGCCAGAAAGCCGGCACTCACCTCCGCAGCGCTTCTGCCTGGCTCTGCAGCGCCGCCCGGAGGCGCTCTAGCTCCTCGCAGCCGTCGCTGCTGCCGCAGTTCGCCGGTAGCACAAACAGATCCGCAGCTCCTAACCCCGCGCTGTTCAGCAGAGCTGCTGTCTGATCACGGGCCTGGGCGGCAGTCTGTGAATCCCCAGGACGGAGGTTCCGCACAGCCAGTAGCGGGGTCCCTCGGGCCAGGGCGGCCAGCGCTGCCTCTCCCAGGGCTGGAGCCAACGGTTCCCCGTTCCCCTCGGGTCCGGGCAGCACCAGTACCAGCACGTTGGCTTCCGCCGCCCAGGGCCCCGGCGCTGCGGGTGGGCAGCTCAGCTCGCCCAGAAAAAGGCCTGGGCCCGCAGCTCTTAGGCTGGGAACCCCGGAGTCCGGCCGTCCCTCGGGGGCCTCGAGCGTCTCCACATCCTTGTCGCACAGCGCTGCGATCAGCGCGGACTTCCCCAAGCCCGGAGGCCCCAGGAACAAGGCGGTCACGTCACCCTGCGGCGGAGGCATGGCTGGAAAGCAACGGGTAGAGAAGACCTGGGTCAGGGAGCACCTAGCCTTTTCCTTTCCTAGCCGCCCCACTCGGAACCCAGGCCTCAGTCCTTCACCCTGTCCCCTTCGGTTCTTGAGTGTCACTCTCCAGGACCTAAAAAATCCAGAGCCCAGACCCTATTCCCCCAGAATCCCAGGCGTCCTGTCTGTCCGCCCTCCCTCTAGATGGAAACGTTTCCCTTTCTGCTTCAAAAACTCTGAAATCAGGCGCGGTGGCTCATGCCTGTAATCCCAGTGCTTTGGGAGGCCGAGGCCGGAGGATCGCTTGAGGCCAGGAATTCGAGACCAGCCTGGCCAACATGTGGGGGGACTCTCTGGTAGAGTCTCCGTCTCGATAAAAAATAAAATTTAGCCGGGCATGGTGGTGTGCGCCTGTAGCCCCAGCTACTCGGAAGGCTGCGGCGGGAGGATCGCTTGAGCCCAGGACTTGGAGGCTGCAGTGGGCCGTGATCACACCACCGCACTCCAGCCCAGGCGACAGAGCAAGACCCTCTCTGAAAAATAAATAAAAATAAAACCTCAGAAATCTGGCTTCCAGTCCCTCCTCCCTCGGACACATTGTTATTTTCATCTTTCCCCTTCCCCCTTCCAAATCACCAACCGAGCAAAAAGCCGACCCACGGGAGAGAGCGCAGTCGGTGGCAGTAGGTCAGCAGCTGAGAAGCCCGGCCCCTGGGCCGCGGCGGACGGAGGCCGAAGAGGCCAGGGAGCGGTGATTTAGAGATGCCGGGACCCGTCCCGGTAGCTTTAACCTGACGTCACTCCCTCTCCCAAGGGGGTGTGTCTTGGAAGGCCGACAGCAGAGACCCAGCCCTTCGCCGCGCCTGCGCAGAACGGCCGAAGTGTGCACGCCCCTCTTTGGCGGCCTCAGGGCCTAGAACAATGAATGAGTCAACGCGCCTGCGCGCCACGAGAGCCTACCCACGCATGCGCAAAAGGCTTAGCTAGCTAAGCCGCGGGAGGCTGAACGTCATCAAACGCGCCATAGGGCAGAGAAGGACCCCTCCCGTTATTTTGAGGACCGGGCTGGTGCGACTATACTACTGCCGGATGGCAAATCCGGGATCTCGGCTCCGAGAGGCTCATCTGGCAAAAGGGCGCGGAAACCACGGGGGCCCTGAGACTGAGTGGTCCCTATCCCACTTCTCTCTGGGGCGGCGCTGTAGCCAGCGGCTGACAGGCGCAGCGAAAGGCAGCCCTCTGCTGTAAGGAGGAAAACTGAGGCCTGGGAGCAGGAACCTGTAGGCAGCGCTTGAGGGTAGCGGGATAGCAGCTGCAAGCGCGCGTGGGAGGCGGGGGCTCTGGGCGGAACAAAAATCACAGGATGTCAGAGGATGTTTCCCGGGAAGAACTGGGATAAAGGGTGGGTATCACTACCTGCCCCAAGACACTTGAGATTGGGATGACGCTGGTGTCAAAGATCAAGGCTTCCACGCTGAGTTCAGGGAGTTAGTTTGATGCAGCAGGTCATAGGTCACACCAGTGAGAAGACTCTAGGGGAGTCCCAAACCCAGGAAATCCAGTCCTTTGGGAGGTTTGAAGCTTCTTTTAGCAAGAACTCCATCAATTAGAGTTCAAGGAGATAGTATGTCGTAGGGGTCAAAGGCAGGCAAGGAGAGCCTCTGGCGATGTCAAAGGTCATAGACTTAGGGTGCCCTCTAAGACTGGTAACAGATGAACAGCTTCACTTATGCACGCTCCTCTCCTGACTAGAAGGGTCCCAGCACCATGGAGGACCCGAACCCTGAAGAGAACATGAAGCAGCAGGATTCACCCAAGGAGAGAAGTCCCCAGAGCCCAGGAGGCAACATCTGTGAGTACACATGGCTGGCGGGCTAGAGGAGGGTGGGGTGCAGGAGCTGATGCTAAGATCTCTGTGGCACTTCGGTGTCCAAGGCGCCACAGAGTTTTGCCTGTTGAGAAGGGGCTGTAATGGTCCCTGAGCTGCTCTAGCAGGAAGTGCATCTCCTCACACCAGCTTATGTGGCCAGAGTACTCACCCTCCTCTGGCCACATAAGCAGGATTGCAATGCTTATGCATTCAGAGGGATAGGGTGGCTTCCAGGAGAGGCTTGGGTTGGAGATGTGGCTGGGAATGGTTCTATTGGGAGAGAAACCCCAAGATTCTGGTCCCAACTCTGCCCTAGACTTTCAGTGTAACTTGGGCCTTGGTTTCCTTGACTGTCAAAAGAGGGTGGTACTTCCCACCTCACAGGGTGGGTATGGGATTAACTGCAGCAAAGGGGAAAGCTAGGGGTTAATGATGGTAGCCAGTTTGACATGTAATAGCAACACCTCCTGCTCAGTGTTTTATTATGAGCTAGGTGTATTTATTCTCATATTATGAACCATTTTAACATTCATTATCTCATTGAGTCCTTCTAATAATAGGCCCTTTAAACTGGGAACTGAGGCAGAGAGAGGTATTTGTAACAAGAGCTGTAGTCTCAATGCCCTTGAGCCAGAGACTACCAGGAACACACCTGCAGTTGAACACGTTGGGTTTCTCACTGCAATGAACACAGACCATGGGGGGACTGTGGGGTGTCTCACTAAGAATGGTAAAAACGACACAGGATTTGGGCTTGTGGGTGGTGATTTTGGGGAAGGTTCAAGCAAAATTGTTTTGCTCTGGATTGGATGCTACCAGGAAGCAGGGGCAATTCTATGATTGGCTATCGTAATAAATCTTACCCAGAAGGAGGAAGGAAGGAGGCGAGGCTCAAGCTCTGACTGATAAAGCAGCAGCAGACATTCACATTAGCCAGGATAGGAGGATGTTTGGTCATTTTTCTGCTTGGACAGTATTCATATTTTGTCTGTGCTCAGACATTATGATGATGTAGTCTTGTCTTGATTCATTTTAGTCACAGCGTGGCCTTGTCTGTCCTTGATATTCTGTGAAAATTTATGTTCAACAGAACACCAAGGTCTAGCTGTGAGTACCAGGCCAGATCCTGGATGTCGGGCTGGATTTCTCTGTATCATTAGTCATAATTGCAAATGACTGTACAGCAATTCATTTATTCCTTCCAACGGTCCTATGGAGTAGATACTGTTATTAGCCCATTTTCCAGATAAGGAAACTGGTGTAATTGCCTAGGAAGTGGTGGAGGTGAGATTCAATCCCAAGCAGTCTGGCTCCAAAGGCTGTGCTGTAATCACCATACCCCTCTGTTGGGCAGGCTGACTCTCTGGGTTCCAACCCTGGCTCCACCATTTCCTTTCCTAGCCTCATGACTATGGGCAACTTGCCTAACCTCTTTGAATCTCAGTTTGCTCATCCATAAAATAGGTGCAAGAACAGTTCTCCTGTTTGGTTGTCCAGCATTAGCATAGAACCTAGCACATAACACATTCAATGTTAATTGTTGGTGTGATTCTGGGGTTCAGGAAGAGGTCTTGGAGACTCCTGCTGGCCTCCCCTGACCTCTCCCCCACATTCCTCAGGCCACCTGGGGGCCCCGAAGTGCACCCGCTGCCTCATCACCTTCGCAGATTCCAAGTTCCAGGAGCGTCACATGAAGCGGGAGCACCCAGCGGACTTCGTGGCCCAGAAGCTGCAGGGGGTCCTCTTCATCTGCTTCACCTGCGCCCGCTCCTTCCCCTCCTCCAAAGCCCTAATCACCCACCAGCGCAGCCACGGTCCAGCCGCCAAGCCCACCCTGCCGGTTGCAACCACTACTGCCCAGCCCACCTTCCCTTGTCCTGACTGTGGCAAGACCTTTGGGCAGGCTGTTTCTCTGAGGCGGCACCGCCAGATGCATGAGGTCCGTGCCCCTCCTGGCACCTTCGCCTGCACAGAGTGCGGTCAGGACTTTGCTCAGGAAGCAGGGCTGCATCAACACTACATTCGGCATGCCCGGGGGGAGCTCTGAGTGCAGCTTAAGCCTCTCCACGGTGACGGGTGGCTCTGTGGCTGGTAGGACTCACCCATGATATGGGGTGCAGGAACTCTGGGGGCCCTGAAGGATTTGCTTCCCTCCCCTGGGAAGGCAGAGGGCTCTTAATAAAGAGGACCCAGAAGATTCTTATTTAGAGCTTCAGTCTTTGGAGCACACAGGGCCTTCGTGAGACAGTGAAATCAGATAATAATGAGATCTTTTGTTAAAAAAAAAAAATGGGAAGGGAGTGCGGGAGAGAAATGGTTTGTGTCTCCCTTATTCCCAGTTAAATACCTAGCTGCAGATTGTGCCATCACCCTTCATTCTTCCCAGATGGATGCCATGGGCTATGGGAGCAAATTGCCCTGGACCTTTGCCTGAATGGGGGCAGGAAAGGTGAGGTGTTGCTGGCCTGTAATGCCACCAGGTGAGTTCCAGATGTGGAGCAACTTGGGCTTTTGGGGATGGGGCAGCAAAGTTGGGAGCTGGACCCCAATTGAGTGGGGGTAGCAATTGGAGTCCTTGTGTCTCTTTTCCACCCCCT
Organism: Homo sapiens; assembly: GCF_000001405.40. Classification (NCBI taxonomy): domain Eukaryota; kingdom Metazoa; phylum Chordata; class Mammalia; order Primates; family Hominidae; genus Homo; species Homo sapiens. The sequence continues at coordinate 43,599,809 of NC_000019.10, forward strand.
GCCATCCTCACTTAGAGGGGCCATGGCACTAGATGGCACTAGTCCCCCGATAATTTATGTCTCGTTGAAATAATTTTGTATATCATTCTAGTCCTGAAATATTTTTTTCATATGTGTAGGTGAAATGGTATGAATAAGCTAACAGGAATAGTATCTAAAAACAGAAAACATCCATATTAAAATGTCTAAACAGGGAGCTCTGGCTTTTGAGTGGGAATTTCCAGAGAACATAAGGGTGTGGGCAGGTGGGGGAACTCAGGCCAGAGTTGGCCTCGCTTTGTGGGGAAACTGGTTTGGAATCAAACAGAGATACCTTCTGTTTCGGGTTTTATTTGGCCAACACTGGGAGATTTCCCATTAAGATCCTATTTTCAGCTCTCTTGAAAGGCCCAACCTAGGCTGACATTGTCAGCAGGGGCAGGACAGAAGTTACAACAGGCTGGAGGGAGCAGTGGGTGTCACCCTCAACTGGAGATGAGTCCCACCAGGCCAGTTTTACCCCCTTAGTTACCTGCCCTGCACCTGCAGACAATGGTCGATGCCTTGCATATAATACTTATAGACTCTGTTTATGTTGAGGGATGTTTTTAAAGCCCACAGGTGAGGTGGATGTGGTAGACTGATCACTGTCTCTGTTTTTAGCTAGGCACACAGTAGCTGAAAAGACTGCATTTCCCAGATTCCTTTGCAGCTAGATGTGGCCTTGTGACTGATTTCTGGCTAAATTCCTGGGTAGAACAGTCAAGCTTAAGAAAGGGACGGCTGGGCACAGTGGCTCACGCCTGTAATCCCAGCACTTTGTGAGGCTGAGGCCGGTGGATCACCTGAGGTCAGGAGTTTGAGACCAGCCTGGCCAACATGGTGAAACCCTGTCTCTACCAAAAATACAAAAATTAGCCGGGTGTGGTGGCATATGCCTGTAATCCCAGCTACTTGGGAGGCTGAGGCAGGAGAATTGCTTGAACCTGGGAGACAGGTTGCAGTGAGCCAAGATCGTGCCATTGCACTTCAGCCTGGGTGACAGAGTGAGACTGTTTAAAAAAAAAGAAAAGAAAGGGACATACCTTTTTTCCACCTTCCTAACTGTAATACGGAAATGGTATCCAGCCATCTCAGACCATAAGGATAAGAGCAACACGTGGGAAGACAGAGCAACAAGATAGGAGCCTGGGTCTCTCGTCAATTTCAAGGAGCACAGCCACCATACCAGCCCACTTCCATATTGCTATCTAAGAAAGAAACTTCTATCTTATTTAAGCCACCATTATTTTGGGTCTCTGTCACATGCAACAGAATTTACAGCCTAAGACAGGGGTCTGCAAACTATGGCCAACTCTAGCCTGCTGCCTGGTTTTGCAAATAAAATTTTATTTGAACAGTTTTATACTCATTCACTTATGTATCGTTGATGGCTGCTTTTGCCTAGAACAGCAGATCTGCATAGTTGCAACAGAGATTTTAAGGCCTACAGAACTTAAAATAGTTACCATCTAGCCCTTTACAGGAGAAGTTTGCCAACCCCTGGTCTAATAAGACATTCAACCTACTCTGAGTCTGGAAGCAGAAATTTCCATCCTGGGAACCACCATCTTTACCAGGTAGGTAGGTAGGTAGGGTATGTGTGTGTGTGTGTGTTTTGGGGCAGGGCTACCCTGGATCTCTTTGCTGGGGTGACTTATGGGGAGACTGGTTGGAGTTAGTAGACCATCAGTTTTTTTCAAGATACCAACTTCATGAAGAGCCAGATATTTCCTCTGGCTCCTGGTGAATGCTCCGAAGTTTCCAACCCAGATATTGTCACACTACCCCCACAGTGGCTCCCCTAAACCAAACCTAAGTATCTAATCCCACATGCTCTCCCAAGATAGCAGCCTGCCCAAGTACACCCTGGGCTTCCTGTTCTCTCCAGACATCACAGATTCTCTAAATAGCATCACTGATGACATCCACATCTTTATCTGCAGCCCAAACCCCAGACATAAGATATAACCACTTGAATAAACAAATGGAGATCTCAAACTTAAAATGGGTCAACAGGACTCCTGCGGCCCAACCTGCACCACCATTGCCATCATGTTAGTAAACTGTGCACTCTTAAATTCTTTTTTCTTTTTTGAGTCTCACTTTGTCTCCCAGGCTGGAGTGCAGTGGTGTGATCTCAGCTCACTGAAGCCTCCGCCTCCTGGATTCAGGCAATTTTCCAGCCCCAGCCTCCCGAGTAGCTGGGATTACAGGTGTGCACCACTATAACTGGCTAATTTTTTGTATTTTTAGTAGAGACGGGGTTTCATTATGTTGCTCAGGCTGATCTCAAAACTCCTGGCCTTCAGTGATCTGCCCGCCTGGGCCTCCCAAAGTGCTGGGATTATAGGTGTGAGCCACTGCACCTGGCCTTCATTTTTTTTTTTTTTTTTTTTTTCCCCTTCAGACAGGGTCTCGCTGTGTAGCCCAGGATAGAGTGCAGTGGTAAGATCTTGGCTCACTGCAGCCTTGATCTCCTCAGGCTCAGATGATCCTCCCACCTCCACCTCCCTCCCTGTAGCTGGGACTACAGGTGTGCACTACTATGAACAGCTAATTTTTTGTAGAGATGGAGTTTCACCATGTTGTTCAGGCTGGTCTTGAACTCCTCGGCTCAAACAATCCGCCCACCTCGATCTCCCAAAGTGCTAGGATTACAGGCGTGAGCCACCGTGCCTGGCTGACTTTCAGCCTTCTAACACCTGTGTAACTATTCCCTGTATTAAATCCTCTTTGGGGAATGCCTGGCCTGACTCCATATCCTGAATGGGTGCTGGCTGAATGACCCAACTCCTGATTGATAGTGCCTCTTGTGATCCTTAGGAATATTTGCCAATGGATGGAAATTCTCTATATTTGTCCTTAGAAGTCCTGTCTTATGGCAGAAGACAGGATGGGGTGCTGCTCCAGGAAACAAAACCTATGATCACACTTATCCATGTGCTATAGTTGAATGTATGTGTCCCCCTAATATTCATATGTTGGGAACCTAAGACCCCATGTGATAGTATTCAGACATGGGGCCTTTAGGAGATGGTTAAGTCACAGGGGCTCTGCCCTCATGAACAAGATAAGTGCCCTTAGAAAAGGACCCAAGGGAAGTAGCTAGGCCTTCTCCCCTTCCATCTCTCCTACCATCTGAGGACACAGCATTCATCCCTTTCTGCCACCTTCCACTGTGTAAGGATGCAGCAAGAAGGCACCAACTTGGAAGCAGAGAGCAACCCTTAATTAGACACCAAATCTGCTGGTTCCCTGACCTGGGACTTAACCACTCTCCAGAACTATGAGGAATTAACCTTTGCTCTTTATGAATTACCCAGTCTCAGGTATTTTGTTACAGCCGCACAAACGGACTAAGACTCTGTTGTTTTAATGAGCCTGGAATTTCTGCTGATGATTCTGAGGTTCCATGATGCTAAGCTATAGTGGCTAGGAAAGTCTCAGTTCAGAGTGTATCAATGTCAGGTTTGGAGATTCTGGGATGAGAAACGTGGGTTTTGAAAAATGCTTTGGTCTGAAATCCTGTAATAGGTGTCAAAAATGTAAATGCTGGCCAGGCACGGTGGCTCACGCCTGTAATCCCAGCACTCTGGGAGGCCAAGGCGGGCGGATCATTTGAGGTCAGGAGTTCGAGACCAGCCTGGCCAACATGGTGAAACTGCATCTCTACTAAAAATACAAAAATTAGCCGGGGGTGGTAGTACCGCGCCTGTGGTCCCAGCTACTCAGAAGGCTGAGGCATGAGAATCGCTTGAACCCAGAATGCAGAGGCTGCAGTGAGCTGAGATCATGTCCACTACACTCCAGCCTGGGCGACAGAGCGAGACTCCGTCTCAAAAAAAAAAAAAAAAAAAAAAAAAGCAGATGCTCTTCAGGGCCAAGCAGGCAGGGTAGGGGTGTCCAGATGTGAGGCATTGGTGACTGGGCACATAAGAGTGAATGCCTCCCCTACAGAAAGTGACTCCTTCTCAGCACCAACAAACCACTATCCCCATGGGAACTGGGGGTTCAGCAATATAGATCTCACAATTTTCGAGACAGTCCAGAAACTTCAATTTTTTTAAATGTGAAATTACCCATTTTTCAACATTGGTAACCAACGTAACTTAAAAAAATTCAATAGCTCTGTGGAGACCAGATACACTCCTCTAAGTCAGATGGTGGCTGTGGGCACTAGACTGCCATTTCTGGTGTGTGGCTTAGTGGTTAAGAGTGGATGCACCTGCATCCAGTTGTCTGGGTACAAACCAGGGCTCTGCTGCTTACTGGCTTTGTGACCTCTGGCAGGTAACTCAACCTCCCTGTGCCTCTGTTGTAGCAGATTTTTTTTTTTTTTTGGAGACGGAGTCTTGCTCTATTGCCCAGGCTGGAGTGCAGTGGTGCAATCTGGGCTCACTGCAACCTCCGCCTCCCAGGTACGAGCGATTCTCCTGCCTCAGCCTCCCAAGTAGCTGGGACAACAGGCACGCACCACCACACTCAGCTAAGTTTTTGTATTTTTAGTAGAGATGGGGTTTCACCATGTTGGCCAGGCTGGTCTCAAACTCCCGACCTCAGGCAATCCACCTGCCTTGGCCTCCCAAGCTGCTGAGATTACAGGCATGAGCAACCATGCCTGGCCTGTTGTAGCAGTTATAAAATAGTCATAAAGGTAGCCTCTAAGGATTATTATGAGCAC